>NC_000003.12:133705574-134008604 GCF_000001405.40 Homo sapiens | reverse complement strand
GGGATCTGCTAGGTGCTAACTAGGGGTCTGTTCCTGAGCCTGGGGTTTTCTGCCTGGGAGGATGTAGAGAACATTCTTGGGTGGGTTTTCACCCAGTTGTTGGTGAGAGTTTATTGACCATCCACTGTTTGAAAGGTAAAACTCTACTAGTGTAAACAGCAGGGGTTTCTGAATTTTGAGGCCAAGACTGGTGTTGGGATGGATGCTGGAGACCCATTTATTCATTCATTTATTCTTATTGACCTCCTGTCATCAACCACTGGAGATCCGATAATGAATAAAACAGAGTGGACTATGCCCATATGAGTGAGATAGACAGTGGACAGAGCACAAATAAATACAAAGTCACAAAGCATATCATATGATAGCAAAAAGGATTTGGTTTTGTGAGAGAGAATGGGGTAGAGACATTACTGGATTATATTTAATGCATCTGGGGTCATGGACTGAATTTTAACAAGTCACCTTCACGGTTCTCATACAGAACCTCCGTATGGGGAGCACGACTGTGAATCAGACAAGGTCCCTATCTTCCTTCTAAAGGCTGTGGTTAGGTGGGGTAAGATGAACCATAAGCAGCTATTGTGAATTATGGTTTCCATCAACATGACAGGTTCACATGGAATCCCTCCTACTACAAACACCACATAAAATAGAACAGCACCAGAGATTTAAATACATGGCAGAACTTGCAAGAAAGAAAGTGAAATCTTTAGGTGAAAGAAATGAAGAATGAATTGAACACAGGAACAATGAGGACATCAGTTGACCCTGCACAAGGAATAAGGAGGAAATATGTGTGGTGTGATTAGACCAGTAAAGAGATGCTAAAGGAACTCCTAATGGATGCTGGAATTTAGTACTCACACAGGTACTCAAAGATGATAGGGGAGTTGAAACTGAGACCCATTCATAAAGCTAGGTGCCTTGGTGAAAAGGGAACTAATAAAACCCTGCCCACTACTCCAGGGTCAGCAGGGGTTTGTCTCTAACAAGATCTCTGGGTAAAAAAATTTCTCTGAGAAACTAAAACCCCAAGGCTATATCACATAGAATCAGAAACAGAATTTATGCCATCCATATGGTATAGTGATGCTTACTTTATGCCCTATATAGAAATTAACTTCAAATGAATAAAAGATCTAAATGTAAGACCTAAAACTATAAAACTCTTAGAGGAAAACACAGGGAAAGCTTTATACCATTGGATTTGGCAAGGATTTCTTGGATATGATACTGAAAGTACAGGCAACAAAAGTTAAAATAGATAAATTGTATTACATCAAAATTTAAAACTTCTGTGCATCAAGTGACACAATCAAGAGAATGAGAAGGCAATCTACAGAATGGGAGAAAATGTCTGCAAATCATATATCTGATGAAAGATGAATATCCAGAATATATAAAGAGTTCTTAGAACTCAACAACAACAAACCGAATTTAAAAATTGGCAAAGGACTTGAATAGACATTTCTCTAAAAATGATACACAAGTGGCCAAAAGGCACATGAAAAGATGCTCAACATTGCAAATCATTAGAGAAATACAAATCAAAACCACAATGTGACATCACACCCATTAGGATGGCTACTATAAAAAAACAAAACAACAGAATATAACAAGTGTTTTTGAGGATGGAGAGAAATTGGAACCCTTGTGCACTATTGGTGGGAATGTAAAATGATGCAGCTGCTATGGAAAACAGTATGGCAGTTCCTGAACAAATTAAAAGTAGAGTCATAATATGATCTAGCAGTTTTGCTTCTGGGTATATATCCAAAAACATTGAAAGCAGGGTCTCAAAGAGATATTTGTGCAGTTATGTTTCTAGCAGCACCATTCACGATAGCCAAAACGTGGAAATAACCCAGATGTCCATCAATAGATAAATGGATAAACAAAATGTGTATATACATACAATAGAATATTATTCAGCCTTAAAAAGAAAGGAAATTCTGACACATGCTACAATACAGATGAAACTTGATGACATTACTCTAAATGAAATAAGCCAGTCACAGAACGACAAAATACTGTATGATTCCATTTACATGAGATACCTAGAATAGTAAAATTCATAGAGACAGAAAACAGAATGGTGGTTGCTAGGAGCTAGGGGTAAGGGGAAATGGGGAGTTATTGTTCAAGGGGTATAGAGTCTCAGTTTTGCAAGACGAAAAGAGTTCTAGAGATGGATGACGGTGATGGTCGCGCAACACGTGAATGTACTTAATGCCACTGAACTTGAGATAGGCTAGGCAGTGGTGGCTCATGCCTGTAATCCCAGCACTTTGGGAGGCTGAGGCAGGAAGATTGCTTAAGCCCAGAATTTTGAGACCAGCCTGGGCAACAAAGTGAGACCTCATCTCCACAAAAAATTTAAAAAAATAGAAATAAAAAAATTAGCCAGGCATGGTAGCATGTGCCAGCTGAGGTGGGAGGATTGCTTGAGCCTCGGAGGTCAAGGATGCTTTTAGCCATGATTGCACCACTGCACTCCAGCCCAGGCAAGACTCTGTCTCAAAAAATAGTATTAATAAAAAAGGGTAAGATGGCAAGTTTTATGTTACACACATTTTATCACAATTTTTAAAATATGTGGGTAATCATTAAGACAAAAGACATTGAATATACCTTCTAAGACAAAAGAGAGTAAAGAATAAAGAAACCTAATTAAATAATAAAAGCCTAGAAAAGGAAGGGGAAATGGTTAAAAATAAAATAAAATAAAACAGCCAAAAATAAACTTCATGGTAAATAGGAACACAATATAAATATAATCAGGTTGATACAAATCTAGATTTATCAAAAATTATAATACATGGGCCGGGCACGGTAGCTCACGCCTGTAATCCTAGCACTTTGGGAGGCCGAGGCCGGTGGATCACGTGGTCAGGAGATTGAGACCATCCTGGCTAACATGGTGAAACCCTGTCTCTACTAAAAATACAAAAAATTAGCCGGGCGTGGTGGCAGGCGCCTGTAGTCCCAGCTACTCGGGAGGCTGAGACAGGAGAATGGCGTGAACCCGGGAAGCGGAGGTTGCAGTGAGCCGAGATTGCGCCACTGCACTCCAGCCTGGGCAGCAGAGCAAGACTCCGTCTAAAAAAAAAAAAAAAAAAATTATAACACATGAAAATGGACTACTCATTATTTCAAAGCTACAGCATCTCAGATTGGATAAAAAATAGAGATAAAATCTAGTTACATGCTCTTTAAAAGAGACATCTAAAACAATATGACACAGAAAGATTGAAAATCAAGAAACAGAAGAAGATGTAATAGAAGAATGCCAGCTAAAGAAAGATGATTTATCTACTTTAATAACAGATAAGAATGTTTAAAATAAGAGTGTTTAAAGCAAAAAGAATGCCAGAATGTGAGATGTTTGTAATGTCTAAAACTGACGAGGGACGAATATACAGAATGCACAAGGAATCTTGATAATCTACAAGAAACCTAATAGGAAATGTGTGAAGGATTTGGACAGGTGGACTGGCATGCCAGCTGGGCTCGCCCTACCCTCTATACTTTTCTCTGAATGTCATGGTCATTGTTTTCCACTGTAAACCTCTGTCTTCTCCATGGCTGAGTCATGCTTGGCAACTAGAAAGTGCCTGTTTTCCTTCACTGGAAAGCCCCCAATTTGACAAATTTTCTGTTAGTCTCCTATTGCTGCTGTAACAAATTATCACCACGGAGTGGCTTAAAACAACACAAATTTATTGTCTAATGGTTCTGGAGTTTGGAAGTCCTTGATTTCTTAAGGTGTTGGTAGGGCTGTGTTCCTTCTGGAGGCTTTAGTGGAGGATCTCTGTTTCCTGGCCTTTTTCACTTTCTAGAGTCACCCACATTCCTTGGCTTGTGGCCCCTTCCTCCATCCTCAAAACTAGCATGTCACCATCTGAATCACTCTCCTTTTCACCTTTTTTTGTTTTGGACCCTTGCCTCCTTATTTTAAGAATCCTTGTGGCTGGGCGTGGTGGCTCACACCTGTAATCCCAACACTTTAGGAGGCTGAGGCGGGTGGTTCACCTGAGGTCAGGAGTTCAAGACCAGCCTGGCCAACATGGCGAAACCCTGTCTCTACTAAAAATACAAAATTAGCCAGGCATGGTGGGGCACGACTGTAGTCCCAGCTACTCAGGATGCTGAGGCAGGAGAATTGCCTGAACCTGCGAGGCGGAGGTTGCAGTGAGCTGAGATCATGCCATTGCACTCCAGCCTGGGCGACAAGAGCAAAACTCCGTCTAAAACAAAAACAAAACAAAAAAAACTCTTGTGATTAATTTAAGACCACCCAGCTAATCCAGGATAATTTCCCAATAAAATCCTTAATCACATATACAAAATCCCTTTTCTCATGTAAGGCATTTATTTACAGGTTCTGGGGATTAGGATGTAGACATTTGGGGAGGCCATTATTTTGTCTAACACATGGTTCAACCAAACCAGAGACAGTAGAAGATACACACACACACACACACACACACACACACACACACACACACGAAGAGATTCATTACAAAATTTGGCTTACATAATTTGAGGAGCTGGCTAAGCAGCTTCAAAATTCACAGGGCAGGCAGTCAGGAAGGGATGATCCCAGGCAGGCTGGAACTCACAAGCACAAAAGCTGCTGTACACAGGGAGAATTTCTCTCTCTTTTTTTCCCTCTCTCTCCTTCTGTCTGTCTCTCAACCTCTGCTTTAAAGGCCTTCCAACTGATTGAGTCTGGCCCACCCAAATTATCTAGGATAATCTCCCTTACCCAGTGTCAACTGATTATGTATTTTAATTACATCTGCAAACTCCCTTCACAGCAACACCCAGATTGGTATTTGAATAACTGCAGACTGTGGCCTAGCCGAGTTGCCACATCAAAAACACTGCCATGGGGGCCAAGGGCAGTGACACTCAAGACAGGTATAGGACAGAATGTGGCAGCAGCAGGCCAAGGGCTCCAGGAATGGTGAGCATCATTGAGCAATAGGAAACCCCAAATGGAGGATGCAGGGAGCAGAGGTATTTTGTTGAAGTCACTGATGAGAGGAGGAAGGCATGCTTGGGGTAAGCTTCTGCAAGGAGACCTGGAATGGGGCATTCTGTCCATGCCTTCCCACAGTTTGAAAATCCCATGAGGGCTCTGCTTCTCTCCTATACACAAATTCTGCCAGAGCCATAAAGATCAGACGCCCAGCGTATCACCAGTGTGTAGATGTCCGTTCCTTATGTGGCTTACCAGTATGTGTCCTGTGACCTACTGCTAAGGTCACAGGCCCCTGGGCTGCAGACGTGAATCCACCCATGTGCTGGAAAGGTAGGTGAGCTCATGTCTGCTTCTCCTAGGGCTGCAACTGGTAGGTGTCAAGTGTTTGCTTAGCTAATCTTTCCTCATCTAAAGATGCTTATTGATGATTTCATTCAGGAGTCTTGAAACCTACAGGTAGAAGTCCCAGACAAAACAAACCAGGTGTAGATGATGAAACCACATTCCCTTGCACTTGCCTTTGAGAACTCCAGGTGAGGGAAGCGGAATGTTCAAAGTAGTTGGGAAGCGGATCAGTCCTGGAATGCTCCTGGCCCACACCGACAGTGCTGCCAGACCCTCCGTGTGGAGTTCCCATGCCCAGGTGGGCAGATGGCCAAGGGGAGTACAGAGAAATAAAGGAATTGAATCAATTTTACCCCAGAGAAAGACTTTTTTTTTTAGCTGCGCTGTTTTATGCAATAGATTTGCACAAGAGGTTTAGCCTTGTTTCCAAGAAAGAGTTATCAACAAGGAAAGATTTAGGTTAGAGCTCAGGAAGACCTACTTGGGTCTAAGGTGGTTGTTCTTAAAGTACGGTGCCTGGAGTAGCAGTGTTATCATCACATGAGAGTTTATTATAAATGCAAATTCTTGGGCCCCATCCCAGACCTACTGAATGAAAAACTGGAGGTGGGGCCCAGAAAACTGCTCCAACAAGCCCTCTAGGTAATTACAATATACCCTAAAGTTCAAGAACATCTGCTCTGAGGCAAACACATCTCAGGGCAGTGATTCATATGCAGCACTCACTGAGGCGGCTGTGATATTCTGGTGGCCAAGTTATTCATTAAAGTGATTTGTGGGAAGTAATGGATATTCAACTCAAATGGTTGCCAGGGAACATGAGCTTCTAAATGTAGGAGCTGTCATTGATGGGAGGAACTTCAGGAGCATCTTAGGTTTGCCAGGGAAGGCCTCCCAGAGCTTTCTGCTGTGGCCTGGGGCAAAAACTGAGGGCTGTGAACCTCAGTCCCTGAGAACCCCTGGGCCAGGAGGCAGGAGGGTGCTGAGGACGGAGCCTTCTCAGCAAGGAGAGACCACCACATATTGGAATTTGGAGAGTCTGTAGGAGTGCTCACAGCACACAGGCTTGCTGTGCTAGGCTGAGTTCCATTTCTGTCTTTTTGCCCCCAGATAGTTTGGAAATGGCAAACGTTTTGGGAGGCTGGAGTCAGGAGTGTTCTCACTAATGATGTTTACAGGTTCAAGTTAAATACTGTAGGTAAGCAAGGAATTTGAGAAACTGGCTGGTGGGGGTCCCCTTTGTGGCTACTCTTGCCCTTATTTTCCATGCCTTAACTAAACATTTCATGGTGCAGAGAAGACCTGGATGTCCTGAGTGACCAATCCCTTTCACGAGGGTGGCGATCGCTGTGGTCTACTCGCCTTGTTCCCTGGGGTCATGGCGGTGGGGTGGAAGAGAGGAAGTTCTTGTTGCTGTCATCTAAACACGGTTTTCTGATAGGAGAGGAGCAAGCATGCCTCTCTTGATCTCCTGCCTTGACCTCTGCATGTAACAGTTTCCTTTCCTCTCTCACATCAGCCTGGAACCTGGGGGAGCTTTTCTGAGAAGGGATTTGGGTATTTTCTGTAGCATTGACTGAAGCCCCTCACTCTCACCTTTCATTCCGTTTCTCCCACCTTTCCTTACCCAGACCCTGCAGATGTTTCTCACCCTCTTTCCCTGTCTTTGCTGATCTGAGGAGTAGAGAGAGGGGGAAGGCAAACAGAGGGGAAAGGGAGGAGAAAATGCCTTGGGAGACACAGGGAAAAGTCAAAGAGGTGAGGTCACAGAAGGAGCAGCCAGCCCTCTGTTGAGAAAAGTCCAGTCCGGTGCAGCCTCCAGTGATAAAGCAGACTCCTCCCATCTAAAGACTAGACAAGGCTGGGCGTGGTGGCTCACATCTGTAATCCCAGCACTTTGGGAGGCTGACGGGGGTGGATTACCTGAGGCCAGGAGTTTGAGACCAGCCTGGCCAACATGGTGAGACCCCACCTCTACTGAAAATACAAAAATTAGTTGGGCACGGTGGCGTGGGTCTGTAGTCCCAGCTACTTGGGATGCTGAGGCAGGAGAATCCCTTGAATGCAGAGGTTGCAGTGAGTTGAGATCGTGCCATTGCACTCCAGCCTGGAAGACAGAGTGAGACTCTGTCTCAGAAAAAAAAAAAAAGACCAAAGACTCTGTGTGGACCCACCCACCAACAGCCCCCATGGGGCTCCAGATCCTTGCTTTCTCAGAAGCCAGGGATCAGATGTATTAGAACATATGCCAAGTGATGAGGCCTTTGTCCTCCTGCTTTCTTGCTAATTTAGCAAGAGAAGTTCTGTTAGGAACAGGTATCCTTGCGGCTGTATTTCAGGCAAGCCCTCCATCTTAGCAAGGGAAATGTGCAGATGTGCAGAGTTTAACAAGGCACAAAGCTCTGGTCTCAGGGAGCAGAAGCAAAAGGTAGCAGACATAATAAGACAAGACATTTACCTTACCTACAGTCTGGCTCAGGGAGCTCCAACATTGTGTAAAGCCCAAGGGGAGTTTATTTCAAAATCCCAAATGTTGCGACTGGGTTGCCATTTTAAATTGGGGATTGGTCTTGGATTGATTCCATGTGCACCAGAAGGGACCTTACCTTTTCTTCCAGGGTGTGAGGTTGAATAGTTGACAGAAGTGAGGCTGCCTTTTCCTAGAGTTAGTTTCCCTAGAGTTAGAGTTTCCGTAGGCTAAAACCCAGTGATCTATTCCTAATGCTCCTGCCAGTTAGCTCCCTGCACCGCCTTCCCCAGGTGTGTGACTCAAGTTGTCACAATCTGTTTACGAGGCTGGAGAGAACTGGTCTTATTGCCCTAGGTGGTCAGAAGGTGCCTAGCTTCTCCCTCAACACCTCCCATCGGCCCTTTTCCCTTTGCTGTATGCACCCCCATCCCTACCTCCCTGACCCCTCTCCTCAGTGACCTCCTCTCTGTGGAATTGAAGAGAGGACCACTCAGACCCGTGTCCCTGGCCTGACTGCATCTGCATGTGCTCCCACACTCCCAGTGCCTCCCTGGACATCTCTACTTGGTCTCCCAGCCCCACAGCCTCAAGCTGCCTCCCTGCACTCGTCCGGCTCCCCCTGGCATCTTGAGCTCCTTGCTTCCCTGATGTCACCCTCCCTTCTCTTGGACTCAGATATGCACTCGTCATCCCCCACATCTCCTAATCATCGGCCATTGCCTCCCCTCAGTGTCTCTCCCTCTGCTGTCCCCTGGCCACTGCCACCGCCTGACTGGAGGGTTTTGTTTTGTTTTGTTTTGTTTTTGCCTTGTCCCAAGATCTTGCGTGGCCTCCGTGCCTCTAGCCTGTTACAGATTCCTCTTTCTAAAGTGTTTGACATGCATTATCTCTGCTCAGAAGTCTTCGGTGATGGCCAGATAGAGATAAAATTCCGTAGCTTCTCTCAGGTACCAACCCTTTTTCTGACTTGGTTTTCTCTTCTCACCTACCTGGAACTCTCTCAGACTAACTCAATCTTTTTCAGACCTCTAATCACCCTTACATTTTTCCTCTCCTCATCTTGTCTCCTAGGACTAGGGATGACCCCTTTTTTCCTACCCACTTTCTGAAATTCTCCTCATCTTCAAAACCTCAGCTCCAGCCTCACTTTTCCAGGGATCTCTCCTCATCTTCCTGTGTTCTGAGCCCCTCTGACACCACTACTTGTACCTCTCCTTGGCATCTGCCATATCACCCTGAGAGTAGCTGTCACTGTTTTGTGCATGTGCCTCATCTTAGTAATAGTATGCCCCTGGGGGGCTGGGGGAGGCAGCCCTGCTCGGCCCTTGGTCTCCCATGAATGTGCTTGGTCTAGAATAATAATCAATAAATACTTGCTTACCATATAATTTCAAATGTTCCTTCTGGGCAAAATTAGCAATAATACACCCACCCATACTCACACACAGCCCCTGATAAAATCTCTCCAAGCTGGCAGGCCAGGGGAATTGTAAACTGTGTGCATCATTGCCAGAGGAAAGCACCATTTCAGTCATCACAGGGAGACCCAGCATCCATTTCCTGATAAGTCTTGAACAGTGTGTGTTTTGAACTGCGATCTTCAGGAGTGTATCTCCATGTAAGCCATGCCTGGCCTGGAATCACAGGTGTGATGGTAGAGAGAGGCTCACAGGTCCCTGGGGGAGCCTGTAAGCCGAGGAGTAACCTAGAGAAGGGATCAGGAAAGGCATCCTGGCGAGGCGGTGTTCCAACAGAGCTGCCAATGGAGTCAGAGCTAGGCAGGCAAGAAGGCCAGAGAGGGGGCAAGAGAGTGCTCTAGGCAGAGAGTTAGAATACGCAAGGAGTCAGGATCCAGATATGGAGGTATGGCAAAACGTCAGTGTGACAGCTGCCACCACCTTCCTGAGCCGGCCATGCCAGGGGAAGAGGCCTCTTCCAGGGATGTGTGCTGGGAGGCACAGGTTTAGAATGAGTCTGGAAAAGCAAATCAACATGGAGCTTTGTCCTTTATAGGATCTGGAAGAATCGGTGAATTCACTGGTCGGTGGAGAAATGTCTGTAGACCCACTCTGGTGGTTGCAAGAATTTGCCATCAGCAGAGAAGGCAGGGCGCCATTCTGCACGACAGCTTCGAGAGGAAGGAGAGGAAAAGGTTTGACTTACGGGGAAAAGGAAGGCCCCTTCAGTTTGTGTGGGCTTCCTGTAGCTACGTGGCTCACACAGAGGACAGGTCTGTGCATTTGAGGAAGATGCTCATGGGACATGAACAGTCAGAACCCTCCAGGTGTGGACAAAAGGCCAGTGTGGACAGGAGCGCCTGGGAATGAGAAAAGAGGATGCCCAGGCAGGGGAGTGGAGCCCAAAGGCAAGACAGGTCAAGGGGTGGGAGCAGGGGGAGGCAGGACATGGGCGGCAGACACAGGAGGCCTGGCTGTCCCCACATCTGTCTCCAGCAAACACTAACTGAGTAACAGACGAATTAAGGAAATAGTGAGCAAATTTGGAGGGACTTGAAGAATTTAAAAATAAAGTGACTGCTTCCTAAGTCACCTGAGAGCCAGAAAAGGATAAGCAGACTCTCCCCAGAGCTGGAGGAGGAAATGTGTGGTGGGCCTAGGAAAGATGAAATGGGAAGCCTGCGCTGGAAGGGACAGGATTCTGCCATGGAACCAAGGGGATCCCATGGCATGTCTCCTGCTGCAGCTGTGCACCTCCTGGAGCCTGCCTGTATAGAGCAGGAGGCGGCTCTTGCTGAAGGCAGGTTTTCTGATGAGCGATCCCTGGCATAAGACAGCCAGCACCTCCCCGGCACCGTGAGCAAGGCTGTGAGCTAGGGCTTTACAATGTCTCCAAACACTCCTAGACAGTCACTACTGTTATCACCACCTCACATGTGAGAATACTGAAGCTTAACATAAATAGTGTAACTTGCCCGTCATTTTACAGTCTGTAATACTGGGCAAAGTCAAGAATCAAATTCAGGTCTCTCAACAAAGCTCATGCCCTTACCCTTGCCTTCAGGCCAAACCTCTGGCCCGGGTATTCATTTCTTAGAGCTGCCATTTAAAAAATACCACAAACTTGGTGGCTTAAAACAACAGAGATGTATTCTCTCACAGTTCTGGAGACTCAAAGTGCAAGGCAAGGTGTTGGCAGAGTTGGTTCCTTCTGAGGGGGAACCCATTCCAGGACTCTCTCCTTGCTTCTAGCAGTTGTTGGAAACTTGTGGTGTTCCTTGGCTTGCAGACACCCTACTCCAGCTTCTGCCTCGATTGTCAAATGGTATTCTTCCCTGTGTGTCTTTGTATCCAAATTTCCTCTTTTTGTAAGAATGCCAGGCAATGGATTAGAGCCCACTTGATTTCAGCATGGTCTCATGTTAACTTGATTACATCTGTGAAAACCCTATTATTTCCAAATAATGTCACGGTCATGAGCACCGGGGGTTAAACCCACCACATATCTTTATGAGAGGCATGATTTGACCTGTGATACCTAGCAAGGAGACTGGGGGCAGAGAATGTCCTCAGCATTTTGCTTTGAGTTGCAGAGGCAGAGGGAGTAGGGTGGCACCAGCCGTGGGGATCATAGCAAAGAGTGCTGGGGGCTGCTTTTGGGGCTGGAGGTGAGAGGCACTCTGGGGAGGGAAGTGGAGATCCCCAGGGTGTGTTGAGGATGGACATATCCAGGAGATGCGGCCCTTCAGGTCTGTGTCTTTGGTACTTTGTTCTTGATCATTGGTAAGCCAAGACAGTCGGTTATGTGACCCTCTTATGATCCACAGGAGGTCAAGTGGAATCTGGAATTGTGCTCAGAGCTTAGCACTTAGGGAGGACTTTCTCTGGAAGTATCCCATAGGACAGAGAGATTTGAATGTTGGACAAAGCCTTCTCCTACTGCCATCCTTCTACCTGCCACCAGAAAAACTGGGACGAGTGACCACAGAAGTGTGCTTTTTTCCCATGTGGAGGGAACCTACTGTGTTGCACACTGGGTTTTTATTTTGTTTATTTGACCACTTTATCCTGGCTGCCAAAGACTTGCTGTATATGGGACGCAGTTTTCAGGGGGCTGCTCATCACTTTTGGAATGATGAGGTCTTGGAAGACAGCCTGTGGTCATGAATCCCAGATCTCTCGGCAGGCAGGGGAATGCCAGGGTGACCAGACTGGGGTGTGGAAATGTTCCCATGCCAGAAGGTGTGTCTGTCAGCAGCAGGCTGTTGCAGGGGAGCCGCCGCCTCTGCCAGTGTCGTGAGGTTCAGCGGGAGGCTAAGCTAGCCTGTCTGTAGCATGTGTGACTCCGGAATGCCGTAGCCTCAGGAGCAACTCCACTGTCAGAGCAGAGCACTGGGGAGAGCCGACAGGCGTCCATGCACGTCCGTCCTACCTTCTGCTCTCATGGGGTGGGCAGCCTGCCCGCCCTGCTTCTAAGCATCTGTTGTTTTGGGTCTGATTACAGACTCTTGAAGCTTTGTTCTTAGACCCCCACTGTGGCTTTGAAAAGGCCGAGTGTGTTGTGGTTTGTTGGGAGGTCTTCTCAGAGTGGCTGCTGCCAAAGGTGGTGGGTGGGCCTAGGCCACCCCCAGGCAGAGGTTCCCCCAGATGAGGGCTCCTTCCCCATCCTGCCAGGGCACTAACTTCTTCTTGATGAAACCTCCTCGGGCTGTTCACCACCAGCCCCAAGGACGCCCTCTCCTCCTCACTGCAAAGAGGAGTGAGTCTCCAGTCTCTTGCCTGCTACAGAAAAACCTTGAAAAGGCCAAGAGTCAAAACTGGCTCCAATTCTCCAAATGGAGATGGTTGTATTGGGAGCTCTGGTATGGAGCTGGCCCTAAAATGTCGACAAGGGCTTGCTGAATAACTTACTATTCCTGCAGAAATTTGGGGGGAGATAAATGGATACAATAGAAGGAAAATACCTGTTTCTACAATGAATTTATAACCCAATTTGTTAATTTTATATTCACTCACTTATGGCGTATGAGTGCCTAGGTAACCAGTGGGGTCATTCGCTGACATTTATTCTTTTCTTCTGAAATCATTCGTCATTGTTTGTGGAGAAGATTACTCCCTGCTTCTTTGGTCATTTCCCTCCTCTGCCTTGCTGGCACCACAGGTGTGTCCTGGGTGACAGAATTGATGTGGGGCCCTAAACACTCATGGTGGTTGTAATTGCAATCTGGGCTCAGTGCCCTGAAGGAACAATAGAGACCAGGTAACAGGAGGGACATTCTTTACTACCAGGAAGATGGATAAGTAGAAGCTCACCCCAGGCAGTGGGGATGGCCCCCACCCACAAAGACTCTGAGACAAAACATCACCTGAGGAGGGCCATGCATTTTCCACTCAGCTACAGATTTCTACTGCTTATTTTCAAGCAATGATGTAAGTAGCTTGGTACGGAGAGGCAGCCACGGTGGTGGGGAGCTCAGTGACAGGGGGAGGAGTAGGGGTGCTTTGCCTGAATTTTGATCTGAGGTGGGGGGAATCCATTGGAGGGTTTTTACAGGGCTGTGACAGGCTCTGATCTCCATTTTTGAAGATCATGCTGACACACTATATGATTCTATTTATATAAAGTACAAAACAGGCAAACTCATCTTTGCTGTTAGAAGTCAAAAGACTGGCTCCCCTGGAGGTGTGTGGTGACTGAGAGGGGCTCTAGGGGTTTCTGGGAAGCTGATGATGATCTCTTTCTTCATCTGGGTACCAGTCCCTCGGGTGCACCTAGCTTGTGAAATGTTTCAAGCTGTACTCTTATGATTTATGCATTTTTAAAAGATGAGTGTTATATATCAGTAAAGTTCTTGAAAGATTACTCTGGCAGTTGGTTAAAGAATAGATCAGAAGAAAAGAGTAGGAAACGGGTAGGAAGTCATGATAGTTGGCCAGATGAGAGCTGACTGGGACCTGGACTGGAGGTGGCCAAGCAGGTGGAGCGTGCAGAGTGGACTTGGAGCTTGGTTTGGAGTTGGAAGAAGCGGGGCAAGAACTGGAATGGGGAGGAGACAGTGTGAGGTCCCAACAATGGTTGGGGGCATGGATTTGAGGAACTGAGGGGAAGTCAGAGTTGAAATGTGTAAGATGCAGTTTGATACGAGGCCTGGCAGACTTCAGTGTGAAGCCCAGCTTCCCCCCAAGGGTGCATGAGCAGGGCACCCATGGGAGACATGGCGGAAGATGGGCACAGGACTAATGACAGAACCCAGACACCATCAACATCATGTGGGGAGAAGGAAGAGGGCTGCCACAAGGATTTCAAAGAAGGAACAGTCAGAGAGAGAGAGCTAGAACACAGGGACAGCAAGTGACATCACAAATGGCAAGGGGAACCCTGCAGAAGGTAGGTAAAGCCATTGTTGGAGGGCCCACTGGACATGGCACTGAGGTAACTGGCAGTCTTGGTAAAAACAATTCGGTAGCACATTCCCGCTCACCCCAGGCAGCATGGTGGAGCAAGGTGATGGATTTGGCATCAGTAGCCTGCTACTATTTGCCAACTCTGCCCTGAGCCTCAGTGCCTCAACTGTAAACAAAAGGGATCACATGTACCTCTCAGGGCTGATATGAGGATTAACTTTATTCAGCGAATATTTATTAAACATTTATTATATCTCAGATAGTCCGCCAGACACAGAAAATACAGAGTGACCAAGAGTGACAAGTGGGGAGACAGAAATAAGTAAATCAATGAGTTGATGGGAAGAAAATAAATGCCCCCCATGCTTCCCTGCAGCCACCACCCAGCCTTCTTGGACTGCAGGGTCCCTCCTTTCCTGACTGGATTCCTTGGGGTCAGCTCCTAAGATCCTAGCTCTTCTGATACCATGTCCCCAAGCCCCACTTTCTCACTCTGAAAAACTAGCTTCTCTTTCCTTGAAGGCAGGAAGAGAAGGGCTTAATCTTCAAACTCTTCCAGGATGCAAGAAAAAATATTGACATCCCATCCTATTATTAGAACAAAGAGTAGGAAGAATATAAAATAGTGAAGTTTCCATATTGATGTTTGAATAATATCTAATAGGTCTGAATGTCCTATACCTGCCATAAATGGATGCAAAGCAGGTTCTTTTCAACCTAACAAATTACTGCCAAGTTCCCAGAAAGACAAGATGGCACTTGATGAAAATGTTTCTGGCTTAAAAAAAAAATTAATTGGAGAATTTCTAAAGAAGAAATTGGACACATATTTACATAAATATCCGTGATAATTATGTTTTCAAGTGTTTTTTTTTCTGGGAAACCAGGCTTCCAGCTGACCTGGAAAATTCATCTTGTCTCACATGTTTATGTTTCATCTCTTCCAGAATTTTTTTTCAATCTGTGGTATCTAAAGCCCAGACCCTTGGCCCCCTGCCATGGGGCAATCTTTCACTTGTGAGCTTCCCTTTCACCTTCTTTCACAGACCTCACCACTCCAGCTATCCACATGCTCCATTCCTACTCCTGAGCTTTGAACAGGGCACCATTAGAAAAGAAACACAACACAAAACAACGGAAGCAGGATATTTCCCTTACCCCTTCACGGGCGGGAACTGGAGTGCACGGGAACTGGACCTAGCTGGTCGCTTCGGCACTGGCAAGGATGAATTCCACTCACTCAAGTCCACTGTGTTCTACTCCCTGGGGAGGGGGAGCACAGGTCAGCGGGTGCAAGAGCTCTGGGGCTAGTACTTTTGGACTCCAGCAGGAGCAAAACTCCTTGTGGGCCCCACGGCAGCATCTGGAGGTGGGGTGCCCATGACCCCTGAAGCCCCAGAAGGAATGTTACAGTGCCCTTTTAGCCCATCTGTGGACGGCTTAAGTGTTAACAGCTCAGTGCAGGGTCAGTGTGACAGCACTCATGACAGCACCCACACTCATGACAGCACCCACACTCATGACATCTGAACTCTTGTCTGGCGTCCAAGAGTAATAAGGTTGCACGAACGGATTGAAGATGGCAAATGCAGGGGATTTAACAGCCAATGAAAGTGGCTCAGCTGGAAGGGGAGCTGAAAAGGGAACAGGAAGGTAATATTCCCTGGAGTCCAGCTGTCCCTGGACAGACACCTCTCTGAAGCTACACTGTCAAACTGTTCCTCTGAAGTCAAGATGCTTCTCTCCAACATCCAACTGTAGTCTCTGATGTCCAGCTGTTTCTCCTCCCTCTGCTGGCAGAGCCTGGGGTTTTTATGGGCTCAGGATGGGGGTGCAGGGCGGGCCATGGGTGGTTATGGAAAAGGCAACATTCAAGCCGGAAAACAGGAATGTAAGTTCTCACTTTGGGCCACAGTTCCAGGCTTGAGGGTGGGGCCCTCGCCAGGGACCTGCCCTCTTCTGCCTGCCTGGAATTTTTCTGCCTCCTGTCCCTATCACAGCCACAATACAAAGCTTTTTAGGATGACTGGTGTTATTAGGAGCTAAGAATTTTTTCTACCTCCCTTTCTTGTGCTCTATCTTCCTTCAAACAATGCCTCTGCAGTAGAAATCTGTTTCTTTTTCAGATTGTCCTGACCTTTGTCCTTTCAAGGGCCCCCAGGAGCCTGTCTTATCAAAGGCTTTTTTAAGCTTATAATAACACAAGGTGCAAAAATACAAAATAACAACAAACACTACAGAATTATGCAGTTTGGGATTTCCAGTGTCCATTTAAATTGTATCTTATATGATGACCTTCAAGTGATTTTTGCTGAAGTTGAGCGTACTAAACTAAAAAAGTGGTCAAGAGATCCTGGGCAAGTCCGATTCGGTCAGGACTTTGCTCAGAGAGTTCCCCTAACCAGGGTTCCCCAGGCAGTGTTAAAGGTGGAAAGAGAATCCACCTTGCAGTTTGCTTCTCTGTGCCTGTTGTGGTTTCCTGTGGCCTCCACTGAGGACAGATGTGCCAGTCCTCCCAGAAGCTGTTCTCATAGGCCTCAGAGGGTGCCTTTGCTCAGTCATATTGGGGAACTCTGCCAAACAGTAAGGTCAACTTTGTGGGCAGTAAAGGCTGGCAAAGGGAATCTGGAGAGAAGAAAGCGGAAGAGTTACACTGAGCAGTGAGAGATCTGTTGGAGGCCTGGCTCCTCCGGCCCCCTGCAGCCTCCCCTCCCAGGCAGGGTCTCAGGCCCAGCTCCACAGCCTAGCCACTCCCCTCTTAAGGAACAAGGAAGCTGTGATGGAAATCTATGTGTTTCTTCCTAGATTGTTCTGATTTTTATATCTCCAGTGACCCACAGGACCATGTCTTATCAAAGGCTTTTTCTAATTCATAATAAAATGAATAATACTAAAGATACCTTTTGTCATTGCTATGAGGAATATCACCAACTTTGACCCCAGGCTGGCTATTTTAAATCTCTGAACTTTATCTTGTGCAGGCATTCTTCCTGCGTGGGAAAATATTGGATTTCCTGAATCACTTCTTGAAAGAGTCATTCCCCTTTGGGGCATTGGGCCATGGTTTAGATTCACAGCCACACCCTGCAGAAGGGACAGGAGGGGTGAGCAGGCCAACGGCTGATGGAGGGCTTTTATTCTAGAATGCACTGGACTCTTGCTTTGCTTCCTTCATTTTAGGGGTTGGGGACAGGGAGAAGGATGCTACTCCCTGCTTCAGCTCCGAGGATCTTTCAGATGCACCTCAGAGGAGCCAACCTAGAAGCCTGCCCACCTTCAGATGCCTGCAGTTTTGTTTTTTGCTTGTTTTTTTTTGTTTTGTTTTTTTGAGATGGAGTCTTGCTCTGTCACCCAGGCTGGAGTGCTGTGGTGCGATCTTGGCTCACTGCAGTCTCTGCCTCCCAGGTTTAAGCGATTCTCCTGCCTCAGCTTCCTGAGTAGCTGGTATTACAGGCCTTTGCCCCCACACCTGGCTAATTTTTGTATTTTTAGTAGAGATGGGGTTTTACCATGTTGGCGAGGCTGGTCTTGAACTCCCGACCTCAGGTGATCTGCCCGCTTCAGCCTCTCAAAGTGCTGGGATTACAGCAGTGAGCCACTATGCTTGGCCAGATGCCTGCATGTCTGATGACACTGGGAAGCAGCCAGGAGTCACCCTTCTGAGTTCACTTCTTTATCCTTATTGGCCTCTTAAGCCCCAAGCCTCACCTCCCAGGTGAGGAGAACTGCCAGCCAGGACCAAGAATGAGTTGTGTGAAGGCAGACAGTGCGATGGAGAAGTGGAGATGGGCATACACCCAGAGCCAGCACCACTCTCAGGCCACCTGCCATCTGTTGGAGACACACCAGGCATTTTGGAAGACTTAGTCAAGTAAAGGTGGTATCGGGACTCATGAGTGTAGTGGGAGGAGAGGAAGGGTTCGGTATATTTTTTGGTTTGACAGCCTAGTCCACTGACAAGTACATATTTCTTGAAGCCTTTCTTTTTCCCATTGAAAAACGGGACAGAATGATTTGTCTGCTAGGTTTAGCACCAGGAAATAGATTGGTTTATGATTCAAGATTGCTGACTGAACACATTTGTCTCCCCTCCTCTCTGACACTTTCATTATAATGAAACTAATGAAGAAAAAGGAGAAAAATCAATGACAAAAAACTGAAGAAGGAGGGAGACTATGAGTGGATGAAAGATTTCAATAATTTCAGCAGGGTGGACAGTGGTTGGGAAGTGTTGATGGATAAAATAGAATGGAGGAAGACAGATGGTCAACTGCGTGCACGGGGCCTGCAGTAGCGGGGAGCCCGCGGGCTTGGCACAGCCCGGAGAGGCAACAGATTTAGAATTGGCGAACGTGGCAGAAGGAGAAGTGAGATTAAGGGATTAAGATAGAACAGCCCTTTACCCCACGGAAAACACAAGAAACCTTCTCTCCTAGAATTAACGGGAACTATCACACAGTGTGAAGGTTTGTGCCCAGGAGGGAAGCCCTGCTCCTCTGGCTCCCAGTTTGCTTCCCACAAAGTGATCTGATAATAAAAATACTGATAGAACTATTAAAAGTTGGGAGGAGTAGGGAGAAGGGGGCTTTGCAATTATAACTGTGCTAAATCCTCTTCTGTAGTAACAGGCACCATAAAATGGTAAGTCAAGAAACTGCAGAACAAGTGTATTATTTTGAGATGTGTGGATGTCATCAACAGAAAAACTAAAAACTAAAAGCAGAGGGGGTTATTCCCAACCTGCGGTACTGGTGGTGGGCTGACTTGAGTGTAGAGTTGGGCTTTGTCATTCTAAGCCCTTCCACACTACTTGATATTTTAAACACATGCACATGTTACACTGATTCAAAAAAATAAAATAAAATGTGGAAAGAATTGCAAATTGATTTTAATTCCATAGGTGGGTTCCAGTTAACTGTGGAATGGGAGGACTGGATGCCTGTCCAGTGTTGCTCAAATCCAGGGGGGTTGTCAGTGTGGTTGTGCAGTTATGCTTCTTCCCAAGAGAGGGAAGTCTCAGAGGGGTGTTACCACTGGAGGGTCTTGACTATGAGTTGTCCAGGTCCTTGGCATTTTGAACAAAGAACTGAACAAAATGCAGAAACAAAGTACCAAAGGAATGAAACACAGGAATGAAGCAGTGAAAACAGGAATTTATTAAAGCAAGAAAGAACTCCGCAGGGTGGGAGTGGGCCCTAGCAAGCAGCTCAAAGGCCCAGTTATAAAGTTTTCTGGGCTGTAAGTAACCATTTGAGGTTCTTCCCTTTATCTGGATGAAGGATTTGGCTTGTGGCTAATTAAAGGCTGAGGTGAATTGGCGCCATATGCAGATAAAGGGAAGGTCCCTGCAGGGCCCGCCGGCCAATCTAAGGCACTCTCCTTTTCCATCTGAGACGTGGTGGAAGGGGGAGGGTTGCAAGGAGAGTAGCCTTTGATCCTTTGTTACTCAGAGTGGGAAGATGGGGTTTTCCCTTTTGCTTTAGCTTTAGGAAGTTTGTGTTAATTGGCATTAGATTCCCTGCCCCCAGACCTTGATGTTTTCTCTTTTAGGAAGTTAGCACAAACCGGCCTTAAGTTCCTTGTCTCCAGACTCTGTTCTCCTGTCTCACGTGTTCCCACCTGTCTGGTATGCAGTCAGCTCGGCCTAGAGAGCAGAAGAGCAGAATGTCCCCTGAGGCCAAATTGACTTTCAGAGGTTGGGAGGGACTAAAGCCAGCAGCACATGGCTGTCCCCTCCCTCTTTCAGAGAACAGCAGCATGGTCCTCAGTACCCCGAACTCTCCCTCCCTGCATCCTGTTGTCGACAAAAAGAGTCAAACTCTGGCTCCGAATACATCTCTTCAAATATTTTACAAATGTGAGTGACCATGGCCTGTGACACAGCCCTCAGTAAGTCCTGAGAACATGTGCCATGGTGGTCGGGGTGCAGCTGGTTTTATACATTTTAGGGAGACATGAGACTTCGATCAAATACATTCAAGAAATACATTGGTTTGGTCCAGAAAGGCGGCACAACTTGCAGTGGGGGCTTCCAGCCTATAGTTTAGGTTCAAAAATTTTCTGATTGACAGTTGGTTGGGTTTATCTAAAGACCTGGGATCAATAGAAAGGAAAGTCTGGGTAAAGTTAAAATAAAGGATTATGGAGACCCAAGTTCTTATTTGCAGAGGAAGCCTTCAAGTAGTAGGCTTCAGAGGGAATAGGTTGTAAAATGTTTCTTATCAGGCTTACAGACTGTGTCAATGTTAATGCTGGAGAGGTATAATGAGGCATGTCACCTTATTATACTCCCACTTCCTGTCATGGCCTGAAACAGTCTCTCAGGTTAAATTTTAAGAGTGCCCTGACCAGGAGGAAGTCCATTCAGATGCTTGGGGCAGTGAGGGGGAATACTTAGAATTTTCTTTTTGGTTTACACTCAGTGAGGGTGAGAATAAGGTTTTTCTGTGCTGTTCTTTTCTTCTCCCTTTTCCTCCCTCCTTTCTTCCTTCCTTTAGAAGAACTGTTTCATTCAGATTGCCCTGTCAGAGTCCTGTTTGGGAAAGCAGATAGCTGCCATTTAGGGATAGAATCAGTTATTTCAAACTGAGAGGTCACCGGCTGTGTGTCTCAGTCCAGCCACATCTCCTGCCCTGAATGGTTTTCCTCCAACTCCTGGACTCTTCCAGTACATTGAATCACCTCAGAGAAGTTGCATCCTAGTGGATATCGATGAAAAGAGTCAAACTCTAAGATATTTGAAGAGATTTATTCTGAGCCAAATATGAGTGACCATGGCCCGTGACAGGGCCTGAGAACATGTTCCCAAGGTGGTCAGGGCGCAGCTTGGTTTTGTACATTTTAGGGAGACAGGAGACTTCAATCAAATACATTTAAGAAATACATTGGTTTGGTCCAGAAAGGCGAGACAACTTGAAGTGGGGTGGGGGGAGGACTTCCAGTTTATAGGTAGATTTAAAATTTTCTGATTGACATTGGTTGAGTTTATCTAAAGACCTGGGAACAATAGAAAGGAAATGTCTGGGTTGCGATAAGAGGTTGTGGAGACCAGGGTTTTATCAGACAGATGAAGCCTCCAGGTAGCCGGCTGGCTTCAGAGAGAATCGATTCTACATGTTTCTTATCAGACTTCAGGTCTGTGTTGATGTTAATGCCAGAGAGGTATAATGAGGTCTGTCTGACCCCCACTTCCTGTCGAGACCTGAACCAGTCTTTCAGGTTAAATTTTAAGAGTACTCTGGCTGAGGAGGAAGTCCATTCACAATGGGGATGGGTGGGGGTGGCGGGGCGGGGGCGGGGGGGGGGGCTTTGAATTTTATTTTTGGTTTACATGGACATAAGACATCAGTTGAAATTTTCTAGTCTTCCTTCCCTGGGGTTTGTGTGGAAAACATCAGAGTGGGTTGACAGCACAGTCAGTCATTAAATAGGTAATAACCCTATGGGGATCACATTTCAGACCTTCCGCTGGTGTTCCTATAACCACGGTTAGATGCCACTGTGACCTAACAATGGTTAGATCGTAGTTCCGATGTTTAGTTTGGAAAAGAGAGGCATGAACATGTAGATCAAAAAAAGCCATGTCTAGACTGTTCTTTGATGCTTTCTCCTTCATCCTGAGCTGTGGGAGCCTCCCTCCTTGTCCTGTGGCTTATCCACCATGGTCATCTCACTTATGTCACTGAAGCGTGGCTTGGGCCAAGTCCCCCACACCCCCAAATTTACCTTGCATCTCAGTAGCTTTTTAGCCTTTCTTAGCTCTTTGACACGGGTGGTAAAAAGTTCTCTCTTTATTAAAGAACTTCGTGGCCACTCCAGTTTCCCCGCTTCCTTCCTCTTTATATGTTTGTTAGGATTGGAGAATGAATGAGGCCGTCATGAGCATGGCCTTGACAGTTAGAAGCCTGAGTGCCTCCTGCCCTCCCTGCCCTGCAAGAATGTTGCTCGTCCTCTGTGGGGTTTCTCTGCCAGCTTCCTTCTATAAGATGTGTCTCAAGTGATGTGTTTACCTTAACACACACGCACAGCCCTTGTCAACCTAGATGTTTAGATTAGCACACACACACAAACCTAGATATTTGCCTGGGTTTTGAACCTGTCAAAATAGGACTCTTGAATAAACAAAGTTATTCCAATGACATTGCCAACGCTCATGATTGAAAAAACAAAAAACAAAAAACAAAAAACTGTTTGTCAAATTCCCTTCAAAGCCCCAGAACATTATTTTGAATACCTCATGGTTGCAAATCTTTTTTCAAATGAATTTCTTCTTTAGCCAACTTTATTGAGGTATCTAGTTTACATATAATAAAATGCACACACTTTAAATATTTGTTGAGTTTTGACAAATGTATAAACCTGTATAAATACCACCACAAAATTAAAAAGTAGAATATTTCCACCACGGTAGAAAGTCCCTTCATACATGGCTGCAAATCTTATTTCAGTTTGGGTTTAGCCAAGTAAGTAAGTAGGGCAGCTGAACTGACAAATGCTGTTTTGTGCCTTGTAAGTTGTGTGGCTTGTAGATTGATCAGAAGCAGCACCAAAGGGGCAAATGTATAAATGATTGCAGACAGACCACTGGAACAAGTCTGCAGCCTCCCAGAATGACTACTGTGGTGGATGTATATTCTGGAGCTTGGACTTATCAGTTAGAGTACTTTATAGACATATTGTTCATTTGACAAAGATTGAGCCCCAATTTTGAACTGGGCATCATTTCATGCACTGTGGATTTGTTCTAAAAAACACACATTGTATTTCCACCATGAAGTCTATATTCTGGTGGGAGGAAATGTCAATAAATGAGAAATCAAACGCATGATGTAATTTGGGGAAGCAATACATGCCGAGAAAAGAAAAAAAGTCGAGTGAGGAGATAGAAAATGATGGTATATACCATTTTAAAGAAGATAATGCAGCCCGTGTAATTCATCTTCATTTTCTTTTCCTTTTGTGAAGAAATTGCAAGACTCAAATTCTACCAAAGGTGTTTTATAAAAGGCACATGTTATCTTTCCATAAAGTGTATTCTGGAGAGTGCTAGCATCTATTATAAAGTAGTGGTGATGTGTGTGTGGATGCGGAGTTACATAGTTAAAGAAGCATGGGAAGGTTGACTTAAACAACTTAACTAAGTCTTTACTACGGAACTCAGAACCTTTAATATGCAAATGTGATTGCACATATTCGTGAGGGAGGATTGTAGTACGTTATGTTTTCCAATTTGTTTTCTCCAGGGAGTTGTTTGGCCTAGAGCATCTTAAGCAAGTGATGTTCTGGTAACACATTGTGGGAAATTCTATTCTAGGGTTCTCAGACTACCGGAGAACTGAAAGCAACCGGGAAGTTAAATTACTCAGAGGGCAAGAGGAGGGAGTGGAGGTAGCTTCAAGTTACTGAATATCCCTCCAGGATGTGGAGCACTCACCAGGCAAGGTGTGGGACGGGCAGGTGGCAGGGGCCTGCAACATTCTGTGGTGCAAGCCTCACAACTCAGGTGTTATCATAGTTTTCACTTGCTAATGGGAAAACCTGCTGCTCAAGGAGACCCAGTTGGTAGCCAAAGGTCACACCATGGCTTACAAAGTCAAGACCTGAACCTAGGCCTGTTTGACTCCAAAACTCAAATCATCAAAAACTATAACACTATATTGCCTAAATAATGGGGAAGGGTAGGTTGCAACCCAACTAGCAAACCTTTTCCTCCCACCAATACATCTCCATGTACTCTTGAACCTGTGTCCTCCTCAAGGGATGGGCTTGTGTTTTATCTGCACGGTGTCAAGTGTTGCTTGCTCTGTCACATGCTGGCCATATAGGAGGTACTTGGTAAGTTCGAGCAGCCGAGGTCATGGTCCCATCACATAAGCTTAGTATGTGGGGCCAGATGGCTGTGACCCTGAGTGGCCCTGACAGAACCATCCATCGACTTCCTTCCCTTTTCCCTGCCTTTTCTCCCTGCCTTTTCTACCTTGCAGCCATCAATCTGATCCCTCTCCATATCCACTGGAACCAAGGGGTCCAGATATATACAAACACCTCTGCCAGGGCCCCCATGAGGCACCCAGACCTGACAGGGCTTGCAGGGGCCAATAGCTGGTGGCGAGATTGGCTCTGTGAAGGGGTGGGGGATGTGGAAAGGAGCCAGCTCTGGCTAGAGTCTTTCACCCAGTAGCACGGGGGAGAAAGTGGGGGAATTTCTGTACTTAGAGGCATGTCTTTCAGGAAAAGATCTGAGACAAATTTCCTCTCCCACCATCCCCATCTTCCTCTCATGAGACAACTGGAGAAGTTGGTGATGATTAGTCACTCCTGTTAATTCATTACTAATTTGGATGGAGGGAGACTGGTTTTTCTAAGCCTCAAGCTCAGAAACTCAAGTGCTCCATAACTGAACTCTCAGTCCTTGATCTCCTTATGCTCTCCTCCTTCTGGATCCCCCGTTTCCATGCATGCATGCCTTTGACCTCTTCCTGGCCCTCAGGCTGGAAACAGCCCCGTCTCTTCTTTCACGTTGAATCGGTGACAGCGGTGTCAAGCCAGCCTTTGCAAGAGCCTCTAATTTGGTGCCTCTCCAGACCCACTACCCCAGCCAGCCCTCGTCTCTCCCAAAGCTGTATGACAGCCCTCATTCCTCTGCTAGATGCTACTCTTGCCACCAGCCATGTGCCAATCCTTCAGATGCTTCTGTACAGGAGTCAGCACAGGGTGCTGGGATTTTTAGAAGCAACCTTGAACTAGACACACAACTGATCTCCATGCTGGGCCCCACACTGCTCCTGAAGGGCAGGGGAAGTTATCCAGACAAAGAAGGGGAAGACTGTGAGCAAAGGCACTGACATAGGGCCTTCAGGGAACTCTGAGAGTGTGACCTTGATGTGTTTGAAGGACAAGGTGGCAGCAGGTGCTGCAGCTGTCTAATGCTGCATACCAGAACAATCCAAAACTTGGTGCTTAAAACAATGGCCACATTTAGGTTGCTGACAAATCTGACAAATCTTCAATCTGCACAGGGCTCATTGGGGTAGCTCATTTCTGCTTCACTTGGCATCGAGGGCTGGGACTGGAATCATCTGAAAGCTGGCTCAGTAACATGTCTGGTGGTTGATGCTGGCTGAGGACCAAAATCTGAACCGAGTTATCCGTGGAACATTAACATGTGGCCTCGCCATGAGTAAGGAAGACTGGGCTTCCTTATGATGTAATGTCGGGGTACTAAGGGTCTCAAGGGAGAAAGAGCCAGCCAGATTCTTTGTCCACTTTTAGGATCCAGCCTCGGAAGTCACATAGCGTCACTTCTCTTCATTAGAAGCAAGGAGCTAAGATTGGCCCATATTCAGAGGGAGAGAACACAGAACCCACCCCTTGATAGAGTGTCATTGTAAGAGGTGTATGTGGATGGGAGAGATTGGTGTGGCCATCTTTGCAAAATATGATCAGTCTCAGCAGAAAATATGGAGGCAGGCTGGGTCCAGGACTGTAGCATCTTGGCTATCACCCCTCACAAACCAACACAGCTGTTTGGCTAACAGCAGTGTTGGTTTTTACCTTATAGAAAATGGGACGCCAGTGAGAGAGGCCAATTCAGGCGTGACCTGCTCGTGTTTGTGCTTGAGAAAGCTCCCCCTGGGGTGGTGTGGTGGAAGATTTGAGAGGAGCAAGCAGGGGACCTGTGAGAGGCTGTTGCAGTGATCTGAGGAGGGATGGTGAGGGCCTGAGCCAAGGCTTACACCAGTAGAAGAGGCAGGGCTCCAATGTGGGAGACACCAAGAAGAGACCATGGGGCTGAGGGATGGGGCAAACACCAGAGGGTGAGGAGGAGGGACATCAAGAAGGATTATTGGTTTCTGGCTTGGGAAACTGAGTGAAGGTGATGGGGAATGAAGGAAAAATGGGAGCAGTTTATGGGGGAAGATGATGAGTCCTATTTGGGAAGTGATTAGTTTGAGGGGCCTAGGAGTGTCCAGGTGGATACGTCTAGCAGACAGTGGAGTGGACCTGCTTGCAAAACTCTGGCGAAAGTTCTGGGTACAGAACTGAGATTGGAGGCCATCATCCTATGGCAAATGGGATTGCCTATGAGCAGGTGCAGAATGGATCATGTCCAGAGAAGGGGTCTACAGGCAGGCTTTGGGGGCATTAGTCTTTAGGGAGTGGCTAGAGGAGGAAGATCTGGCAAGGCATCTGAAGTCAAATTGTCTCTTTCCCAGGTCTGGCCTGGACCAGGGAACAATCTGGGTTCAAGTGAGCTTTGGTGTCCTGTTTCCATGGAAAATGACAGAACGTTGACAAATCCCATCCCCATCACTGTCACAGTCTTGTGCTGCTTTCTTATAACCTATAACCTATAATGTGGCTCTTGTCTTTCCTTCAGCCTTATAGTGGCAATTCCTATGGATTAGGGAATTTCTATGACTGTTTTTCTTTTTCTTGTTTTGTTTTTTTTTTTTTTTTTTTTGAGACGGAGTCTCGCTCTGTCGCCCACGATGGAATGCAGTGGCACAATCTCAGCTCACTGCAACCTCCACCTCCCAGGTTCAAGCGATTCTCCTGCTTCAGCCTCTTGAGTAGCTGGGATTACAGGCATGTGCCACCACGCCTGGTTAATTTTTGTATTTTTAGTAGAGACGGGGTTTCACCACGTTGGTCAGGCTGGTCTCGAACTCCTGACCTCATGATCCGCCTGCTTCGAAGTCCCAAAGTGCTGGGATTACAGGCATGAGCCACCGCGCCCAGCCTTGCTTTTCTTTTTCTAATCTTTCACATCTTACCCTTTACAAGGATGGTCAGAGCCAGAAAGAGTCTTCTAGTCCGGTGACTGGAAACCACGTTGTCCCCCAGACTCTGCTGGTAGAAGTTTTCCAAATAAAGCATTTGAGGCTTCACTCCTGCTGATTTTGATTCAGTAGATCTGAGCTTGGGCCTAGCCTCTGTGTTTCAAAGGCACTCCCACCTCCCCATCCATGTGATTTTGAATCAAAGCTGAGTTATGAACCATTGACTTAGTCCAGTTACCTTGCAGTTGGGAAAACCCAGGGCACAGAAGGGGGAAAAGCACACACAAACCGAGATTGTTCCCTGGTCCAGGCCAGACCTAGGAACGAGGCAATTTGACCTCAGATGCCTCGCCAGATTCTCCTCCTCTGACCATTCCCTAAAGACTAATGCCCCCTAAACTCTAAACTCTGTCTCTAGACAGAGACAGGACCCTTTCTGGCTAAGCTTGCTCTGTTGAATAAGAGGCAGGTCCAGATCTGGTCCATGCCAAGCGTCAGGTGACTAGCATCTAAGCCCCAAAGTGCCTACTGCATACAGGGCATGGGTTGGGCACTTGGGTTACCCCTTGCTGGACTTCAGTTTCCCCATTTGTGAAAAGAGAGTGGGATGACATTATTACAAAATATTAAGAAGAATTTCAGAATACAAAAGAAAGCCCAGTGGAGCCTCTCTAGCATGGCAGGGGTGGAGTGCCACCATGCCCCCAGACAGGCAGGCTTCCTTCTACCACCTGGGAGGAGTGGGGTGGCCACACAGGTTCAGGTGGCAGTCAGGAGAGGTGTCTGGTTTTGTGGGTGTAAAGACCTCTCCAGACCTGGAGGCTGTGAGCATGGACACATGGATAGGCAGTGAGTTCTGGGCTCTGTCTGACATCCCAAGCTGGCCTCGCAAAGGTTCTGCCCTGGCAGGAAGGAAACCCCACAGCCTGGAACAAGGGCACCTATAGAGGAAGGCTCAGCTTCGGAAGGAAATGGAAATGAAGGTGGAGCCCCGGTTGCTCTCCTGTGATGGCAGCTGTTCATTCATGGAAAGAGCTTTGGAAGACTGTGAAATGGCACAGCACTCACCCTTCCCTGGAGGAAAACCTCACCCAGAGGGGCGCCTTCCAGGAGATGCTTGAGAATAGGACTCCTGGCTCAGAGCCTGTTCGGTGTCAGCGCAACAGCTGAGAACCTGGGGGAGCCCAGAGCTCAGCCTGGAGCCAACTAGGGACATCATGAAACCCTTCTCCTACCCTCCCTGATGTGTTATCTGTTCCCATCCACCATGGAACTCACATTTACTCAGTACCCCAGGACCAGGTACGAGGCCAGGTGAGATACAGAGATAAATGGCCTTGGCCCCTTCCCTGGGGCCTTGATCATCCATTGAGCAGGCAGCAAGCACAGTCAGTCACAGACATTCCTGAGAGGCCAAGATAGTCCTGGTAAGAGATGAGGACATGGATGGGAACATTCATTCAAACCAGGTGCTTTGGGGATTGCATCATGGTGCCTTACTGGAGGCATTAGAGGTGGGCCTCAGAGGACAGGTGTTGGGAATGGAAGACAGGTCAAGAGAGATGGATCCATGTGACCCGGGCTTGTTCATCTCCCAAGAGTGGTCTGAATTGGATGGGGAGTGGCCTTCAGCCCTCACAGGGCACAGGAGGAGGGCAGATGTGCAGCCTGTGGAGCACTGTGGTGCTGTTGGGGAATAATCCAAGATGCTCAGCTGAGCAGTTAGGCCCTTCCCTTGGGGGTGAGTCCCCAACCCTGTCATATCTTCAACACCCTGTGGTTTCACTGGGCCACATATCACAGCAGTGATAAGAATGCAGTAATAACAGGAATGGCTAGCACTTTAGGAGTGCTTCCTGTAGGGTGCAACACAATGTTGCAATGATGACGTTTCATCCTGGAGACCCTGGGAAGTAACTGCTCCTAGATAACAGGCGAGGAAACAGAGGTCAGCCTGCCGGGGCCCCTAACAGATGGCTGGGAGGGCGCCAGGGCTTGTCGTCCAGAAACCTCACGGGCCCATCACTCTTCCCCCAGGTGTTTGTGCTCTGCCAAGGCCTCCTGCAGCTCTGCCAACTCCTGTACAGCGCCTACTTCAAGAGCAGCCTCACCACCATTGAGAAGCGCTTTGGGCTCTCCAGTTCTTCATCGGGTCTCATTTCCAGCTTGAATGAGGTGAGCAGGAGGTTCTGGTCCATCAGACTCCACTTGTGCACCACGCTGACCACAAGATCCAGGAGAAGCAGAGGAACAGGGGGCTGAGATGTGCACATAGGTGCAATGCCTCTTTCTGCCGGGTAACAGCAAACGAAACAGCAAAGATCCAGTGGGCACAGTGAGAGCAGCTAGATTTCCTGAGGCCTGACTTGTGCCAGGTACTGAGCTGAAAGCCTCCCATGCCTGACCTGGGGGCCTCTTCATGGCAGCCTTGCCAGCAGGTACTATGTTCATGCCCACTTCACAGATAAGGATGCTGAGGCTCAGGAGTACAAGTGGCTTGCTCCAGGTATGCAGGGCTGTCCGCCTTCAAATTCTGTGCTTCTAATTTAGTTCTGTGCAATCTGCCAGCCTGTGGGGCCCCTGCCCCATACATAGTCTAGAGAGGATAAGCCCCAGGCATGCAGGTGGGTCAGCAGCCCTGGGCCCAGGCATCTCCTGTCTTATGAGGGCCACAAGAGCCAGAGCTCTTAATGGCCTTGACTCCCTGAAGAGATCAGAGCTCTATGGCCTCCGAGCATTTCCTGCCATCCCTCAGTGACTGCATATCAAAGTTAGAGGAAGACAAGATGGGCCGAGAAGCCAGAGGAGGTGGGAGGTCAGAGGGCAGGGCCTGCCAGGAGCCACTGGAAGCTGGGGAGAGAGAGTGAGCGGAGGCAGCAGAACCCCTTCATCCTGTCTCCATAGTCTGGAGACAGGGCTCCTGGGCTGGCTTCCATCTTCTCCCCAGGGCCACTCTTCCTGGATGGAGGCAGGCAGTGGTCCCTTCCCCAGAGCCGGGTTGCTCCTCTGGAGCATCATGAGGTCTTCCCTTGACTTAGTGAAATTCAAGTCAGTGCAGTCACTTAGAGCCCGGGCCCCTGTCCTGTGGCAGCTTCTGGCCAAAACAGAACTGTAAAAGAAGGCAGGTATCTCCTCTCCCCAGCCTTCTCCTGCTGGAATAAGGCTTTCCCTTTCACCCCTCCCCCTTCCTTGATGGTCCACATAGCAGTGACCCCAGGACCACTTTCCTGTGACAGTCCCTTCTACGGTCCTAGGAGGGAGGCACTCTTCACAGTCGTGTTTCTCAGACAAGGAACCCGGCATCAGAAAGCCTGAGTACTCCATCCAGGTCAGCCCCCTGTCATGTGCATGGTGCAGCCAGGGTCTGAGCCCAGGGCTGTCTGAGGGCTGCATGCCGAGGCCTCCTCTGTGGATTCCTAACTGTCTTCTCTACCGTTCCTCCAGTCTCTTGCTCACAAGCACTGCTCCAGCCAGTCTCAACCTCCACACACATCGCTGGAATCTTCATTGGTGCCCCTCACTTCATGGGCACCCCTCCATGGGCTCTTTCGCCACATATATGACATGCATGCACATATACACGCACAGTCCTGCAGCCTGTCTAAGTCATCCCTGCTGGCCTGAGACCTCCTCCTCTGAGCTTCCAGGCCTATGTGTGTGCCTTCCCTGCTTTCTGTGCCAGGTGTGTGTCTGTGTACTGGTCTGTGTGTGTGCCTGTGTCTCTGTCTGTCTGCTTGTATTGCTATCCTGAGCTTCCTGGTGATGCCTGGTGACTGGGTCTGCCTGACTGTGTGGTTGCCTCCTTTTCCAGGACAGCACCCTGGTGTCCCTGCCCTGCATTCACACAGAATGACCCTCATCGATGTTGACCTCTGACTTTGGTAATTCCCCTGGCACATGTTGTCCTCACTCATGATGGATATCAGGGAAAACAAATCTCCGACATTTGCGTCACCACGGTCTTGTTTCATGACCCTGGCAGGCATCCCTAATTACCCACCCCATCCCTTTCCTGCTGAGTTCATGCACAGCCTCAGAATCCTTCTCAACACAATATTCTAGGCCTTGCTACTAATCAAAGTCAGAGCTGGCATGTGAGGTGAATCTTCTCCTTCACCTCAGCCCAGGTGGTAGCCAAATCTGTGATCTCCCATGGTTAAATTTTCATTCATGTTGACCCTATGCTTGGAACAAAAATGTGGGCCCGGAAACAACTGGATTCCTCAATGGGCTGGGAGTAGCTAGCTAGGACTTGTAGCAGGATCTGCTTAAGACAGGAGGTTGATTAGGCAATGAAAGAGCTTAATATTTTCCCAGGGATGGAGTTCAATCAGAAATAAAAATAATTCACCCATTAAAATCTTTCCCAGTCTCAGATGAACTTTTCAAGAATCTGAATTCAGCTCATGCCTGTGGGCATGATTTGAAGCAAATATCATCAGATAGTTCACTCCTCTGACCTTATAACCCTCTGTGTGTGTGTATCTGTGTCTGTGTATGTCTGAGTATTTGTGTGCAACTCTGTATGTGTCTGTCTGTGTACAGTATATGCCTGAAGGCTAGGGGGGATGTGAGAAGAGAGCCCGGCCTGGTGCAAGGGGAAGGTGAGGCTGCCCGGGTGGTGGAGTGTGCGGTGAACCTCCAGGAAGCATGAACCTTCAGTCTGCAGCTTCCAGTCTCAGAGAGCCTTCTGGGGGCCCAGTAGGTGAGGTGAAGCCTTTGACAGGCTGGGCGTAAAAGGCCAGCACCAGCAGGAGGAACTTAGTTAAGAAGAGAAGACATGGAGCAACTTGGCTTGAAGCAGCAGCTTCTCTTGTCCACTACGAAAGGCTAGGGCTGAGCCCTAGAGGCTGCCTGCCCTTCACGCCACCCACCAGTTGTCCCTGCGGCCCTTTGGTTTGAGATGTTGAAGGGCAGGGGCATGTCATGATGGGCATTGTAACAGCTTTCAAAGAGTCTCACAGCAAGTCCATGGTAGTGTTTTAGGGGCTGCTCCAGGGCTGAGGAGACTGAGGTCTTGAGGCTCTCTTCTCAGCCGGAACAGCTGCATTTGGGGGGTTGTTTTATATTAGGGAAAAACAGTTTTTTCAAAGGGACTCTGTGGCTGAAGAAAAGTTTGAGAACAAGGTCTTAAGCCAACATTAGCTGTAACACCTGTGGAGGTTCAGCTTCCCACAGAGAAACAAGTGCAGGCCCCTGGAGAGTGCAGAAGAGCTTCTCCTCTGTCCCTCCTCCCTGAGATCCCCTTCGGGGCCCTCCACTGACCCTCACCCAGGCCTTCTAAAGTCAGCCACAGTCAGCACAGCTGATATGATCTGACATTTACAATCATTTTATGAAAAGCAATACGGAAACAAGAAGGAAATAAACGAAATCTGGGAAGCATAAGAATAAAGCTCTCTTTCCAGGTGTGGGTTTCAGGATGTCCTAGATCCACCTTTGGCAGGAGCTGCCTCTCACACACCTTCACATCCCCTTTCTCTGTAGATCATAAACCATCTCACTCTTGGCCATGCTGGAGGGGTCTCCTGGGCAACTATGTCCTCCTCTTGAAAAAGTCTACCATTTACTCATTCATTCATTTGTTCAACAATATTTAACGAGCACCAAGTATTAGGCACTGTTCTAGGTGCTGGGGAAACAGGAATGAACAGACAAAAATCTCTGCTCATATATCATTCTAAGGATAAATATAGTATTTATGGAAATAAAACATACTGTAGATCAGGTTATGATGAGTGCAATGAAGAGAGAGAGTCATGGATGGGAAAAGGTATACGGGGCCTCAGTGTTGGGGATGTAGGTGTATTTTAAATGACGAGGTCAGAGAAAGACCTTCTTGAGATGATTCAATCTGAGCAGAGGCCTGAATCTGGTTAAGAATGGAGTCCTGAGGACGTAAAGTCAGAAGGAGCAGCAAGAACAAAAGGGGCTGGGGGAATGCCTTTGTTCTTTGGTGTGGTCAAAGAACAGCTGGGGGCAGTATGGCTGGATGGAGGGAGGGAGAGGAGCAGAAGAGTGCAGACCTGAGAGGTGACCAGGGGGCAGGCTGTGTAGGACTCGGGAGGCTCTGGGACAGCCTTTGCCTTTTTCCACTGGAGGGTTTGAGCTGAGGGAACATGGTCTGATAGTTCAGCAGGACCCTTCTGGCTGCTGGGTGGAGAATGAACAGTAGCAGGACATGGGTGAAGGCAGGGTCCCGTTAGGAGGCTACCACAGTAATTCAGACAGGATTGGAGGTTGAGGAATCACTGGCTTCCAGGTGGCTATGGAAGGTCCTGCCAAGGGGATTTGCTGATCGATTAGATATGAGTGTGAGAGAAGTCAAGATGATGTTCGAATGTTTTGTGTGAGCCACTGGGAGGATGGAGGTGCCATTTACTGAGACAAGGAGGACCAGGACAGGGGACTGGGGTTTTGGAGGAAGGAAGAAGAGTGAGAGTTTAGATGAGCTGAGACTGTGGGACTTAGAAGCACACGCAGAGCATAAATAGCCATGGAACTGGACACACTTAGGGGCAGAGCTCTGGGCCCAATGTTGAGAGTCCAAGGAGATAAAGAGGAATAAGCCAAGAAGACCGAGAAGGAGCAGACAGGGGAAGGGAAGCAGGAGAGGATGGTGTCATGGGAATTCTGAAAGAAGTGTTTCAGGAAAAAAGAAATGGTCAACTGAGTCAAATGGAACTGAGCATTGACCAGTACATTTGCCAATGAGGAGGCCACTGGTGACCTTAGTGACAGCCATGTTCTGAGGCTCTAGCCTCTGTTTCCTGACATAGGAGTACCCGTTTCTCCACCCAGGAGGAAAGTGGGGTGTAACAAGGCAGGGCTATGGCTGCAGATTTACAGAGCTCCTCCAGTCCAGGTGAACTGTGCTCTGAGGAGAGGACCATCTTTGGTGGAGACGTGGTCAGAAGGCCTGGCAGCATCCCCTTACCATTGAAGACCTTACTCCCCATGCTGGAGCCTTCAGTTCCCTTCCCTGGTTCTGGGTGGGGCTCAGAGAGCACATCTTCCAGGGAGCACCAGGAGCATGGAGTTACCCATGTTTCCAGCTGGAAGGGTTTTAGGGGTGCTCTAGTTCTTATCCTTCATTTCACAGAATTGAAAACAGACCAAGGCAGGGGAAAGGGCAGGATAGTAGCAGAGCTGCTTGGGCAGAAACCCTCTTCTCCAAGAGGTGGCAGACAACTCTAGTTAAGCCTTGGTGTTTTAGAGTCAGGCAAGACTGGTTCAAGCCATGCCCTAACCTCATAGTGATGGGTATGTTACTTAATATTCTGAACCCCAGTTTTGTCAGATAAAATGAGAATTGTTTCATGATTAAATGAGATAAGCATGTTGCTTGCTTGTTATTCTGGCCACCAAGCCAAGGTCCTTGGGTCCTTTAATTTGTACCTAATTAAACTTGGGATTTTGCCTAAACTTTAGGTACAAACTCTCAAGCTTAATTAGGGAATGTGTTTTATTCCTAGGAGCCAGCCAGAATTGGAGGTTTCTTTGGCTTTTTCCCAAAAAGGTTTGGTTCTAAGATGGTTAAAGTTTAGGTTTTGAGTGTTTCATAATCTCCAGATACTTCCTTTGGTCTGGTCTAGGAGATGGAGACCCAGAAGGGTTTCTGATAACAGAGGGAAAACCAAAATTGCTTATGCTTGCCCCTTGTGAAGCTCTCTGGGAAAAGCTGACACTGTAACTCTGTCTGGGCCCCAGCTGACACTGGGCAGCCCCCTCCCTTTCCAGTTTTCCTGGATGAAGTGTGATCGGGTCTTCTCTGTGGGTGGGTGAGGACAGGGCCTCTTGTCTCACTCAGCCCTTCTGCTCTCTTCTCAGATCAGCAATGCCATCCTCATCATCTTTGTCAGCTACTTTGGCAGCCGGGTGCACCGTCCACGTCTGATTGGCATCGGAGGTCTCTTCCTGGCTGCAGGTGCCTTCATCCTCACCCTCCCACACTTCCTCTCCGAGCCCTACCAGTACACCTTGGCCAGCACTGGTGAGTGGCTTCCAACCCCTGCCTCAAGGGGTAAGGAATGGGTGAACATCTCACAAAGTTAGTGGGGATACTCCTAGGGCAGTGGATACCACTCCAGGAAGAGGGCATATGAAGCTCAGACTATACTGAAGTATGTAGAGCTATGGAGCAACTGAACTCTGGTTTGTTCAGGAAAGTGTGCAGTGCATGGCTCACCTCCTGCTGTGATTCCCTGTGCTTCATGCCAGGAATGACCCAAGCTCCACCTCCCTGGGGACACTGTGAGCAGTTTCTGCAATGGGGCTTGGCAGGAGGAGGATCAAAGCATTAAATCATGATGAAGTCTGTGGATTTTGTCCATGTTTAATCATAGCACTTCGTGACATTTGTACATTCTTCTGTCTTTAGGTGACAGTGCACTTGCACGATCTCATTTGATCATGTTTACTATGTTGAGTTTGCCGATCCATGAACATAGGATGCTCACTATTACCCTTATATTTAACATTGATGTATGACTTAACAACCACTGAAGTTCATTAATGTCTCTATTCTCCAAGAGAGCAAAATAAGGATCATAGATGCTTTTTTGCCCACCATCCTCTCTCATCTTCCACTTATGGTTGACCCATATTTTTGTTCTACCTCTCTTTAACCTCCCCACAGTGGTCATTATTATAAATTGTTACTATACTGTTATTTATAAATAAGTGAGTGGTTATTTATGTACTCACAAGTTTACTGGTTTCTTTGTTCACCATTGATTGCTTCTTGCATTTCACCCATGCTGTTGATTAATTTTTTTTTCCTGAAGGATATCCTTTAGTGTTACTTTCAGTAGGCCTATGAGTAAGAAAATCTCTAAGTCTTTGTCCGAAAATGCCTCTATTTTACCCTTGCTCTTGAATTATAGTTTAGCTACAAACAGGATTTTAAATCAATAGTTATTTCTTCTCAACACTTTGAAGGTACCATGCCTCTGTCTTCTGGTATTGGGACTCTTCCATTAGTCTAATTGTCATACCTTCTTAGGTATCCTGTTTTTTCTCTAGTTCTATTTAGTATTTGTTCTTTTCTTTTCTTTGTTGTTCTGTATGTCTACCATAAGGTATCTGAGTATGGCTTAATTTTCACTTATCTGTTAGAAAGTTCGATGTGCTATTTCTTTTGAAAATTAGAGTTTTTCTTTAATTTTGAAAAATTTTCTGCCAAAAACATTCCTGATATTGCACATCCCTGTTTTCTCCATCCTTTTTTTCTGGAACTCCTTTTACATATGGCTTCACATTTTCATTTCTGGCCTCCTTGTCTCTTAACCTCTCTTTCATAGTTTTCAGTGCTTTATGCTGCATCCTGGGTAATTTCCTTAAAGTATGACTTCCTGTTCACTTAGTCTCTCTCCAGCTTTGTTAATTGGTGTCAAACCCATTTTTTACATTATGAATTTGAATGGCACTACATATTTTGCTAATTCCTGAAGTTCTTATAATAGTTGTTCAAATCTCTCTGCTCTGTGACACTATTTTTTGGTGTTTCCTTATGATTTCTTTTGTGTTATTGATGTCTTCAGCTATTTTAAATATATTTATATTATACTCTTTTTCAGATCGTTCTAGTAGCTCAAGTTTTAAGCATGTTAATCCTCCCATTGTTTTATGTCTGCTTGCTCTTGTTCATGGTGGATTACCTCCTTGAGTTTGACCATGAGCCATTTGCAGTGGGCTTTTTTGCCCTGTGGAAATTGTATGTGGCCTGGGTAAGGAAATAGCCCTACAGAGTGGTTTGGCATTTACATTTACTCAGCACCCAGGACCGTCATTGCTTTGGAACTAATTTTATGTTAATGTGTTGACTTAGGATGAATTTGCACTTGTTTTAAGGACTGTGGAAAGTGGCTGTGGTTTTGTGATAGACATTTGTGAGAGGCCTAGTTCATAGATGCTCACCCTTAGTCCACTGTATTGGAGTTGAGGTTAAATGAGCCCCCAGGGAGGTGCTGAGGGAATAATCGATTTTGGTTTGCTTAGAAACCAGGCTATTTTTTCAATCAGATATGTAGACCAGGTTTGAGAGATGAACCACTTAGAATAATAGAGGGCAGCCCTTAAGATTGTCAGGCCAGTGATGGAGAGAACGAAGTGCCTGGAACAGGAAAAGAATAGGGCAAGAATGGGGGTGTCTAATGATGAAATATCTGCTGGGTTCTGGTCATGGAACTCTTTCCCCCACCTTTTTATAAATCTCCAGTGAACTGGTCATTTCTCATAAATGTATGGACTCTGTGGGGCTGAATCCTGCTTCAGGTGGGCAGAGGATGAGGAAAGATCCGAGCCCCAGGCTCCTGCCATACACTTTCTCCCCCTTGGTCTAATGAGAGCTTGAGGCCAGCTCTGAAGCGAGTCAGGAGTTGCTGGCCATCTTCTCAGAGAGCAGTGTGGCCAGCCTGGCTGCACTGTCTTCTTTCCAGAGCCACAATCCCTGCCCTTTCTCGTCACGTGAAGACTGGGATAATGAAATCAGCAAGGGAGCCTGGGGCACTGTGGCCAGGCCGAGGGGAGGGCCTCCTGCCAGGCGCCACACATCGTGGCCTGCTCAGCCTGGCAAGTCAGCTCCCATGGCCTGGGCCCACATGCCAGTGGCATTTGCCTCACACTGAGCAGCCACAGGAGACTGGTTAAGACAACTTCACTCTGTTCCTTGTTAGGAATAATCAGTCAGTTTGGGTTCAGCTAACCATGACCCTCTCAGCTCAGAAGGAAACACTGTGCTGTTCCAGCCTTGACCTCAGTGCTCTAAGACAAAATCTTCTGATAGAGGAAAGAGGGGCTGTGAAAAGACCACAGCTTGCCTCTCAAGGCTGCAGGGGCGCACCATAGGCCAGAAGAGTGGGCTGTTTTGTAGTTCTTGTTCATTGGTGCAAATTCTATATGCAACAATAGGGCACAGCAGTCTCCCTCAGTCTGGCTGGGATAGAAGCAGATGCTGGAAGTGCTCAGAGCTGAGCTACCTTCGGGCATCTTCCTGGTGCCAGGGGGTGGGATGAGAAGGACTTTGGCCCAGGAACCTCATCCATGCGATCTAGCTGGGGCTGCACACGGTGCCAGTGCACCACGTGAGTGTGCTATGCTAATATGTGCAAATAAAAATATTTATAAAGTCTTACTTCATGGGAATAGCTTAAAATGTGACTCCTACTTCAAATGTATTCTTATGGAAATTTTAGTTTTGAATCATGCAAGGTCGTCAGGAACAAATGCATTTCATTAAATGTACCACTCTGAGTGGGGGTGTGAACCTGAATGGTCTACTGGAACCAGGCAGTCCTCAGTCTGAATCTGAGCTATGGGACTCCCAAGTGGGCTCGAGCCACCTCCTCCCTGCTCTGAGTTTCAGTTCATCCCTGAGTGTCTATTTTATAGCCCTCGTAGGGCTGCAGGGGCTGAGAAGGTGCCTGTTCAGAATTTAGCCTGGTGGCTGTCACATGCAGTAATCACTAAGTGGTGGCTTTTGTCCCCACGGTGGTAGGGACAATACATGATGTTGTGTAAACTAGTAGACTTTCTGGATCCCAAAGGAGAAAGCACCTTACTTCCTGTGAAGAATGTGACAGCTTATGGGCTGGATGGCCTGGGGACATCTGAAGGCAGCTTCTTTCTGGTCTACATCATAGGTCCTCTGCTCTGTTCTGGAGCAGGGCGCCTCCCTTGGCATGGTCCCTGCTGCATCCTCACATGTGAGTCCTTAGGATTTCTGTTGGTGGAAGCTTAGGTTGCTGTTGTGCTCTCTTCCCAGATTCTTGTGTTGGTGTGGCCTGGTATGATGGGTAGACATGCACCCCACCCCACTCCATATGGACTTTAACATTTGAATCCTAGCTCAGTCACTTACCTGCCAAGTCTTCTTAGGCAAGCTACCTCACCTTTCTGAACTTTAGTTTCCTTACCTATAAAATGGGAGCAAGAATACCTTGACTTTCAGTGTGTTCTGAGAGTAAAAGTAAAATGAAATAAGCCAGGTATGCTGTAATCCCATCACTTCTGGAGGCTGAGGCAGGAAGATTGCTTGAGGCCAAGAGTTCGAGACCAGACTGGGCAACACAGTGAGACCCCATCTCTACAAAAAAAAAAAAGTTAGCCGGGCATTATGGCACATGCTTGTAGTCCCAGCTACTTGGGAGGCTGGGGTGGGAGGATCACTTGAGCCCAGAAGTTTGAGGCTTTAATGAGTTATGATCATGCTACTCCACTCCAGCCTGGGCAGCAATCAAGGCTCTGTCACCAGGCTGGAGTGAAGTGGTGCGATCTCGGCTCACTGCAACCTCTGCCTCCCAGGCTCAAGCAATTCCCCTGCCTCATCCTCCCGAGTAGCTGGGACTACAGGTGCCCACCACCAGGCCCAGATGATTTTTTGTATTTTAGTAGCTACGGGGTTTCACCATGTTGGCCAGGTTGATCTCGAACTCCTGACCTTGTGATCCACCCACCTCGGCCTCCCAAAGTGCTGGGATTATAGGCATGAGCCACTGCGCCTGACCTGCTCAGCATATTTCTATTTGCCTGCCCTTGTTGTGGTATTTGAAATCTGCTACTCAGACCTATTACTTGTGTTGATTACTGATTCCTTCCTCTTGGAGTAAAGCTGCTCCAGAAACGAACATGGGAAAGGAAGAGTAGCAATGTGTTTTAGGAAAAAAAAGTTAAAGAAGGGCTAAACATTTTGGGAATCACAGAGACCTTTAACAACTAATTGCTAATTTTTAAAAGGCCATGAAGACATTTATGGATATTTAGATTTTCTAAATGTCAGTGGGGTCCGGAAATGTACCCTGGCGCCTTTAGAGAAAAAACGAGCTATCCAGCCAAAGCCTCTAAGACCACGTCTGGAAGGCGCGGAGAGGTTTTCCTCTATGGGAAACTGGCCAACGTGAGACCAGTCCTCCCAGGAGATAAGAGAAGGGGCTTCGGAAACCAGTGTCTGGTAGGACTAGGTGTAACCTGTGAATGATCCTTCAGCCAAGTCCAGAGGGAAGTCTGCCCACATGCAGACAATGGATGCCGCAGGCAGGAAGCTTCCTGGAGGTTAAGGAGGGGCAGGGGAGCACTGTATTTTTGGAGCAGACAAGAAAAAGAAAGGGAAGAGTCACTTTCCAGTCCTTTATTCATGAAGTTGCCATCCCCAACCTGGGCTTGCATATCCCAAGGGTGTCCCTGGGAAAGAAGGCGGTGGGAAGGCACAGGGCCGGGGAGCCTCGGGATCCTGAGTGAACTGGTGAGGACAGGGAGCTCAGCCTTTCCACAGTGAACACCCACCTATGGTGTGAGATGGGTGTGCTAGGAAGCCCTGGAGGAATGAGAGGGGCACCCGTGGTTTGGGCAGCCTGAGTTTGTTTGTGGGTAATTGTGTATAGGTGTGTATGTGAGGGAGGCGTGTCTATGAGTAGGAAGCTAAGTAGGTGAGGAGGTGTGTGGGTGCGGAGGGGAGGTAGGTGTATGTGGAGATGTGGGGGGCATGTGGGGATGGGAAGGACTTGGGTAGGAGGCAGAGGAGAGTAAAGTATGTGGATGTGTGAGTGGAGTTGTGGGGTGAGGGTTGGGGTGTATGTGAAGGGGAAGGTGTGAGGGAAGAGGTGGTGTGGGGGAAATGTGTGGAGGTGGGGTGGGGTGCCTGTGATGGGGAAGTGTGTGTGCATGTGTTGGGGGGGTGTGGAGGTGAGGAGGGGTCCATGTCGGGGGAAGTGTGTTCACATGTGTGGGGGGTATGGAGGTGGGGTGGGGTACATGTCGGGGGAAGTGTGTGGGGGTGTGGAGGTGGGGTGGGGTGCCTGTGAGGGGGAAGCGTGTGTTCATGTGTGGGGGGTATGGAGGTGGGGTGGGGTGCCTGTGAAGGGAAGCATGTGGGGTGGTAGGTGATTGGAGGGTGGGGATGGGCAGATGTGCAAGGAAGGAGGAGAAAGGGTGTATGTATTGGTGGAGGGCGGGGTGGAGCATCCTAGTGGGAGTTGCACAACCTGGCCAGTGGATCTATTTAACTCAAAAAGAAAGAGAAAATAAACAACAGAGAAAATCACAAAACACATGGGTGTTATTAATTTGACTGAGAGAAATAGAGCCCTGAACGGATGAGCAGAACAAAACTTAATGAGATTTGATGTGGAACATTTTTTAAATGCGTGGTGTAGGAAAGAATAGAAATAAACATGGAGAAATGATAGAAAACACTAGACTGCGGTAGAGAAGGCCCGGGAAGGAGCGAAGCTGGAAACTGGTGGGAGAGCTCTGCGCTCCATGGTGATGGTGTGACAGCCTCTCTGAGGGCCTGAGCCTGAGCCGTGACATAAAAGTAGCTGACTCTCTGTCAGGCTTTTCTATCATCTGTTTTTGTGGGCAAGGCACAACTCCCCTTGGCTTACCTGGAAACTGGACCCCTTGTTCTGCGTCTCTAGCACAGGCCTGGTGGAGACCTAAGTGTGGACCCTCAGGCATGCCTGATCATTTCCCTTGCTCAGGAATGAAGCTGAGTGACAGGTCTGCTTGGGGGGAGGGTCCAGGAGGCAAGCTGCAGCCTGCTCCGCTGAGAGTCGCTTCTCCAGGAAGGCTGGCAGACTGTGTCTTGGGCCCACCTGTAGCAGGAGGATGGCCTCCTTGGGAGTTAGTATCCAGGGTAAAAAGGAAAGCGGGCTTCTGTTCCAGTGGCTTTGGGCATCCTGGGAACAGTGTTGAGAATGAGGGAAAGCCCCACAGAAAAAGGGAAATGTGGTTCAAAGAAACCATTGATCCTCCCTGCAAGATGCCTTGAGGTCCCCAAGCATCCCCAAGGGAGACAGGGAGGAACTTTCTGCTCTTGCTGCCACACTTAGTAGAGCTGTAGAGCTGGGACACTGACTGTGTGCACAGGCATCTCCTGTGGCCCTGAAGCCTTGAAATGGGAACCACTGGGCCCAACTGGGCAGCGTGCTACCCACCAGGAGGTTGGAAACAACAAGGAGAGTTTCTTTCTTTCAGGAACAAAAGGACTTTTCAGGATTGAGAGCTTGGACTGGACACAGTCAGAGAGGATGTGAGCCTCAGAAATCTAAAAGAGGGAAACAGCAAAGAGAAGTTAGCGTGACAGAGGACTGACCCACAAACCAGGACCTAAGGGGGCTGGCTGGTGCTCTGGAATGTTCTGGAGAGCTCCTTCCTGGCCTCTTCTTGGCCTGGGGCTGCAGTGCGGAGAGGTGTGAGCAGGGGACTCCATACTCCCCTCTCATCGTCTTGTGCTGGTGACACCTGCTCTTGTCTGTCTCATACATTGTGCTTCTCCAGAAGCATTGGTTGCAGAAGATTTGGTGGCTGATGTGTTTGAACACCATGGGACTAGACCAGGGGTCAACAGACATTTTCTGTAAAGGGCCAGGTAGTAAATATGTCAGACTTGTATACCATAAGGTCTGTGCTGAAATTATTCAACTTTGCTGTAGTGGCACAAAAGTTCCCCTTCCCAATAGATAAGCAAGTGGGCGTGGCTGTGTCCCCATAAAACTTATTGATAGATACAGGCTGGGAACTGAACGCAGCCCACGGGTTGTGGTTTGCCAATCTCTGGACCAGACAGTTCTCTCTGCCAGGCCCACTACTGCCCTCAGGCATCTGGAGCTGAAGCTCAAGAATGGGGACTGTAAGGCTGCCTGAATGTGGACAGTCATGGTTTGTGGGAGCAGGCCCCTCCCTCTCTCCCATGTCACTCGTTTTCCTAGATTTCCCTGAATTCTCTCTTCCTATACTCCACTCCATCAGTCCCAGGTCAGTCTTCTGGAACCAAGCAGAACCAGCCCATCAGTCCACAGTGGTGGAAACAGCCATCACATAGCCCAGAGCCTTTGCTTCCTGAGCTGCTGGTCTTTACACAAAATAAGGCTTCCAGCCCTTTGGGGGCCCAGTGCGGTGCTGTCAGGGTGGTCTCCCTGAGAAGAAGACAGAGGGAGGCTCACATCTGAATCTGAGGGTCCTCCTCACAGGCTGGAATTGTGAACTTGCGGTCAAAACACCAGAGACTTGTCCCCATACATTGTGCCAAGCTGACTAGCTGAATTCCTTGAAGCTACGGTCAAGCTTCATATTTTCTCCCTGTAGGAATCATTCTCCTTGGTTGGGGTCCCTCCTTATAGCCGTGGGTCTAATTTTGAGTTATCAGCCGTTGGACTGTCCAATCCTCCCAGCTTCGTGTCATCCATGTCATTCACACATTTGTAAGCAGTTTCCTTCTTTCTCCAAAGTCCGTGACAAGCGTTGAGTGGCATGCGCTCAGAGCAGCTTCTTTCTGGGTGACGCTGGCCCACGGGCACCCGAGCCGGGCATGCTTTGAGCCAGTTTTCCCTGAGGACTCCCCAGCCATGTGTCCTCATCTTGTCTAGCAGGATGTCATGACAGGCTTTGTCAAAAGGCTTCTTCCAATCAAGTAACACCATGTTATGGCTTCCTGCTGGGTCAGGAGCCCCATTAACAAAGGAAATGAGGTTGGTTTGGCAAGACTGGCTTTTGATGAGCTCATGTTGGCTCCGCTAACGGTTTTTTTTTCCCCCTTTAAAGAGCTTCTCATCAGCTTACTGAATAAATCTGTGAACAATAAATTCTATCTCACACCCATCAGGGTGGGGGAGTACTAATTAAGCTCACATTTCTTTGCATGTTAAAATTAAATGGCTCTGAGCTGCATCCTGCTCCCTCAGGTATGTCTTCCTTCCCTTCATCCACTAAAGAACCAGCTCTGATGATGAGCCGAGCCAGGTGCTGGTGCCAGACCATGTGCTGGGCCAGGGTGTGGGGGTGTGGGCAGCGGAAGAGAAAGCCCCTGGCCAGCAATATAGCACCCTGCCTTGTTGGGCATGCACAGTGAGCCTACCGTCTTGTGCCCAGCTCATTCATAGCACAGCCTCCTCAATACAAGTAGGCATTTTCCCTAGGGCCCCCTCTAGTGCCAAGGTGGCAGTATGGGAAGGGACATCCAGCCTCAGCCTCAGAACTAGTCTTGGAAACCCAGTCTTGAGAGAGAAGCAGAGCAGTTCCTCCTTCCACTGCCCTGAGCTTCTTTTCCTCCACAGATGTGAACTTCTCCAAGCACACTCACTTGTCCTGTAACTGCTTTATTATAATCCATCCATTGCTGGTGACCAGCATTGATCTTACTGGTATCTAGTTTCTGGACCCAGTTTCCAAGTTCTTAAAGGCCTGGGCAACATTGCCTGTCTCCAAGCTTCTCCCATTTCCCTTATCTATTTGAGTTTCTCACAGTTACTCATCTCTTTGGATGAAAATCGATCTCATCGTATAATCACTATGTCCCAGGTTATAATATACTCATTATTTTTAATTCTCATAAGAATATTGTAAGACAGGTATTATATCTGTTTTGAAGACGAGGACACTGAGGTTCATTCCGAGAGGCCTCTGACTATCAAGCAGTAGAGCCAAGATTGGAACCTCATCTGTCTGGCTTCAAGGTGTGAATTTCTTCCATTGCCCCACAATGTGCCCCAGACTGTCAACGTCAACTCATTTTTTCCTCTGGGGCAGAAGACTATGTTCTCCTAGTTTTCCAAGATGAAACTGAGTGCATTTGCCCATAGGAATCATTTTATAAATGGAGGCTTAGTTTAGCTGGAATAGAACACATGTTATTACTGGGGCATTATGGATTAACTAGGCTTTGTGGACTACACTGGAAACCCAATCATTTCTGATTTGCAAACAACCCAATTTACAATCGACTTTGGGATCTCAGATCATGAGTGAGTTTGGGACAGTCTGTTCCAAGCCTGCCAGTGGGTGTTGCCAGAGTTTCAGGAGGAACTGTAGAGTAGCTGAATTTAGGAGATGAGGAAATAAGTCCTTCAGAGTGGAACATTCTGAATGAGGTTCCAGGAGTCGTGCTGATAGTTTAAGGGCTTGGCACCTTGGCCATGATTCCAGATAACTCTCTGGAAACACCCCTGCCTTTCTCTGTTGTTCTCTTATGGATTGCTTCTGAAGTTTGGGGCTTGCTAACCTCTTCCCCATTTGACCCTACTCACCCACACACTCCCAGATGACAGCCATGTCTCCTTCTGAGCAGGGAGGGGATGGGTGGCTCTTAAGAGCCATGACTTGAAGGAGCCCTCCTCTTTCCTGGCAGAAGTCTCTCTCTTTGCTTTACTAGAATGATGAGAATGACTAGTCAAAGGAAAGCCCCTCTTGCCATGGCCTTCTCTTGTTGCTTGGTCGTTCTAGGGTCCCCTCCCTACCCCAGCTCTAGACCTTGGTGCAAAGCCCTCTTACTATTTATTCCCTTGACAGCTGGAAGGCTGGCCTCAGCCTGGCCATCCCGAGGGGTGGGACGGAGCGCTGAAACATGTGGCTTTGAACACCGGCATGGCTAGACCTTGGCCTGCCCCAGATCTACCCCATCTCTGGAGGTTCCTTTCTAGGGAAGTAGACCTTCCTGACAGAGACTCCTACATTTCTAAAGCTGCTGAGGGTCCAGAATTTAGAAATGAAATTCTGCATATTTAAATGGTGGAGTGAGTCAGAGGGTTGACTCACATGCTGGTGGGGTGGGGCTGGGGGAGCTGGAGGAGGGAAGAGGTCCGGCCTGTTTCTAGTTAACATTTCACAGCCCTGTGAAAACTAGACTGGCAAAGCCAGCCCTCTGGTGTTCTATGGGAAAAAATGTGCTCTGATGAACTTGAGCCTTCCAGAAGGTTGCCTGGGGGAAGATGAGAAACAGACTGATACCTGGCTAAGAAATAGACGCCCCTCCCTCCTCCAGACCCCTCCAAGATAGGGGCAGGTGGCTGTGTTTGGGCAGGCAGTCTCTGGAGGTTGTGGTAGCAGGAAAAGGCAGGCATGTTCCTGACCTTACTACAGGATTTGACTTGGTGGAAAGGTCAGAGTTAGCAACCTCTAACCTGCCATGCTTCTATAAGTTACGTGGAGTAGCTGTGTTCCAGCCTTTACTAGAGTGCTTGCGAAGCAATGAGAGGTTGCTGTTTCTTCCTAATGTGTGCCCGAGTTCCTGAAAAGGCTGGAGCTTTTGCTCCAGGGAGGAGAGGTGTGGAGTGGTGCAAAGAGACTCAAGTCCCCCATTCTGTCTGCCAGAGGCTGTCCATTATCAATGTCGCTAGATCAGAGGCTGCCCACGGGGTTGGTGCTCATACAAGGTCTTTTTCTTCCCCTTCTTCCTGCCCCTTGAACTCCTATCCCTGTCCTCCTATTTTTTTTTCTTTTTTAAAATGTGTGTCCTCTTATTTTTATAAGGGAAGAGCTTAATGTTCTAAATTCTAGAAGACTTGGCTGAGCGCAGTGGCTCACGCCTATAATCCCAGCACTTTGGGAGGCCGAGGAGGGTGGATCGTCTGAGGTCAGGAGTTCGAGACCAGCCTGGCCAACATGGTGAAACACTGTCTGTACTAAAAATACAAAAATTTGCTGGGCGTGGTAGCATGTGCCTGTAATCTCAGCTACTTGGGAGGCTGAGGCAGGAGAATCGCTTAAACCCGGGAGGCAGATGTTTCAGTGAGCCAAGATCATGCTATTGCACTCCAGCCTGGGCGACAGAGCGAGACTCTGTCTCAAAAAATAAAATAAAATAAAATAAAAATAAATTCTAGAAGACTCTATTCTGACCAGAGTGAGCTAGCCAGGGCCGCCCACTGCCAAGGGTGTCTCAGGCTTGATTGTCTGGGAAGCCCACACTACATCTGTCTCTGACATAAACACCTGTCCCCGCATAAGGCCGGTTCTGTTAGTGGGCCACAGCTTCTCTGATAGCACTGACCTCGGGGTTGCATTTAACTGCTGTTCCCTTTTTTATATGTGTCAGAACTTGATCTGGGATGTGGGATGGGTTTGGGCCCTATTGAGTTGGCATAAGGAAGAAAGTTCTTTGGAAGATCTTGAATCAATTTGGAATGTAGAATAGGCCAAGAGGAACTCAGTAGACTTGGATGTAATTGGGGCCCATTGATTATTTTTAAATACATATTTTAATAAAGGCAGTTTCTGACATGTAATCCGACATTTTTAAAGTTAGTGGTAGCAGTTAAACAATCCCCAGAAAGTTTCACCTCCTGAACACTGCATGAGATGAACTTCATGAGGATTTTTGTGGCCGTGGTGCAGCAGGCAACATGCCGTATGAAGACTTAATAAGTCATTCAATGTTTTTACCATCTTTGATGACCATTAAATACCTTGCAAAAAATGATTTTGCTAGTCAAGTCAGCAACAATGTTCAAATAAATATGTATTAAATAAATTAATGAGAATCAGTAGAATCAAGAACTAGCATTCAAAAAACCCACACATTTTCTGGCCCTTTCTTTTCCCGGTGATGTTTCTCATGTCATGCCCCTGCTATCCTACAGCAGCCTGGCCTTGTGTGTCTACGCACACACCCTCTGGGCTATGCATTCACCATCCTCGCAGCCACTAAGCCCTGCCCCTCATACTATGCATTGACTGCTTCTTGATGGAATCAACTCCCCTCCTTACCCGTCTCAGTTGACAGGGCCTTGCACATTACTCCTAAGTCCTCTAGTGTGTTCATTGCACTGACCCCTCATGATTTTCACCCTTCTGGAGTTTTCCTTAGGATACAATCCAGGCCCCTTCCCATCATGCACAAGTCCTCCAGGGGCAGCCAGGCCTCACCCTGGAGGACTTGTGTTTGAGCGCCAGCCTCACTGACCTTTATTCATGTTGTGGAATGTACCACCCCCGCATCTGAGCCCTTCCACACTCTCTTTCTCTCCTCCTCACCTCCCCACTTCCCCACCCTTATCTTCTATCTATGCCTGTCGATTCTTCTCAGTTCAGAGGCCACTTTCTCCAGAAACCTTCTCCAGAATGTCCTCTCCTACAACACTGGGTCTGCTGCCTCTCTCATATGCTCCCTGGCACCCTGTCCCAGCTTCACATGTCCTGTGCAATATTTTTAAATTGTGGCAAAATATATATAACATAAATTTTACTGTTTAACCACTTTTAAGTGTATAGTTCAGTGGCATTAAGGTACGTTCACAATGCTGTGCAACCATCATCATCATCCACACCTGGAACTTTTTCATCTTCTCAAACTAAAATTCTGTATCTGTTAAACACTAACTCTTCATTCCCATCTCCCCCAGTCCCTGGCAACCACCATTCTACTTTCTGTTTCTGTGAATTTGACTTCTTAGATCCCTCATCTCAGTGAAATCACACAGCATTTGTCTTTCCGTGTCTGGCATATTTCACTTAGCATAATGTCCTCAAGGCTCATCTGTGCTGTAGCATGTGTCAGGATTCTCTTCCTTTTTACAGCTGTATAATATTCCATTGCATATACCACATTTTGTTTACCCATTCATCTGTTGATTAATATTTGGGCTGTTTCTAACTTTTGGCTATCAGGAAGATAGTGCTCTGAATATGGGGGTACAAATATCTCTTTAAGTCCTTGCTTTCAATTTTTGGGGGTATATACTCAGAAGTGGAATTGCCAGATCATATGATGATTCTATCTTTATTAGTATTTATTTATTTATTTATTTATTTATTTATTTATTTTTGAGACGGAGTCTCGCTCTGTCACCCAGGCTGGAGTGCAGTGGCGCCATCTTGGCTCACTGCAAGCTCCGCTTCCTGGGTTCACGCCATTCTCCTGCCTCAGCCTCCCGAGTAGCTGGGACTACAAGTGCGAGCCACCATGCCCACCTAATTTTTTGTATTTTTAGTGGAGACAGGGTTTCACCGTGTTAGCCAGGATGGTCTTGATCTCCTGACCTTGTGATCTGCCCGCCTCAGCCTCCCAAAGTGCTGGGATTACAGGTATGAGCCACCGCACCCGGCCCATTAGTATTTATTTTTTTTTGAGACAAGATCTCACTCTGTCGCCCAGGCAGTGGCAGGATCTTGGCTCACTGCAGTCTCTGCCTCCTGGGTTCAAGCCAACCTCTCACCTCAGCCTCCCAAGTAGCTAGGACTACAGGCACGTACCACCATGCCCAGCTAATTTTTTGTATTTTTAGTAGAGACAGGGTTTTGCCATGTTACCCAGGCTGGTCTCGAACTCCTGGGCTTAAGCAATCTGCCCCTCTTGGCCTCCCAAAATATTGGGATTACAGGTGCGCGCCGTCACGCCCAGTGTTGATGATTCTATTTTTCAGTTTTTGAGGAACCACCCTTCTTCTTCCCACATTGGCTACACCACTTTACATTCTCACCAGCGATGCATAGGGTTCTAATTGCTCCACACCCTTGCCAACACTCGTTTTCTGTTTTTTTTTTTTTTGGTAATAGCCATCCTGATGGGTATGAAGTGATATCTCATTGTAGTTTTGATTTGATAAAGCAATATTACGGTTGCTTTTTTGATGCTCTGGGTACCACAGTGGACCACAGGGTTTGTTAGGCACAGTACCTGTGCCTCTCAGTCATGCCCACATCTCCCACCCAAGCAGAGTGCCCACCCACAGCCACTATCAACCAAATAACTGAGCGACTGAAGAATGAATGTAACTGGGTCCAGGTCCTTTTCAGGACTCCGCGTTCTCCTTTTCCCCTGTGACGCAGGTATCACTCATACTGCTGCTGAGGGGCAGCTGCTCAGACCTAGGCATCTAGGCATGGTCCTTCAGTGGCTGAACTGGGAACAGAGGCTGATTCTTTGCATCTCTTTCCAGGTATTGTGATTTGCTTTAAACCGTGCTCCCACATAACTTAGACTTGGTCCTGCCACCCCACGGCCTATGAGACAACGTGCCACAGAGAGCCACTGTCACACCGAGGGGAATGGCTCAGCCAAGCACACTTGTGAATGACAACAACCTGAGGTTTTAGGGAACTCAGACTTTGTTTATTTCTCCATACACAGTGTACCCAAGATTTGTCTGAATCTTCAGAAATAAATACCCACTTGGAAATGTAGCAGCAGCCCTTTTATTTATGGATGCAAAGTATATGTCCTTCAGAAATGCATCCGTTTGGTCAAAGTTGGCACAGAGAAGTTAGCAGAGAAGTGTGCGTGTTGATTTCTTTGAGTGACTGCACAGCTGTGTTGAGTCAGTTAGCCATGCCAGGTCAGGTGGGTTTGTATAAATGTTTGAACACTTCCCAAGCTGAGCAGCTGGCTTAGCTCTCTTTCCCCTACATGCCTATTTGGTCCTGAGAAGAGCATGGGGCCATGTTACCTGTCCCTCACTCCCTCCAAAGACCAGCATAGCCTGTGCATATAAACTCTTACCCACCTGGGGCAACAGCCCCGGGTGTCCTGTCTGGCTGCTGCACTGGGGGAGTGACCAGTGAGCCTAACACTCTGCCCACCAGATCCACCAGCAGCCTCTCACCCTCTGCTGTGCTTGGTCCTTCCCTGGAGTCCTCTGAGAGCTTTCAAAGTCAAAATCACCAACATAGAGAGCCACGAATTCAGGGTCATAGGAATCTGGGTCCCAGGCTCCCAGTCCAGGCCTTCCAACATCTGTTAGCCTTGCCCACTCAGAGCCACCCTGACCTCACCCTGGGATCTGCAGGAGTCAGCCAGCGCCACACCCAGTTCTGGGTGTTGGAAATGGTCCATTTGATAGATTCCTGAGTGGGAGGGTGGGCCAGACAGCCCCTGTGGTCTTTCAGCAGGAGCATTTTACAATTCTGTGCTTCAGGACCCTTGCAGCATCACTGAGCTGCACCAGCCTTCTTTCAAGATGGCAGACACAGCCTCTAGACCTGGTGTGGGACTGGCAGGGTCTGACTTCTCATGCTTGGGCATCTTTTTGGAACCATAGTCTTCTACCTCTTTAATGACACAGAGAATCTTTCTATCTAGCCACCTTATGGCCTCTACGCCAAGGGAAACTAAGGCTCAGAGACATTTAGAAACTTGCTCAAGAATACATAGGGATAAAACCAATTTTTATCTTACCTAGGGATAAAGCCAATTTCTTAACTCCCTGTACTGTGTTTATTTCATCTTATTGTCCCAGATTCTAGCACACATCCCAGCAGCCAGCCCCTTTCCTGAGAGGAAGTAGGTGTAAGGTCCCAGCCACCTACAGAGGTCAGAGAGCTCATATGTCTGAAGGTGGCTAGGGATGGAGGAAATCTTCCCATGCCATGTTCTTCCATCCCTGAAAAATGTGTGTTCTGTCTTTTCAAGCTGCCATCAGACTTGATTTCAGTTTGGACTTTGAGTCAGACACATGCAGGTTCGGATCCCAGCTCTACCCCCAAACCAGCTACTTAGGTATGGTCTTATGTAGTCTCCTGCTCACAGTAACCCCTGTGAGCAGGAGACCACATACATCACAACCTTGGCACAGGGCCTGGCCCTGTCAGTACATGGGTGTTTGACATTTCTGGTGCTAGGACTTGGATCTCTACGGTAGAGCCTGTAAATCAGAGAGAGGCCCAACACTCCACGGGGGAGAGGTGGTGGTGGGCTCTGGTGGGACTTAGGCTCACCTAGCTCAGGGCAGCACAAGTGAGAATTAAACTGAATCCCATCAGTGTTAAGTGAGCAAGATCGGTGACGTCAGCGATGGGTTGTGGTTGGTGGGGATGGGCAGAGACTCAGCTCCACTGTTGCAGGCCTAGAGCCTAGAGCAGAAAGAAGGGCAATGGGAATGGGACAAAGAAGAAATGGGAGAGACGTTGTTAAGCTTTGGATATATTTATTTACAAAAACCTTGAATTTAAAAACTTTGTTGCTTTATTTCAAAAGTATTTCTTTTAACACAAAAGAAATGTGTTCATTCCAGACAAATTACAAAATAAATGAGGCAAATAAAAAAAGATCAGCACAATCTCATCACCCAGAGAGAGCCATCATCTTCCAGAGGTTTTCTCTGCATATTCAAGTAGTCCACAAACGTTTTATAAATTAGGGAACATATTCTTCTCCAAGCTACTAGTTACTATTTTTTTATTCTAACAAGCTGTTCCAGCTGTCTTTCTGTGTAAAAAAAAGGCTATATTTTCACCCCAATTCTAAAAGGTTGCATATTATATCACCATGTGGTCGGGCCACTCTATTTGAATTCTGCATTGAAAGGCAGGATAATGAACATGGAGTGGGAAGAGGGAGGTACAGAGGGACCCTGACTACAGTCCCTGGCTGCTTGCCAGGATGCTTCCTTCCACGGACACAACTATTGAAGGTCTAGATGACCCTGACCAAACAGACGCCTTGGCTTCCTTTCCTTTTCCTGGGACAGGCTTCCCTGACTGATGGGGGAGCTCCCATGACAGCAACTTTCTAATGTGTCCTGCATAGACACCACTGGAGAGGGCAGACAACAGTGGGGCCAGGCTGGACGAGGCGTGTGCGACTGGGGAGAGGGGAAAGGGCAATGAAGAGCACAGACCCCTCTCCCCAGCCCCACCATCCAGGGCAGCCCTGAGCCCAACAGCACCGGCAGAGTCCAGTGTGAGGAGCAGGGCTAGTCTACGGCGCTCGGTTTTCCTCTCTGTGGGACTTAGGCTCACCTAGCTCAGGGCAGCACAAGTGAGAATTAAACGGAATCCCATTAGTGTTAAGCGAGTGAGATTGGTGACGTCAGTGGTTTCCATTAGCCTGAATGAGACAGGGAAAGGGGATCTCATGGAAAGGAGCCCTCGAGAACCCCTAAGGCCTTGGAGAGCTGCCAATGCTGATTGCTTAGTGTGGGCCAAATTAAAAACAGAGGCATGGAAGCGGCAGCCCAGCCTGGCAAGGGCCACAGCCACAGGAACCATAGTGCCCACAGGCCTCACCCAGGGTGTCTGGGACCCTCACAGAAGGGCTTCGAGAAGCAGCCTCAGCTTCCCCATCTGTAATATGAGAGGCTGAACGAGAGGGTCTTAAAGCCCCTCCAGCATCAGAAGTTCTGGGAGCTTCCCCGGAACGGTAAGGATATTAAATGTCTTTGGCAGTAGGTCTTCCAGTGTGACTTGGAGCTGGGCTCACTAAGAAGCAAAGGCCCTGGGAGTCACAACCAGGGACTCAACCCACGTTGTAGGTGACACCAACCCGGTGCAACAGCATGACCTCTGTCCTGCTGAAGAGAACCCTGGGGGCCCAGAGCCCCAGGGCTGAGCACAGGGTGCTGGAGGCCGACGGGCCTGGGCTTTGACCCTGGACCCCCTCCCCCTTTTCCAGCTGGGTGCCCCTTTCCTCCACAGATGAAGGTACTGACTTCTCCGTGCTCAGCTCCCCACCAGTGCCCATGGAGGAGAAGGCATGGACACTCACGAGAGGAAGATTCCTCTCCACCTGAGAAATAGCAGCTCCTGGGGCCGGGGAGCCCACATTCCACCTCTCTTTCACACCTTTGTTTCTAGAGTCCCTCCTGCTGGCCAGACAGAAGGACGCGGTCCTCAGGAACCATGTCCCATTTGCTAGCACAGCCTCTGGCCAAAGTTGGTCCTTCCCCAAGGGGCCTGGGAGAAAGGCCGGGTTTGGAGGCCAGCCGGTGGAACCAGGAGACCAGGGTGGTGGAGACCAGCAAGCACTCTCGTTGCAGGGAACAACAGCCGCTTGCAGGCCGAGCTCTGCCAGAAGCATTGGCAGGACCTGCCTCCCAGTAAGTGCCACAGCACCACCCAGAACCCCCAGAAGGAGACCAGCAGCATGTGGGGCCTGATGGTGGTTGCCCAGCTGCTGGCTGGCATCGGGACAGTGCCTATTCAGCCATTTGGGATCTCCTATGTGGATGACTTCTCAGAGCCCAGCAACTCGCCCCTGTACATCTGTGAGTCACCGGCTTGAAGAGGGCTTTGGGGAGGGGTGAGGTCCTGATGTAGCACTTGATGAGGCCCTGGGGCACTAAACTGAGGTCCCACCCTCTTTGCTTACAACCCAGCAAATGAGTTCAGAGGCCTGGGGATCCGACAGACTTGGTTTGAATGTCAGCTCCATTACCTCCCAGCTGTGTGATCTGAGGCAAATGGCTGAACCCCAGGGCCCCAGGTTTCTCACCTCCAGGAGGAGGCTGATATTATCTGTGCGCTGGATGGCTGTGGGATACATGAGATGGCATATGTAACCACTTAGCTGGTGTTGGGCACTGGATGGACCCTAAACCAACAGCACCTACTGTTGCTCTCTGACTAGTCCTTCAGGCACAGGCCAGGACACACATATCTTCTCTGAGACATCCACTTAGGAGCAGGTTGGCCTCAAAGAAGCCCATGCAAAGCAGATAGCAGATGACCACGTGAATGCCCAAATCCTTCCCTTCGAACAAGCCACTTTGGGACGGGCGTGGTGGCTCATGCCTGTAATCCCAGCACTTTGGGAGGCCAAGGCAGGCGGATCACCTGAGGCCGGGAGTTCGAGACCAGCCTGATCAACATGGAGAAACCCCGTCTCTATTAAAAATAAAAAATTAGCTGGGCATGGTGGCGCATACCTGTGGTCCCAGCTACTTGGGATGCTGAGGCAGGAGAATCACTCGAACCCAGGAGGCAGAGGTTGCAGTGAGCCAAGATTGCACCATTGCTCTCCAGCATGGGCAACAAGAGTGAAACTCCATCTAAAAAAAAAAAAAAAAAAAAAAAAAAAGAACACACCACTTTGAGCATCCTCAGGGCCTATACTCCAGACCACACAGACCACCCCCACAGGCTCTGTGGCACCATGAGCTCCTCCGAGGGCCCCCAGCATCGTACCCACAGGGAGCATCACCTGGCATTTTTAAATGCCTTGGAGCCTGTTTCCTTCCTGGCAAGCAGGTCTCTTTGGAAGTTGGCTGGAGGAAGAAATAGCCTTGGTTCTATATGTCTTGGAATCTTGAGTGGTTCTGGCCTTGCTGGTGGGAGATGCCACAGGTGTGGGCTTATCAGGCTTGGGAACAGATGAAGTGATATCTCAAGACTCCCCCTCAGCTTGGGAGCCCAAGGCTGCCAAACTCTCTCCATTTATCTCAGTCTCCTTCCCCTTACTTCCTTTTCCAGCCATCTTATTTGCCATCTCTGTATTTGGACCGGCTTTCGGGTACCTGCTGGGCTCTGTCATGCTGCAGATCTTTGTGGACTATGGCAGGGTCAACACAGGTGAGTATGTGCAGAGGACACCCATTCCCATCCCCAGCTCAATAAAGCAGCCCCCAGCCCCCTCATCCAATCAGAACAGAGAATGAAGCTTCAGCTCCAGATGCGCTCTGCCACCTCCTCACTCGCTCACTCATCCCTGCAGTCCCTCGGAGAGCCAGGAGCAGACAGTGTGTGCCTCCTCTCTCAGGGCCCACGCTGGCCACTGTGAGGAACAAGCTGCTGAAGCAAACTCACTTTCTGCCCTTAAGAAGTTTGGAGACCCAGGGCAGGACCTCAGGTGTTGCCACCACAGCGCCCATCTTGGTGGCATTAAAAATATTTCTATGGGCTGGGTGCGGTGGCTCAAGCCTGTAATCCCAGCACTTTGGGAGGCTGAGGCGGGTGGATCACGAGGTCAGGAGATCAAGACCACCCTGGCTAACACGGTGAAACCCCGTCTCTACTAAAAATACAAAAAAATTAGCCGGGCGTGGTGGCAGATGCCTGTAGTCCCAGCTACTTAGGAGGCTGAGGCAGAAGAATGGCGTGAACCTGGGAGGCAGAGCTTGCAGTGAGCCGAGATCATGCCACTGCACTCCAGCCTGGGCGACAGAGTGAGACTCTGTCTGAAAGAAAAAAAAAAAATTCTATGGTTCTTTGATTCTAAGATGTTGCTGGTTCTTTAAGATTTAATAAGAGCTCTTTTGAGGAAAAAAAAGAAACATCATATAAAATATACACACGGATGATGACTCACATCCAGAGGGTATAACATGGTGTTTGACTGTGTGGGCGCTGGGACGGGACTGCCTGGGTCTCATCCTGGCTCCATCTCTTACTAGCCAAGTGATCTTAGGCAAGTAACTTTGTCTTTCTGTGCCTCAGCTTCCTCATCTGTAAAATGGAGCTAATGATAGTAAAATAAAGTTGTTTTAAAGATCAGAACAAGCCTAATGTATATTAAGAAGTCAACAGTATGAGTTCGTATTCTTCAACAAGTGGTATGGATGAGAATATATAGTCCCTAGACACCAGCATAAGTTCTGAGTTAACCATTCAGGGAGCCAGCCCCAGGATGAATGGAGCAAGGGCTTCCTGCCTTTGAGAGTGTGTCCCACACTACCCAGTCTCCCACAAGATGGGGAAGGTCAGCACCACAACAGAGGGACAGGCAAAGTGCTGTAGGGTGGAGAATGTGGGGAGTGTGTGGGTGGGATACGAAGTTCCAGCTCGGCTGAAGGGGTGGCTGAAAGGCAGGACTGAGCCAGACTCCAGGAAGAGCACTCCCACCACTGCCCTGCAAACAAGTCACGTCACAGATATCTGGCAGGTGCTAGTTGCAACCATGCTGCTAGAGCCTAGACTCCCGTCCCTAAGACTGTCAGACCACAGTGCCATCTGCATGGTGTCATTTGGCTGTACTTCCAATGAAAGTAGAAAGCCAGGGGGTGTCTTATGCCTCAGGATCAAGCCATCCCTGTCCTTTTGCTGGCACTCCCCGAATTGGTTCCTGGCTCTTGGTTGCCCAAAGAGACCAGCAACTGAGTGCCCAGTCCACTCAGGGCAGTGCCCAGGGAAGCTTGTCATGATTTGACTGAACCGTTCTGCCACCTTCTCCTTCCCTTTATGCCCGGATAGTTTCTTTACACAGAGAAACACAATGGCAGACTTTTACACGTGTGCAAGAGAATTGCCAAGAGAAAGCTGCTCCTTTGGAAGCCAGGCAGTTCACACAGTTGATGGTTGTTTCTTTAGGCTTCTAAGGATTATGGGGCCTCCTTTGTTAGGGATCCATAAAGTTGGGAGGCAGTAGTTTAATGGTTAAGAGGGCAGGTTTGCATACCAGGGAGACACAGGCTTGAAATTGACCAATGAAATGGCACTTACTAGCCTTTACCTGAGGCAAGGGACTTAACCCCTTCTATCCTCAGTTTCTTGACTGGTGAGAGGTGGGCAGACTTGCTAGAGAACCCAGTGGAAAACAGATGGAAAGCACGTGGTCTAGAGTCTGGCCCATGGTGTGCCCTTGTGAGTGAGAGTCAGCTCCCTTCTTCACTACTTCTGCCAAGGGCTGGGAGTTGAATAAGGAGGTGAAGGTACTGCTCCCTCCTGCCCGGGGATTTTCTGATGCTGTGCTTCATGTGCAGTGGCCTTGGTCCTCTGGGAAGACCAATAGCTGGGAGAGGGAATGTTGTTTTGACCAAGAATCTAGCTCATGGCTTGCCTCTTCTGCATCCTGGGAAGAAAATCAGTGAAACTCCCCCTGATCAGAGGTTCTGTTTCCAGTAAGGTGAGATCATGCATTCAACAAACATTTGCACTCTTCGTTTTCTCTTCAGCTGCAGTTAACTTGGTCCCGGGTGACCCCCGATGGATTGGAGCCTGGTGGCTAGGCCTGCTCATTTCTTCAGCTTTATTGGTTCTCACCTCTTTCCCCTTTTTTTTCTTCCCTCGAGCAATGCCCATAGGAGCAAAGGTAAGGTTCCAAGAGCCCATGACTCTACCTGATGGAGTTGAAGAAAGGGATGTGGGGGTAGAAAATAAATAGAGCTAAAAAGCTGCAGCATGTTAAGCAAATTCAGGGTGAAATCTAAACAAATTTCATGATGCAGGACTTCCCAGAGGCTTTAAGAGGTGAGGGTGTTGGTGAATTTCCAAAAGGTGGTATCTCCTATGTGTTCCCGTACCATGTTAGCATGTCAAGGATCAGGAGACCTCCAGGGAACAGTTTGGGAAACACTGAGCTTATCTAAATTGAGCTAAAGAATTAAGAGCCAATAAAGGCCAAGTCTGCGACCTGGTACAGTCAACTTTTACATTTAATAGGGCCTATCAGTGTTCAGTGTTTGAACCTGAAAAACTGAGTAGGAAGGGATTCCTAGCATTGAACAGTGTTGAGGGTGGCTGAAATTGGAGCATATTTTGAGCAGAGGACCTTCCAAGCATCTTCCAGTCACGCCTGCTGGGGAAAGGAATCAGGGAAGGATGAGAACGGAGAGCAAGGAAGAGAAGTCTGGGTAGGGGCTTGATGTTCAGCTGAAGGGTCTAAAGATTGTTCTAATTCCATGAAGTTCTAGAGCACTGCAGTGACTGGGTGGCCACTTGGGTGGCAATATGGCAGCTAGGTTGAGTTTAGGGGGTAGGGAAGGAATGGAGGCTGGAGATCTGAAGAGGCCAGTGCAGAGACCAGGTGAGAGATGGGGAATGCAGCAATGGTTGTCGGAGAGCTGGGACAGGGCAAAGATAAGGATAGACATTCCTAGGGTGGATGCCCAGAAGGACTCAGCAGTGAGCTGGCTTGGAGGAGAAGAAGGAGCTAAAGTTTATGCCTAGGCTTCAAGTCCCAAAATAGAGCTCAATGTTTGACAATGAGGTATATAAAATCTAGGCCCAGCCGGGGGGAGAGGGGCAGGGGTGGGAGGACCTCAGCTTGTCTTGGGGAAGAATTTCAGACGTTGGCTACACATCATGCAGGTGCTGGGGTCAGGCAGACCTGGGTTTGAATGAAGCTCTGCTACTTATAAACCAGCTGAGTTGGCCAGGTGTATAATCTCACACTTTAGGAGGCCAAGGCAGGAGGATTGCTTGAGCCCAGGTTGAGATTGGTGGGTAGGGAAGGAATGAAGTTCAAGACCACCCTGGGCAACATAGCGAGACCCCATCTCTAAAAAAAAAATTATTTTAAAAACTTAGCTCAGCATGGTGTTGAGTGCATGTAGTCCCACCTACTTGGGAGGCTGAGGTGGGAGAATCACTTGAGCCCAGGAGTTCGAGGCTGCAGTGAGCTATGACTGCACCACTGCACACCAGCTTGGGTGACAGAGTGAGACCCTGTCTCTAAAAAAATAAAAATAAAAAATAAAAAACAATGAACTAGCTGAGTGAGCTTCGCCAAGTTTCTTTGTTCCTAAGCTTCCTCTTCTTTACAGTGCTCCAGCTAATTAGAGTAGCAGTATGGGAAAGCGTTGTGAGGAATGAGACAAAGCATATGAATACTGGGCACAGGTCCAGCAGGGAGTAAGCACTCAGTGAATGGGAGAGCCTATTCCTGGAGATGAGTTCCCAGCAGGATCCTAATGCTGTCAGAGCCCAGGGGCCTTGCATCTGAAAGGTAGTTCAGAGCTGCAGGGCCTTAGGCTGGAGCTGACAAGGTCAGAAGAGGTAGGAAGGTTCCCTGGGGTAGTATACCCAAGAAAGTGCAGGTAAAGGTTTAGGACAGAGCCTTGAGCAGCACTCACCTTTAGGCTCAGGAGGAAGCAAGAATCCCAGAGAGGAGATAGAAAGGGGGAGGACGGTGGGGCTGGAAACAGATGGCATTCTAGACCAGAGTGTCCCAGAAGCCAGTATCCCCTGGAATCTGAGGGTAGGGGAGAAGCGTAGCCATGACAGATGGGGGTGAGGGGTGGGGTCCAGGAAGACACCTTTGGCAACAGTCATAGGAAAGTTAGATATGAAATGATATGCCCACAGGTATCGTGGGAGGCATTGGCATAGATGTGTTCTGATTGTCGGCCAAAACACCAGGCTCACGGAAATGCAGGTGCTGTTTGCTTCAGGAGAGCATTCTCTGGATGCCCTCCCATGCACACACGCCTGGAGGGGGCTCACCTCCACCCAGCCCTGAGCTTCTGAGGCCAGAGACTCAAGGGCTCAGGGAAGGGTGGCTACAGTGAGCCTGGGCCGTGAACACTCACCCCTTTTATTGCCTTCAGAGGGCTCCTGCCACAGCAGATGAAGCAAGGAAGTTGGAGGAGGCCAAGTCAAGAGGCTCCCTGGTGGATTTCATTAAACGTAACTGACCCTACAGCCCTGGGTGGGCTGGCACAGTGCGGGGGAGGGGATAGTGGCCAGGGGGACCCCAGCCCCTGTGGTGTTGTGTGCGGTAAGGGACAGTAGGAGCAGAGGGCCTGTAACTGGCCCATCCCCTAGGTGTGCCTGCAGCCCAGGGGTTCTGCCAGAGCCTTGACAGCGGTCTGTTCACAGGGTTTCCATGCATCTTTCTGAGGCTCCTGATGAACTCACTCTTCGTCCTGGTGGTCCTGGCCCAGTGCACCTTCTCCTCCGTCATTGCTGGCCTCTCCACCTTCCTCAACAAGTTCCTGGAGAAGCAGTATGGCACCTCAGCAGCCTATGCCAACTTCCTCATTGGTGAGCCCAGAGGGTGCTGCAGGATCCGCAGGGCTTGCCTGGGCCAGGAGGCAGGCACTCCAGCCACCCATCCAGGGATGGGCGCAGGCCAGACCGGACATAGGCAGGGTCCGGAGGAGGACTGCCCAGGAGAAAGAATTTTAAGGACAGTTTTCCTGGTTGGCAATCTAGAAAGTTCTTGGCAGATTTCTGACTCCTGTCCTTCCAGTCAGGAGTGGGTGGAGGCTGGGGGCTGCCTTCCTCCCTGTAAAGGGGCTGGAAGTCTGACAGCTTCCCAAAGGCCCTGACATCATCAGGAACAACACAGGAAAGAGGGAAGGTTGAATTTGAGGTTAGACAAAATGCCTCCGGGATTTTCTCTTCTTCCCTAGGGACCTGAGTATATTTGCTTTGGTTAGACAATATATGGTCCAGAGATTCTCAACCCAGGCTGCACCAGAGGCTCCTCTGGAGAGCTTTACAAAACACAGATGCCCAGCCCTATCCCAGGTTAACGAAACCAGAATCTCTGGAGGTGGCACCCAGCAGTAGTATTTTTTCAACTGTGTTGAGAACTACAGATGTGGTCCCACCAAGTACCCTAGGAAATCACTGGGCCCAACCCAACCCACAGGTGAGTTTAACCATATGGAGTTGGCAAGGTGATCAGTGCATGAGATTGGAGGGTGACTCCCGTGCACCCCCTGGCTGGTCCTTGGCTGTGGCTTTACCCCTCTGGCCTTCCATCTCTGACTGGTACATAGGGGTCATCACTCTTGTGTTGCTAACCCCATGCGGTCCCATGCAAAGAGGCCCCAAGGAATGAAATGTGCTTAATAAATGCATATTCAACCCACATCTCTTAAGCTGCAAGAACCCCACTTCTGTATTTTTTGTGTAGGCAAGGCAATCCTGTCTCAAGATATTTCTCTAGATGTGCCTGGCAAGCAGTAAATGCTCAATTAATGTCAGCTACTTCGATTACAATTTAACATACCAAATGTTCCTTCCTGAAGCCATGCTTCCTTCTCAGTGATCCAGCTCAGTGTTTGTAGCCCACATGCAGTCCCAGGCCTGTGCACCTGGATCACCTCCTTCTTTCCACTTATAGGTGCTGTGAACCTCCCTGCTGCAGCCTTGGGGATGCTGTTTGGAGGAATCCTCATGAAGCGCTTTGTTTTCTCTCTACAAGCCATTCCCCGCATAGCTACCACCATCATCACCATCTCCATGATCCTTTGTGTTCCTTTGTTCTTCATGGGATGCTCCACCCCAACTGTGGCCGAAGTCTACCCCCCTAGGTAATGGGAATAAGGGGTAGAGAGATCCCCTTTAATAAGGCCAGGGCTTAGATCTGGCTGTTATACATCTTCCTTCCTGCTTCCTTAACTCTATTCTTTGCTGTACACTTTTTTTTTTTTTTGAGACAGAGTCTCGCTCCGTCACCCAGGCTGTAGTGCAGTGGCGTGATCTTGGCTCACTGCAAACTCCACCTCCCAGGTTCAAGTGATTCTCCCAGGTTCAAGCAATTCTCATGCCTCAGCCTCTCGAGTAGCTGGGATTACAGGTGTGTACCACCACACCCGGCTAATTTTTGTATTTTTAGTTGAGGCGGGGTTTCACCATTTTGGCCAGGCTGGTCATAAACTCCTGACCTCAAGTGATCTGCCTGCCACAGCCTCCCAAAATGCTGAAATTACAGGTGTGAGCCACCCCGCCCGGCCCACTTTTGATCTGATCTCTCACGTGGCAACTTAGAAAATCAGGTCTTGAATGGTCTGCTCCATTATAAGAAGAGATCAAAGGCTCTTACTGGGCCACCAGCAATCAGGGTTAGAGTTCTGTTTTCTTAAGAAGCACCAAAAACTAATTTGTTTGATTTCAGGATGAATTTGTAGGGCTGTGAGCCACAGGAACCAGGAAATAAGCTATGTTTAGCATCAGCTCTGTGCTGGCTAGAATTTCAGTTTCATTGAGCTGCTGAAGAGAGATGAAAGGAGACTTGAAAAGATCTGGAGAAGAATAATGAGAGTGATGGCAGACTTGAAAAATTAGGGCAGGTGAGGAGAAGGTCAGGTAAAGTCTGCCTGTTGGTTTGCAGACAGCAATATGGGTCACAGTGTTAACTTTGGCTTTATGTTCAGGAAGAGCTTCAGAGCCCTGTGAGGGGAAGGATGCCAACCAAGGGGCATTTTATTTTATTTTTCCTGGGTGCCACCTGTCAACAAGCTTTTTTTTAAGACTTTGCCTAATGAAGTTGCAACATTTGGAGATGCTGTACCTTTCAGCCCTGGTATTTTCTCTGTTTTTTTTTTTTTTTCTTTGAAATGACCTCCTCTGTCTTTGGTGGGTGAAGGAGAGAAGGGGTTTGGGGGAAGGGAGGGTTGCTCGGGGTAGGGAGCTCACCCCTAGTCTGTACGGCACTTCTGCAGGCTGACTGTGGATTGAGGAAAGCCGAGAAGCCTTTGGGCCTTTTGGCAGCGTCCACTGGGAGTTTAGCACATGGCTTTGTCCTCAGACAGGCCTGGACTGTATACCAGTGTTCCTTACTAGTTGGGGGAAGTTGCTTACCTTATCTAAGCTTTGGTTTTCTAATCCACAACAGGCAAATAATTCACTGTAGACTCGTTGTGATGATTGTGCATGTAAAGCCCCCGGGCACAGTGCCTGGCACGAGATGAACTCTCATTCGTATAATTATACTAGTGAAATATCTGGACAGTGGTTTGTCAGCCCCTTTCCCAACCCTCCCCGAAGAAGGTCATGAATATCAGATACCGGGGAACAGTGGGAACAGTGAGATCAACCAGTGAAATCCCTCTGGTTGAAGCTCAAGGGGATGGAGTAACTCTGGGCAAGGTCTACATTAAGCCAGGAGACAGACAGCAAACTAAATCCTGGATTGCCTCAGCGGTCCCAGCCACTGTTTTTCGGCTGAAGAAGAGGGAAGGCGAATATTGTCTGTGACCTGCCCATTGCAGCTGCCCTTTCTGGGTGGTTGGTTGTCTTGACGCCTACTGTGGCAAGGGATTCACCAGCCAGGCCTTCCCAGAGCATAATTAGTGGATTTGGGCTCCCAGTGGCAGAAGAAATGGAGAGATGCCGTGACCACTAAACAGTGGCAAATTCACTGTTGGCTCCACCAGGCATAATTCAGATCCCAGGGTGGCACTGGCCCAAAAGAAATAAAGATGCACAGACACACTCACCAGGCCAGGAACTCACACTGGGCTGGAGTGTAGGGTTTTTCTTTGGTCTTGCTTTGTTTGATTCCCCGTTTCCTCTTTTGCTGGCAGCACATCAAGTTCTATACATCCGCAGTCTCCTGCCTGCCGCAGGGACTGCTCGTGCCCAGATTCTATCTTCCACCCGGTCTGTGGAGACAATGGAATCGAGTACCTCTCCCCTTGCCATGCCGGCTGCAGCAACATCAACATGAGCTCTGCAACCTCCAAGCAACTGGTAAGGGCAGCCAGGGTCCAGAGGCAAGAGGAGCCCCACAGGATCTCGGAGCTCAGCGCATGCCCTCAAAGACTGTTTCTCGGCTCCAGGATAGGCAGGGCTCCACACACACACTCATTACCAGCATCCTGGCCTCCTCTGAGCCACATCCAACCTCTCTCTACCTCCCTACCCTGGGGTCATGACCAGATGCTGACAGCCCACAGTCAATTAAAGACTGGCCGATGTCCAACAAATTCACATTCTTGAGGCCTAACTGCTCAGAGCAGAAACCAGTCAAAGCACTCCTTCAGCTGAGGCCTTTGAGCCCCATCCTGAGAGATCCTCATGGGCATCTCTGGGTCCTGCAGGCTGGCCGTGGCCCAGATAAATCGAGGGCATTAGGCTTCTGTGACATGGACCTGGAAGGGTAGAGCCAGAAGCAGTAGCTGAGGGCACTTGGTTCAACCCCTCAGCTCCCAGGTGTGGCCACATGGCTGGCCTGAAATCATGCAGCTATTTCGGGCTGACCTGGCACTTGAACCCAGGGCTCTGCCTCAGTCTGGGGCACTTCTATTCAAAGCCATGTATCTTCTGGCCACCAGCTTTCCACTTGGGCAACCTCCATTCACTAGACTCACTTGGCAAAGTACAGTCCTTTTTTCTGTGGCTCCACACCTCCTAGGATCAGCCAGCAGCAAACTGACTTGAGTCATTTGTTTAGTTATTCAATAAACAGAACACTGGGCACAGCCGTGAGTGCTGAGGATGTGATGGTGAACCCATCAGACAAGGTCCCTGTTCTCATGGAGGGTGCATTCTATCAAATCAACACACAGGATAATTCTAGAAAGTAACCCATGCCATGGAAGGACTTAATAGGATGGAGAGTTCCCAGGGGCCTCCGGGAGAGGGTGACATTAGAAGTGAACAACCAGAAGAACAGAATTCTATGCACACCAGGAGCAATGCATTCCAGATAAAGGGAGCAGCAAGTACAAGTCCCAAGGGCATGAATGTACTGGGCATGCTGTAGGAAAGAAGAGAAAAGGCCGGGCTTGGTGCTGTAGGAGGAGTGTCACACCCAGCTGGCCAGGGAGCAGGCAGGAGCCAGAGCCAGGCAGGCCAGGCTTAGGAACTGCTGAGCAATGAGAAGACTGTGCAGTTAGTGTAAGCTAGGAACATGCCTTATTCCCTTAAGCCCATATGGAGGGGATGGGCAAGCCTAGTGCCTACTTACCAACCTCCTCTGAAAGGACAGGGCAAGGCTGCTGCCACTGCCACCTCTGCGGGCGAAGGAGCGTGGCTCCCAGGCAGAGGAAGGACAAGGAACTTGGACAAGATGCTCTTTAAGTTGCCTTCCAGTTGTGGTGGCTTCTGTGGTTTTCTTATCTTTGTTAACTTACCTCTGAGTCACCTACTTCCAGAAATAATCTTGGCAAGTTTCCCGTAACAGCATACATACCTCAAGACAAAAACCCATTAGCAAAATATCAAGAAAAAAAATCAGTAAATTATAAAGAAAAAAAATCTCTAAAAAATCCAGACTGAGGAAAGTAACAGCAATATTTTATATAACTAACTTTGGAGTTTCCTAGGGGCCAAGTGAAGAGGGTGCATAGTTACCACTGTCGGCAGAAGGAAACATACTAGTCCCTTAGTTCCAATATTAGTCTTGTAACTGCTTGGACACTGAAATTGTCACAGGCTGGGCCATCTGACAAGGGCAGCGAAGGAAGGTGAAGACCACCAGACAAGGGCAGTGGCCACCAAAGTGAGTTGGACAACAGTATTGAGCCATATGGACTTGCAGACTTGAGACAGGGGCCTCCTTCTCTGGAGTCCCTTCTAGGCAGGAGTTCCTTTCAGGCAGGGAACTCCAGCAAAGGCCTGACAGAATCAGAACCCAGGGAATTCCACTGTGTTCCCACTGCCCTCCTACTGTTTATGCCTCCCTCTGCAATAAACACACAAACAGCAAAAACAACAATCTGCAAAACCACCACTGCTGGGCACAAGCCCTCCTGGGCCCCTGGCTCCAAGCTGGGGGTTGGGGGCCTAACCTGGCAGTGTTCCTGGGCATCCAGAGGCAGATATGACTTCTGGAGGAGCCCAGCCCAGCCCAGAAGATGGTTTCTGTTGCCCAAACAGTGACAGAGGTGGGACCCCTGGGGCAGCTTGAAACCCTCACCTGGCCCCAGGCTCACCCAGCTTCCCTGGGAACCAGACCCAGAGGACACAAGGGTTGAAACCTCAGTCTCCAACAAGAGCTGGTGCAGACGTCTGAAGTGTGTGAAAGTGAAATAATAACAAATTTCCCCCTTTTTCCCTCCCCTTCCTCTTGAAGATCTATTTGAACTGCAGCTGTGTGACCGGGGGATCCGCTTCAGCAAAGACAGGATCGTGCCCTGTCCCCTGTGCCCACTTCCTGCTCCCGGCCATCTTCCTCATCTCCTTCGTGTCCCTGATAGCCTGCATCTCCCACAACCCCCTCTACATGATGGTTCTGCGGTGAGTGGCAAACCTCTGTGAGTCTGGGGCGTGGCTTCTCCTTCCCCACATCTCCCTTTGACTTTGCGCCTAGTTGCCTGTTTCTCATCTCTCCCCCCTTTTGTGGCCCTCAGAGTCCTTTAAATGACAATGTGCAAGGTTCTTTTGCTGAGGGGAAATAATACTAATGGCAACAGTGCTGGGAGCCCTGCCCAGGGAGGCTCTGTGCTGAGCTCCTCATTGCAGGGCCTCATTCAGTCCCACAGCGTCCATGTGACACAGGCCCTGTTGGCGCCTCCACTCTGCACATTGGAGGTTAAATCACAAGCCTAGGCTGGGCGCGGTGGCTCGTGCCTGTGACCCCAGCACTTTGGGAGGCCAAGGAGGGCAGATCACCTGAGGTCAGGAGTTCAAGACCAGCCTGGCCAACATGGCAAAACTCCGTCTCTTCTAAAAATACAAAAATTAGCTGGGCGTGGTGGCCAGTGCCTGTAATCCCAGCTTCTTGGGAGGCTGAGGCAGAAGAATCACTTGAACCCAGGAGGCGGAGGTTGCAGTGAGCCAAGATTGTGCCACTGCACTCCAGCCTGGGTGACAGAGTGAGACTCCGTCTCAAAAATAATAATAATTAAAAAAAAAATCACTAGCCTAGTATGGCAGAGCCAGTGAATGGCTGAGCCATGTGTTGAAGCCAGGCTGCCTGGCTCCACACCATGGAAATGCCTGTAGGTTTGCTTATTTTTAAATCCTAAAAGAAATGAGAAGAGCAAAGAGAATTTAGTTGGATGCATAAAACCAAGGCAGGAAAACGTGGAAAGTTTCAGAGTCAGAGTGAGGGCTATGGAAAAGGATGAAAATGAGAAAATCCTGGTATGATTGGCTCCAGGACCAAGTTCCCAGGTCAGGAAGGGAGCCGCTGGCCAGAGCTGGAGGGGAGGAGCGGGGTGTCCCGTTACAGCTGGCAGCTGGCAATGAATGCTTCTGAGGTTTTCACTGGGAATGACCCGCTCTTCACCTCACTGGCTGCAAGGAGAAAACAACATTTGTACCAAATTCACCTAACCCACCCCCACTGCCCTCCCTCCTGTCCTCACTCACCTCGCAAGCAGAGAGGGCAAAAACACAGGATTTGGACTCCCGGTGCCAGGATTAAAGTCCCTGCTCTGCCACATACTGGCTGTGTTAGGGTGTTGCCTAACCTCATTGAGCCTCAGTCTCCTTATTCATGAAATGATGATGATGATATCGAACTCAAAGGGTTGGTGTCAGGATTATATGGTAAATTGCTTTGTAAATATAAGGTGTTCTACATATTGGTTAATTATCACTATTAATCAAATAATAATAATAATAATTCACAGCTAGCTAGGTGTCTGTGACCTATTTTCCCCAGAAGGCTAGGAGAAAAGGAAGGAGCAGATGCAGCCACTTGTTGGGATCTGGGATTTTACCCTATTTATAAGTGAGCTATCAAGTTAGTGTGAAAGCTATCAAATCAAACTACTATTTCAAGGATGCTGGCAGAAGATGTGAGACTCCTGGGTCAAAGACAAAATACTTTATTACAGCACAGAAAGCAGCACAAAACTTAGGGTGTGTCAGTTATCCTTGACCCCCAAATCCTACAGGGGTGACACAGAGAGGCCCAGGTGTACACTTTGCAAGAACACTGAGCATAGAAGAGCCACCACTTCTATGGTGAGCAGTGAGCACCGCTGCTCCTGGTCTTGGAGGAAACGTTAACTCATGCCTCAGAGTTGCTCATTGCAACTACAACCCGGAGAAACGGCACAGGAAAACAGTAGTCAGGACCTTGCATTCTGAGCTTACTCAGCAAGAAGGTGCAGGGATGCTTGGAACCCACGGCGTGTTGCCTCCTTTGACACCACTGTCACCCCCTTCTCTACCGCTCCCCATCCTGCGCATTCAAAGCACTGACAGCTTCACCTGAGACTCTTCAGCGGGCTTCCCTTCTTGCACCTTGGGTCAGATGGACCACAGTGGACCCTCCAGCCCTGACATAAAACTACATGAGGCCATGATGAGGAGAGGGCACAGAGTAGGAAAATCTCCCTGGCAAGTCGCTATGCAGCAGGAAGAAGGGCAATCCCTGTCAAATCACCTCCCAGAGGACTCCTGTCAAACCCTAGGTACAAGGAGGTCGTGAAGAACAGAGCATCATTTCAACCACAGGATGGGCTTCTCTAGAAAATCTCTCCTTTCTAGGTCGAGTTGGGGTAGGGGGTGGAGAGGAGGCCCCAGGATCCCACAACGATTTAAAGATAAATCCTACTGGGAAAGATGACAGAATTGATGCTATTTAGTGTGAAGAAGGAGAGGCTTAAAGATGACTTTGTAGGCCGGGTGTGGTGGCTCACACCTGTAATCCCAGCACTTTGGGAGGCCAAGGTGGGTGGACCACCTGAGGTCAGGCGTTCAAGACCAGCCTGGCCAACATGGCGAAACCTTGTCTCTACTAAAATTACAAAAGTTAGCCGGGCATGGTGATGGGCGCCTGTAGTCCCAGCTACTTGGGAGGCTGAGGCAGGAGAATTGGTTGAACCTGGGAAGTGGAGGTTGCAGTGAGCCAAGACTGAGCCACTGCACTCCAGCCTGGGTGACAGAATGAGACTCTGTCTCCGAAAAAAAAAAAAAAAAAAAAAGATGACTTTGTAGGTGACCCAAGCATTATTTATATGAGTCCTGGCCCCCAATTAGCCATGGGAACACAAGCTGGAAGTGAAGGCTAGCTGAAAACGTGGAAGGAGAAAGAGAGGTCAGAAGGTCAGCTTTCATTCAGGGCCACATGGGACAGAGACTAGAAGGGGCCCAAGATCTCAATCAAAAGCCAAATTGGGGTGGCCAAGTCCCGTTTCATTGAGAATCTAGGGGAGTCTGCCCAGGGCAAGGGCCAAGACAAGGCAGGTATCTATTATGAACTGGACCACTGGAGGGATCTGTAGACACAACAGGATTTGAGACACTTTGCATTGTGGGGGTCCCAAGGGGTGCCTCTTCCCCTGCCCCAATGAGTATTTGTCTCACTGGGCCATCCCTCAGGGGGACTGGGCAAAGGTCCCTTTCCAGTTTGCTAGCAGAACTGTGATGGTGGTGGTGAAACAAACCACAGGTAGAGGCCTGGGGATTACTTCTGAGCTCCCTTCCTCACTGTCCCCTAGCACTGAAGGCTCTTCCTGACAAGCACCCACCGGGAGTGTGTGTGCTCAGAGCACAGAGAGTCCTGGAGTCAAGTCACTCATCAGGTGCCTCTGCTGGCCAGCTGCTGGCTCCCCACCTTGTGTGGAGGTGTCCTCCCTCTCTCCACTCCCCAGCTGGGATGGCAGGGCCGTCCCCTGCTCTCTCTGAATCTCCTTCCTCAGCCAAACACATTTTCCTCTCTTGAAGGAAGATGGTTAGGGGCAGGACCAGCTACCTAATTTGCAGGACCTATTGCAAATGAAAATGTAAAGCCCCTGGCTCAGAAATTAAGAATTTCCAGACAGCTGCAGCAGAGCATTAAGCCAAACATGGGACCTTTCTGAGGGTGGAGTTGTATGCACACACCCACAGAGCTAGCCTGGGGTAGGGAATTCTTTTAGCTGTGCACAGAAGCCTGCAGCCCAAGGGCCCTAATTACACTTTGCAGCAGGGCTGTCTTTTACTGTTATAAGACATTCTGTGGGAGTTGTTCAGACCTGCTGCTATCAACACACCCACAGCATCCTTCTCTCCACTCCTAGCCTCTACTGCCCTCTGCTTCTTGAAGGGGGCTCTGGGCAGCCCTGAAAATCACACAGACTGGTGGTTCTCAGTGATGCATCAGAATCTCCTGGAGGTAAAATACAGATTGCTGGGCCCCATCCCCAGACTTTCCGACTCAGTAAGTCTGGGGTGGGCCTGAAAATCTGCATATCTAACAAGTTCCCAGGGGATGCTGATGATCCAGGGACCACGCTTTGAGGCCACTGATGTAAAGAACTAGAGCATTCAGCCCAGGTGAACCCGGTCACCAGAGGGCTCGTCAGGCCACATCAGGGCTGGTTCTGACCTGCTCTGAGGCTGGCTGCCCCTTACCCAAGGGATCGTGCAGCCCTGAATCCTCCCACTGCTGATTTCCTGTCTGTCTTTTCAGTGTGGTGAACCAGGAGGAAAAGTCATTTGCCATCGGGGTGCAGTTCTTGTTGATGCGCTTGCTGGGTAAGTGTCTAAGACCCCTCTTCCCAAGAAGTGGCCCCAGGCGATGGGGCATCTGAAGGCTATGGGTGCAGGGTAGCGATGGAGGAAGCACCATCTCATCTCCATGGCGAAGAGAAGCTGTGCATAATCAACAGCAGATGCCAAAATCCATGTGGACGGTTTCCCAGATTGCTTGAGGTTAGGAAAGACTCCATCTATGGCATTCATTCCTAACTAAGTTATGTAAGAAAAATGAAAAGTGAACACAGCTGAGAATACCTAATAGAGTGTTAAAGGCAGGTATTTTTAAATCCTTCTCACAAAACTCACTGTAGGAACAAAACTTTGCATTCCTGCCAAGCCAGAGCAGCGGCTGAGCCCAGCCCTGGCTTCCTTTCCATTTTACAAAATTCACTCCTCCTAAAACTATTTAGCAAAAGTTTCTTCCCTGTGGGGTCCTCTGCTGGTGAGTCCTGCCTGCCCTCAAGCAGTCCAGAGCCCACCAGAGGAATGGAGCTGTGCACAAGTGATCAGCAGTGCCCCAGGGGAGAGCGAGCTGCTTGAGGCAGCAGGAGTGCTCTCCCGGGGTGCCTGGGCTGAGGGCTGGGGGCACAATGCAGGCCCATTCCTGAACTGCTCACACTGGCTGTTCCTTCTTGACATATCTGTGCACTAGACTTAACACAAGGCAGCAATAGAGAGATCCTTGTAATGACAGGCACACAGTAGTAAAGGGACCTAATTGAACTGAGGATGTGTTAATTAAGGGTGCAAACTACAGAGGGGAATATGGAGACTCCAGCAAGAGGAACTTCAGTTACTATAAGGTGTCGTTTCTGACTATAAATCCTGAAATAATGTATAGCCCACTGTGCCTCATTACCCAGGGGCCAGGTCAACACCGCGCCCTGCAGTGGCTTCCATCCCCATTTTGAGATGTATTGGTGATGTCTCTACTGGGGCCAGGTGAGCGGGAGCCCTTGCTGAGCCCAATCCAGTCCCAGGCTGGGAGAAGTGTTTGGATGATGGGAATGAACCAGCTTTTTCAGTGGGATTTCTTGTTCCTCTAGTCCCTGCAGAGCCCCTTCAGACCCTGCTCCTGCTGCCTGCATTATAAACACAGAGGAAGCAGGGCGGCAGGATCTACCTGTCCTCCCAGCAGAGGCTCTGCTGTCATCAGAGCTCCTTATTTTCATTTATAACTTAACTTTCTCTAACACTTCTGCTGGGAAAGAGACCTCACATTCCTCTCAGCCCATCCAGCACCTAGGATAGGCTCTAAAGAGCCCTTTCCTGCTTCCTCCAGCAACCTTGAAAATGACCTTGAAAACAAGGACTCTCTCGGACTCTCTCGCACTGCTTGAAGCACTCGCTGCTTTTGCTTTTCCATTTGAGCTCAGATAACTCAATGTGGGACCACAATGAGAAAACCCAGGCCTGGAGGGGTTCCATTTATCACCCAAGAACACAATCCACTCTTGGGTAAAAAAAAGGACTTCCTATTACAGGTTTTAAATTACACATTGGGATTGGGTTGACAATGTTTCCGGACTTTGCTTCTACATAAGGAAGTGTCATATATCACTCTGGCCAGTTTTCATCCCCCTGTTCACCTGGAGACTTGAGAGTGAGCAGGATCTGAGTAGAGAGGCTTCTTCTTAGAGTTTCCCACTTGTGGGCAGTGCCACAAGTGGAGCATTGTCTGTCTTTCTTCTGGAAGCAGCTGCTCACAGGGCCCTAAACAAAGTCTGGGAGGCTGTTGTCAGCACTGTGGTGCTGAGAATGGGATGGGCCAGCCTTGGTGTAAATCCTGGACAAGCCCTCCGCAGTCCAGTAACTGCCTAGAGCTGTAGCTAGTGGTACGCTACCCACAGGTAGTGTGGCATCCGGAATATTAGACAGCCAGGAAGGCATAGCCCCTGCCAAGCCAAATCTTAACACTCAGCTGCTGGGAAGTTCGGGGTCCCAGAGCAGAAGCTTTGAGCAGCCAGGTATTGGGAGGTCTGCAGAGGGGTGTTGTCTAATCCAATAGGGCAGCTTGGTGTGGTGGAAGTACATGGGATTCGAACCTCCATAAACCAGGGTTCCAAGTCTGGCCTTGACTTCTCTTGGCTGTGTTACAGTGTCCCAGCCAAGAACCCCTTCCTCTTCACTAAAAAGTGGGCACCCACACCTCGGGGCCAGTGTGAGGACCTGAGAAGTCGATGCCTGGAGAGCCTCCTGCCACACAGTGGAGGCCCGTGTATCTCCACTCTGAGCTGATCTCAGGAGAACTATGTTGGATGTCTGAGCCGGCATCAAGGTGATCCCTGTGACTTACTCTGACTTGAAAGAATGGCCCAGGTCCCTTTTGTCTTCTAAGCCTTCTGGTGAAAGAGAAATTCAGGCTTCACTGAAAGCTATTCTGCTTTCCAGAGTCACTGTGAGTCCTATGGGTACGGCAGAGCCGTTCTCATGTATGTGAACTGTGTCGGGGACTTGGCTCCCACACCCCTGCTGGACACCTCTGCCTGCAGTTCCACCTGACCAGGGCTTTCTGAACCCTCTTCCAGCCTGGCTGCCATCTCCAGCCCTCTATGGCCTCACCATTGACCACTCCTGCATCCGGTGGAACTCGCTGTGCTTGGGGAGGCGAGGGGCCTGCGCCTACTATGACAACGATGCTCTCCGAGACAGGTGAGGGCCCATCATGTATGTGTGTCCCAGAGCCAGGCCCTGGGCTTGAGATGACAGTAGTCATATGCCCAGTGGCTACTGTGGGGGCTGTCAGGCTTCCAAGGAAGAGAACATGAAGGGCCACCTCTGCGGCCCTGCCATGGACAGGGAGCAGGGGCTACTATAACAGGCATTTCAGGGCTCACAGGGAGATGTCCAGGGACTTCCATGACCCGAAAGCCCTTGGAAGGGGCAGCAGACCCAGGGACTTCCCTGACCCGAAAGCCTTTGGAAGGGGCAGCAGCAGAAAGAAGGGGCGGGGATGGCTGGAGCCCAAGGAAGAGGCCATGGCTGTGGAAAAATTGGGGGCAGCCTCCTGCTGCTCAGAGACAGAGGGGGGCCACATCATGGCTCCTGGCAGAGGTCCAGGGCAGGGGGACCAACCTGCCTCAATGGGCCAAGTCCAGCTGCAGTGCTATTGGGTTCTGCACCCCTTCCAGCCACCTCACCTGCTGCCGTTGTCATATGGCCCAGAAACCACAGGAAGGTGGGCTTGAGGGGACTGGGCAGGGGCTGGAAATGGTATGGGAGTGGCAGAGAAGACCACAAAAGGGACAGGCCAAGAGGGCAGTGAGAAGATGCCTCTCTCCTTCTGGCTCTGCTTGGAGGTCAGGACCGTCTGGGGGTGGCTGGGGCAGCTGGGTCACCTCTGGCCCTCTGGAAAGAGCCAGTGGAGGGATGATGAGCCCTGGATTAAGAGTCCCATGCCTACTCCCTGCCTGCTTCCCTACAGCTTTGTTCCCTTTTGGGTCAAAGAAATGAGGAAAGTGATCCTCACCTGGATGGTGCCCACACCTTCCGCGGGCCAGCGTGGGAATGATGTGGTTCTTCCCAGTGGTCCTGGCCCTGGGATGTGGGCTGCAGAGCCCCCTCCCTCACCAGTCCTGCCTCCTCCTGCCCACAGGTACCTGGGCCTGCAGATGGGCTACAAGGCGCTGGGCATGCTGCTGCTTTGCTTCATCAGCTGGAGGGTGAAGAAGAACAAGGAGTACAACGTGCAGAAGGCGGCAGGCCTCATCTGACCCCACCCTGGGCCACTGCCCTGCTCCAGAGAGTGGACCTTGACTCTTCCACACCTGCCTATACTCACTAATGTTAACACGTCATTTCCTTTTTGTATTTTTAAACAAGAAAGAAAACCCCAGTCCTCATTTGCCTTCCCTACCTCTTCCTCCCAGAGTCCTCCCCACAGTTCCTAAGGGCCACTGTGTACCCGGGCTGTGTGGGCCAGAACTGGGGGGCTGAGTCTTCCCTGGCCCCTTGGAAGAGGCCCCCAGATGCCCAGGCTCACTTCAGTGTTGAGTCCTCCATTGAGGATGCCCACTGAGGCAGCCAGGCCCCTCACCAGCCCTGGGGGGAATCCTAAACAGAGAGAGAAAAAGGGTATCTGCCCTTCTTGCCAGGCAGCTCCACTCTCCCGCTGACTGCCCACACCCTGCAGAGTGGCAGGGGTGAAAGGAAGAAGGAAGTGGCTGAGTTATTAATAGCCAGAGCCACTGGGAGACTGGGGAGACTGGCTGTAACCCCCTTCACACCTGGGTTTGGCATCAGCACAGACTACGGGAGGGGCTGGCTCCCTCCCCCTCAGACCCTCACTTCCTGTACCTAGAGGCCATTCTGGATGCTGCCATGTTGGGAAGTACAGTCTCTGCCCATTACCTGCATGCAGGCACCAGAGCAGGGACTGAGAAACCCCAAGGATGGGTCATCTAAGTGCTGTCCATATGAACCCTGGACTTTCTGTCCTTAGATCCTCACATGTTATCCCTGTCTTTCTGGGGTACGTTTCAAACTGAGGAAGCTACAACACAGTGAAGACCCAAGGAAGGCCTATGAAAAGGTCCTGATGCCCAACCTCCCACCCCTTCAATGTGGGGACGAGACCCCCTCATCTCAGAGTAATGGGAAGAACCTCCCACATCTCCCTGGCAGCAGATGAGGTGGCTTCACATGCACTTCCCTGTCTGGACTTCAGCCCGTATTCCGAGGAGTAGAGAGGCAGAAGAGATGTCAGCAAAGCAAGTGATGAAGCAGAGTGGATGTCCACTGTCACCAAGCTGGATGGCAAGCTGCGGCCCACAAAACAGCCAGTCAGGTTGGCTTTCCTGGTTTCAGACATGCTCATACCATTCCCATTTTCTCAGCCTCTTCTCACTGCCTCCAGAGAGGTGGGTGCCTGGGTTGAGAGACACAGCTGCTACGTGATAGATGTTGAGAGACAGAAGCCAACGAAGGAGGTCATTCATCAACAAATATATTTATTGGAGACCGACTTTGTGCAAAGCAATGCTAATCAGGGTTCTCCATGGAGCTTCCCTCAGCTCTTACCTCACCTCCCTCCATTTACATTAGGGCCTTCTCCCAGGGTGTGCTCGGTGGGCAGTGTGGGACTGGGGGTGTGGGAGTTGGTGAGAGCAGGAGGAGAGGTGGGGACAGCAAGAAGCCACAGATTGGCATGAAGGATCCTGACCTGACTATCCATGCCATCCATGGCCCCCAGACTGACTCTGCACCTGGCCCTTTGCCAGACAGCTCTGTCTCCCCATGTCCTCTGGAACAGCTGGGCATGGGTCATGGCCATTCATGACCCTTAAGTGCCACCCTTCTTGGAAGACCCCCTCCAGAAGCATACTGGAAGCCACCTCTGGAAAAGCCTCATATGGTGATATGCCAAAATATTTATGTCAATGTCCAAACAAAGTCCAATGCCATGAGACTGAAGTCTTTGTGGAAACCACTGTTACAGACAAGCTTATTTCCAAAGCCACCTCATTTCCAAACATCTCACTCAGGAAGGGAGGCTCAATGTAACCTCAGGGGCCAGTTTTAGCATTTGAAATGGTTCTGCTTGGAAAATGATGCCCTGCAACTAACCCTGGTCTTTCCCATGGCAATTTAACCACATTTGGAAGGCACTGCCTTCAGCTGAGTTTATGAACAATGAATGCCAACCTTCAGGTTCTAGAAGATTGGTTGCACTCCCAAACCTTTATTCTATTATATTACTATTAAAATATTCTAATTTTGCTATTGAGGTAACTTGGTCATGAATTTATGTTGTCATATACATCTGTCAGAGAACAGACAGCACCTGCACTTTTTAATTTTATTTTATTTTTATTTGTATTTTATTTTTGAGATGGAGTCTTGCTCTGTCACCCAGGCTGGAGTGCAGTGGCACAATCTTGGCTCACTGCAACCTCTGCCTCCTTGGTTCAAGCGATTCTCCTGCCTCAGCCTCCAGAGTAACTGGGATTACAGGCCTGCGCCACCACACCTGGCTAATTTTTGTACTTTTAGTAGAGACAGGGTTTCACCATGTTGGCCAGGCTGGTCTCAAACTCCTGACCTCAAGTGATCCTCCCGCCTCAGCCTCCCAAAGTGTTGGGATTACAGGCATGAGCCACTGCGCCCTGCCGGCACCTGCATCTTGTAAACAGAGGAAGTGCTCATGACATAGACCCCAGGGGCCCATGGCCATGGAGATTAGAGGTAATGCAACTGTCAACCCATTAGCCTGGTATCAGGCAAGTACCAGACACTGCTTATTCCTTCAGTGAAGTTCTGCTGGGCTCTGAGAAGGCCGCATCACTGCTCTTGGGTTTATATCCAGAAGCGGAGCTGGACGCAAACAGCTATGTCCATGGCACAAAACAGAATTAATATCATAATCAAATTGATCACATGGTCACAACCAGTACTACTACTCCCAAGAAAATCTTTCTTTTCAGCTGTCAGCAGGGAATATAATAGTGTCACTTTCATTTCACTTCTAGAGCAAAGCTTAACAAACTTTCTTGAGTGTGTGACACTCACAGAGGATGCAAATTCCCAACACCCTCCACCCAGCCCCAGCGTCTACTTCTGTGGGTCTAATGGGGACCCAGGAATGGCTCTTTTAACGGCCCCCTCATGAGATTGATGTGGGTAGTTCCCAAATCCTGTGAGGTGGGCTGTCAGTGCAATAGAGCCTGGGGTATGCCCATTTGTGCTTAGGCCACTGAGAAATTTACAGGCTCGATAGGCCTTTGGTATGTTCAAAGGTGAGTGAAGGATAACAAGGTGAAGAGATGCCTGTGAATCTGATTTTTTGGATGGCTGCAACTAAGAGTCAATGGGCATGAAAAACAATCCAAGAGCTCACATTTATATGAGGCCCTTATCAGTACTGAGAGAGACATTCTCACTTCACAAGCTTGGATGTGCAAAAAGAAAAAAATCACTTATTTCTTTAAATCAGTTATTGATTTCAAACCCCCCATCCTACTGTCTGGCTGGAAATTCAATATCAACCATGCTTGGGTCTGGCTCCTAGAGCCATCTGAAGGTCCTTGGATGCCTACGCATTCAAGGGTGCCATTGTGGGTCTTTGGTCCCTTTCCCATTTGAGGCTGTTTAATGGCCCTGCTTCTCACCTGAGCCTGGAAACCCTACAAAGCCGAGACCCCAGGGTTAGGCCCACCTCCCTGTGCACACTCGCGGCTATGCCCTCTCCCGGCCCCAGTCCTAGGAAGCCCACTCCTCTGCACCACTCCCTCTCCCTACAGAATCCCGCTCCTCAAGGGCTGAACAAAAAAGCCGGAAAAGGAAGAGTGTGCAGGAACCTTTTTTATTCAATCCTTCTTTTACCCTTCTTGGAAAAAGCGCAAATACAGTGATAACTAAATACCGTATCTCTATCAATTATCCTTTGGCCCAAAGCCCTTTGGGGTGATCCTCCATGATGGATGCCCCATGTAAAGGTGAGGAATCTGATCCCGAGGAAGCAACCATTGTGGCCAATTTCACATAGATAATAGCTGGCCAGGTCTAGACTCAAACCAGGCTGTCCACTTCTCTCTGGTCCAGCCCAATTGCCCCAGCTGAGTCATTCTGAAGAGTCAGCATGGACTAAAATGGTGGGGAGGCCCCTCTTTTCCCACTGATGTTCACTGGCCCATGGGAGGGAAGTGGGGGAATCTCTTGAGGGCCATTAAGGTGGGTAACAAAGGCAAAAGAACCAGGTAACAGTTCATTTACTTACCTTCTATTCAACTAGCAACAACATCACAACTATTCATTAAACAGGGCCAATTTATCCCTATAGCACCATGAGTTAAAGAGAGTTGTGGAGAAAAGAGACAAAGAGGGAAGGGTTTTGAGAAGAAAAGGCCCTGAGAATCCTGCACACAGACCTTCAAGGGAACAGCTCCATCTGGTGACTGCTTAGCAGATTCTTGCTCAAGAAACAAAGCCATATTGTGATTTTATTCAACCACTCTCAAAGATGGAGAGATACAGTTAAGCTGGAGGCTGAAGCCAGTCAGTATCAAATTGATACTAAAATATTATATTGCAGCAAATCCAGAAGAAATACATCCTATCTTTCGCAACCACAGGAAGTAAATACCTGGAAGAAAGGTCCATCTCCTGCCAGTAGCACCAGACACCAGATTCATTATAACCTTTCATCAGAGATTAAATATGGAAACAGATCCTGGAAAAGCCCTTGGCAAATCATAAATGAGAGGAAGTTTTTCTCCATGGCATACCCTGGCCATTCCTCCACTCTCCAGCCACATCATGTCTCCAGCCCTGCTACAACTTGACAGCAATAATAATAACTAAAATGTGCACAGATCTTTACAGTTTACCAAGCCATTAACCCATTTAAAACACTTCTTTAATCAGTAAATCAGTGGGGAAAGGCTTGGCTATGCTGTGGTAACAAACCTCTCGAATCTTAGTCACTTGACACAACAAAAGATGGTATCTCGCTCACAGAACCTGTGGTGATCTGGGTGACTCTCAGGTCAGTGGCTCAGTAGTGCCCCTCTGCCTGCTCAGGGCCTGGAGGATTGGCCTGAGAGCCCCCCCAACCAGTGTCTCAGTAACTCAGACTGTTTGGAACCTGAGGTACCTCCATTTCATTATAAGCTGCCATGATGGATGGGGCAGGGGAAGAAAGTCCTGGAAGATCCCGCACTGCTAAGCAATGCTTTGTCCCAAAGTAACGCTCTTCACTCTGCTCCCAGCCTAGCTGCCGCAAGAGCGGAACAGAATATTCTGTGTGCTCAGGAGAAGAAAAGAGCAGATATGGTTGAGCACTAAAACCCTCTACTGTGGGTAGTGAACCTAGGTGGACACAGTTGCTCACCGGGACACTTAAACCAGCTTTGCGGGGCTGTCGGGGTTGGGAAGCACAGTCTGGAAAGATTTCCCAATGGAGGAAGCACCAATTGTGGGTCCCTGAAGCTGAGGGGATGATGCCCAGGCAAGGCCGAGGCAGTCTGCAGAGGGCTGGGGAGGTGGGAAAGACGATTTTGCTCAGAGGAGGCAGAGATGGGGTGGTGGCTGAGAGAGATGCAGGGTCAAGGAAAGGATGGCTTCAGAGAGGAGAGATTTGCTGGGGCAAAAGGCCACAGGATGGGGAGGCTGCGGGGTCCAAGAGGACAGCTGATGGAGCGAGACCCTGCAGGCAAGGAGGAGATGGGGTGACTCATGGCAGAATCGCACCAGAGTTCCCACAGCCCTGTGCGGCCACTATGACTAGTCCCATCCTGTACATGGAGAAAACGAGGCTCCTTCCAGTTGTCCCTCACGCCTCCCTTGATTTATGTACTACCTGATGTGTATAAGGACAGGTGGTGACAAACACATGGTCCCTACCCTTCAAGGACATATAATCCAGAGCTAAGACAAGACCTTAACACAGGGCAAAGTACTATGCTCTGAGTTCATTTGATGAGCGATGGGAGAACGGGCTTGATCCTAGCCATGCGGGAGAGACTGGAATTCAAGAGAGTCAAATGTGCTGGGAAAGACTTTCTGGGCAAAAGGAATAAGCAAAGGTGTGCAAAGGTAAGGAAGCAGGAAACCTTTGCACATCTTGAGAACTCGCCGGCCAGAGGCCTGTGAAGGAGCGCAGTGGTCAGGCAGGAGAGGCAGTCGGATGCAGGCTGAGACCATCCTGGAGGGTCTTGAGGCTGGCTTACCCCAGGCTGTGAGTAGTGGGCTCAGCCTAGTCCCGGCTCCTGGGTTAGTGCTCACGTGTCTCTCTGCCCCCTCAGGGCCTGGAGGAATGGCCTTAGAGCCCCCACCAACCACGCTCAGGAAGGCATTCCTAGCTCAGAGTACCCTCCTGGAGTCTACACTGGAAGGGGCTCCTGAGTGGGCCGCGCCACACCCCGAGGAGCAGAGGCGCAGTCCTCCCGCGTGCTCCCAGCACACTCCACCCCTACCCAGCACACCCACGGGGCCCCCACCTTGCTCACCTGGGGGGAACCACCCACTCTGCGCCCTCTCAGGGAGAGGTGGTGGCCGCTGCTCTATCCCCTCCCTCTCTTCCTCTTCCACCTTCTCTCTCTTCTCATCTGGGTGCTGGAACCCAAGGGTGAAACTGAGAGTCAGAAAGTCTCAGTCTCAAGGCAGAGCGGGGCAACTAATTTAAAACGGCTTCTACTCCGGCCCCCAGTGTGACTAATCTCCTTCTCTTCGCTCCACAGGTCTATAAATGGGCCACAGTAGGCACCCCTTTTTAAATCTGTAAAATCCCCAAATCCATTAAAAGTGACTTCAGAGGTCCCAGATAGGGACCAACATTTGTTTAAACCTTTTCCTCATTACATCTCATGACCGCCAGCTTACAAAAGAGAGACTGGGGGTTCTGGATGAGACGTATGCAATCCCTGAGTCCACCTTGGAAAGGACAGAGGCAGGTGTCACACCGTTCCTCTTTGACCCGAATCGCTTGAATCCCAGAGTTTCAACAGCTCAGGTGGGTTGAAGGCTCAGAATGTACCAGACATCCGAAGCGCTTTACATACATTTGCTCCTTGAATCTTCACGACAGCCCTGTGAGATGCAATAATCATGCCATTCCACAGACGAGGAAACGGGCCCAGGGGACTGCGGTCTCGGCTCCTTTCCTCTGGCTTTCTCAGAAAAGGCGCGGAGGCCCCCGCCGGGTGGGCGAGGCGGGGTGGGCGGCCCCTTGCGCCCTGGAGTCGCATTCCGCCACCAGGGGGCGCCGCCCCTCCGCCGCGGCCCGGGGAAGCCACCCGCGGAGGCGCCACGCCCAGCCCGCCCACGGGACGCCCCCGCGGCCCCACAGCCAGCCGGGCGGGACTCCACCACCCGGCTCAGCGCGCCTCCGATAGCCCGCTTCCCCGCCGGGGCGCCCTCGGGCCTGCGGGGCTCCCCGCGCCCACCGCACGCACGCACGCACGCCTTCCCCTACTCGGAGGGCCCGGCGGCTGAGCCCACCGGCGCCTGCTCACGGGACACAGCCTCGAGAAAACTTCCTCTCTGACTGCCCGCGATAAAGCACCGTTTAGTCTATTTATGTTTTCTGCACGAAAGTGTATTAAACACGTTAGAGAACAAGAGGAGTAGAGAGTAAGGTGCCACGAGGCACCGAGAGGGCCCGCGGGAACACACGGCTTCCTCAGGCTCTCTGACCGGCCGTGAGCAGGGTGGTCCCCGGCCGCATTGTGGGGCCATTCGCACCCAGAAGCTGTCAGCCTCCCCACTGCGTCACTGGCACCATCTGGGAACCATTATTCAGCCACTGCAGGGGGCTAGGTAGCCTCTGCTTCCTCCTTCCAATTCCCAAAACCTTCACCACAGCACCTCCTGGGGCCTGGCCCCGAGATAGGCTTGCATGTCGGAAAGAAACTGTTGTCAGCATTCCAGGCACTGTCCACCCCGGGAAAGGGGCAGGTACCCATCCCGTCACAGACTCAGGTACCCGGGCAAGCCGGGCACCAGGCCTATAGAGGTGAACAAGACAAACAGAAGGCAGACAGACAACCAAGAAAGCATCCAAACTGTGGCTGCAATTGGCTGATCAATTACAGGTGCAATAGTGCCATGAAGGAGAAGTGCAAACAGACAGACAGATGCCTGCATGGAAATGCAGGGGGAAGCCGGTGTATGTGGTGGATTAACAAAGGTGAAAGAGGCCCGTTCCCTAGGGATTGGAGATCTGGAGCAGAGATGAGCTCTAACTGTGCCTGGAAGGATAGGGTAAGTTTGTTGACAGGGGCCTTAGAGAAGGTGTTCTGGGCGGAGGGGACTGCAGGAGTGAAGACTCAGAGATGAGAAAACTGGACCATGTTTGCCTGGAGGGCAGGGTGTAAGTAGCGCCCCCAGTTGCAAGGTGCCTCAGGCAGAGCGTGGTGAGTGGTGGATTCTAGAGGGAGAGAGTGTATCATGTACATCTCCTTTAGTAACTAACAGGGTGCTGCTGGTGGATGATGGGGCGTCGCTGACAGAATTTTAACAGAGGCAAGATGCAACCAGATTTCAGGGTGTAAAAGGCCACTGGGGCTACATGTGTACTTGGAAGAGGGAACCTGGCTGGCAAAGGTCCTTAGGAGGGAGGCCTACTTGTCATTATGGCCACTGGGATACTAGAGTAGGAGACGTCAGAGCCGAGGGCAGGACCAGCAAGCAGCAGGAGCATCCCAGGCACCCACAGGCTCCTGGCAGCCAGGATGAGCCAGCGCAGAATGCAGGGTTAGCAAAAGGCCATGCGGGAGCCCATCCCAGCACCAGAACTTGCCTTGTTATAAAACAGGCATTGGAAACTGGCTGAGCCTGGGCCCAGCACAAGAGTTCTAGTTGGCCTACAAGATATTTGCATGTCTTTAAGTTAGCTCCAAACACTGGGAGAGTTTGACTGGGGTTTTCTCTTGAAAAACCCTGGTGCAGCATTCCAGCCCAAAAACAATGGATTGGAGCTGAGTAGAGGGCAGTCCTTCAGATGGACCCTGTCCTCTCAGGGTGGCTGCGGTTCCCACATCATCTGCCTGGCCCTTGTAGGTATTTAAAACTTTCACACACACACACACACACACACACACACACACACTCAAAAAAGTCAAGTTAAAACACCAGAAATCCAGGTGGATGTTGGAAAAGACAAGCCCAGAAGGAAAGAAAGGCTGTTTGAGAAATAATGACCAGGGAAGATTGGCCGTGCTTGAGGATGGATGGGCAGAAGATGTGAGGAACAAGTGGTGATCGCCAGGTGACTGCTTGTGGCCTGCTAGAGAATCAAATCCAACATTGAGCTCCTCGTCCTCCCCAAACCTCCTTTCACTGACTTTCCTGTCTCAGTTAATGGCATTCCAACCTTAGGTGATTAGACCAAAAACTTGGAGACAATAGAAAATAAGCTTTAAAAAGACTTTTTAAAATCTGCTTTACTGACATATAGTTTATGAACAATGAAAAGTATTAATTTTAAGCCTACTTGCTGTTCAATGAGTTTTGACAAATGTATACAACCACACAACCACCATTTTAATCGAGATATAGAACATTTCCATGACCACCAGAAAATTTCTTGATACTTCCTTCCAGACAATACTATCCCCACCTCCTCACTCCACCCTCCTTCCTTGTGCAAGCAACCAATAAGCCTTATTTCACTATAGATTAGCTTAACCTGTTCTAGAATTTTATATAATCGGGGTCATATAATACATTATGTATCTAGTTTTTCTTGCTTAGCATGTTTTTGAAATTCATTCGTGTGGCTATGTGTATAAGTAGTTCAGTCCTTTTCATTGCTTGGTAGTATTTCATTGGATAAATAGATCATAATTTGTTTTTCTGTTCATTTATTTTTTGGCATTTAGGCAAAATATGTTTTTCTGTTCATTTGTTTTTTGGCATTTGTTTATAATGTTTTTACTATTGTGAATAAAACTGCTTAAAAATTAAGCAGTGCACATTTGTGCACAAGTCTTTCTGTGGACCTATGTTTTCTTTTCTCTTGGGGAAATACTTAGGAGCAAAACTTGCTGGATCACAGGGTATGTGTACATTTAACTTTGTAAGAAACTGCCTATTTCCAAAGTCATGCCATTTAATGCTTCCCACTGGTATGGGAGAAGTCAGTTGCTCCGTATCATTTTGAAAACTTGGCATCATTAGTGTTTTTAAATCATTGTCTTGAGGTTTAACTTACATGCAATAGTATCCATATATTTTTATTTTTATTTATTTTTTGAGACAGAGTCTCGCTCTGGTGCCCAGGCTGGAGTGCAGTAGTGCAATCTCAGTTCACTGAAACCTCAGCCTCCTGGGTTCAAGCAATTCTCATGCCTCAGCCTCCCGAGTAGCTGGGATTACAGATGCACACCACCACACCTGGCTCATTTTTATATTTTTAGTAGAGATGGGATTTTGCCATGTTGGCCAGGCTGGTCTTGAGCTCCTGACCTCAAGTGATCCACCCACCTCAGCCTCCCAAAGTGCTGGGATTACAGGCATGAGCCCACCGCACCCAGCCAATATATTTGTAGAATAAGGTAAATTTGTTCTGATAAATGTGTACATCCATGTGACTTCCATATCCAAATTAAGATATAGAACATTTCCATCTCCCAAATAAGTTCTCTCCTGCTCCATTATGGTCTCCTCATTACCATACCTCTTCCCTGCAGGGAACCTCTGATCTGCTGTCTATCACAGTAGATTAATTTTGCCTGTTCCGGAATTTAATGTAAGTGGAATCTTAAGTATGTCCTCTCACCATAATGCCTTCGAGTGAGATTCATCCATGTTATTGTATGAATCAGTAGTTTATTCCTTCCCCCACATGCAAAATGAATTTTAACTTTAAAAATCGTTTTTAAATCTTTACATTATCAACATCTTTAATAGTCACGAAATCATTATTTCAAATGGCCTAAGCCCATCAGTTTGTGTTTCAAATGATTTTACTACATCTTAAATATCTAATAAAATATGTAGTTTTAAAAGTCACATATTTGTAGAATGAACCTAGTAAAGGCTTATCATGAAGACTGCCTGTTGAATATTCCTGTTTTCCATTATATCCATAAGTAGCTTCTTAAGTAGGATCAGATTATGACAATCAGATCATCTAAGTTTCTATGAAGGCAAAAATTTAGTGTCTGATTTTTCAGTTTTCACATAAAAATGCTGATAAGACTATCTGAAAAAGTGAAAATACTATCTTAACTATCCTATGCTTGGTTAATTTTCCACAAGATATTTTTAATTGAATTTTTTGAGATATTTGTAGATTTGCATGCAGTTGTAAGAAATAATATAGACAGTGGCCGGGCACAGTGGCTCACGCCTGTAATCCCAGCACTTTGAGAGGCTGAGGCTGGCAGTTCACCTGAGGTCAGGAGTTCGAGGCCAGCCTGGCTAACATGGTGAAAGCCTGTCTCTACTAAAATACAAAAATTAGCTGGGTGTGGTGGTGGGCACCTGTATTCCCAGCTACTTGGGAGGCTGAGGCAGGAGAATCGCTTGAACCCGGGACGGCGGAGGTTACAGTGAGCCAAGATTGCACCACTGCACTCCACCCTGGGCGACAAGAGCAAGACTCCATCTCAAAAAAAAAAAAAAGAAAAAGAAAAAAAAATACAGAGAGATCCCTTGTACACTTTGCTTAATTACCCCCAGTTGTAACATTTTACAACACTATAACATTGCAGCCAGAATATCGACATTGATACAATCCATTTATTTTAGATTTCTTCAGCTTTACTTGTACTCATTGGTGTGTGCATATATGTGTGTGTGTCTATAGCTCTACACAATTCTATCACCTGTGTAGCTGCATGTATCCACCACCACAGTGGAGATACTGAACACTTCCATCACCATAAAAATCTCTCCTGTTGCCTTTTTTTTTTTTTTTTTTTTTTTTTTGAGACAGAGTTTCACTCTGTCACCCAGGCTGGAGTGCAGTGGCGCAGTCTCAGCTCACTGCAACTTCTGCCCCCGAGTTCAATTCTCCTGCCTCAGCCTCCTGAGTAGCTGGGATTACAGGCACCTGCCACTGCACCTGGCTAATGTTTGTGTGTTTGGTAGAGACAGGGTTTCACCACATTGGCCAGGCTTGTCTCAAACTCCTGACCTCAAGTAATCTGTCCACCTCGGCTTTCCAAAGTGCTGGGATTACAGGCGTGAGCCACTGCACCCAGCCTCCTGTTGCCCTTTTATAAACACACTCACCTCCTTTCCTCCTGCCCCCTCCTACCCCATCTCTAGCCCCTGGCAATCACACTAATCTATCCTTCATTTCTAAAATGTAACTAATCTATCTTTCATTTCTAAAATCTATCCTTTGTTTCTAAAATTCATTTCTAGAAGGTATATTCTAGAATGTATACACACACACAACATGGATGTATCTCACCCAGAAGGCTTAATGTGAGAGGACATATTTAAGATTCCACTTACATTAAATTCTAGAACAGGCAAAACTAATCTACAGTGATAGACATCAGATCAGTGGTTCCCTGGGGAGTAGAGGTATGGTAATGAGGATACCATATAGTATATATAATGATACACATAATATATGGTATATATAATCATATGGTATGTATTTTTTCACTCAATATCAATATAATTCATTGGACAGTCATTCAAGTTGTTGCATGTATCAGTAGTTTGCTCTTTTGTATTACTGAGTAGTATTCCATGGTATGGATGTACCACAATTTGTTTAACCATTCACTTCTTTTCTTTATATATATACTTTAAGTTCTGGGGTACATGTGCAGAATGTGGAGGTTTGTTACATAGCTGTACATGTGCCATAGTGGTTTGCTGCACCCATCAACCCATCATCTACATTAGGTATTTCTCCTAATGCTATCCCTCCCCTAACCCCCGTAACCCCCTGACAGGCCCCAGAGTGTGATGATCCCCTCCCTGTGTCCATGTGTTCTCATTGTTCAACTTCCACTTATGAGTGAGAACATGTGGTGTTGGGTTTTCTGTTCTTATGTTAGTTTGCTGAGAATGATGTTAACCATTCTTTTCTTGAAGGACATCTGGCTGATTTGAGTTTGAGGCTAATAATGAATAAAATATACTATGAATATTTGTATGTAGGTATTTGTGGGAAGAAAAGTTTTTATTTATCAGGGATAAATATCCAAGAGTGTAACTGCTGAGTCATACGATAATTGCATGTTTAATATTTTAAGGAATTGCTATTGTTTTACAGAGTGGCAATATCATTTTACATTCTCACCAGTAATGCATGAGTGATCCAGTTTCTCTGTATTCTTGTCAGCATTTGATATTGTCACCCTTTTAGTTTAGTGATTCTGATAGGTATGTAGTAACATTTCATTGTGGTTTTAATTTGCATTGCCCTGATGGTGTTGAGCATCTTTCATGTGCTTATTTACCATCTGTATATCCTCTTTGGTAAAATGTCTGTTTACATCTTTTGCCCATTTTCTAATTACATTGTTTTTTAACTGTTGTGTTTTGAGAGTTCTTTATGCTCTGTAAATATTAGTCCTTTGTTAGATGTGTGATTGGCAAATTCTTTCTCCCAGTCTCTAGTTCATTTTTTCCATCCTCTTCACCTGAACTTTCACAAAGCAAAAAGTTTCATTTTTATGAGATTTGATTTATTAATTTTTCCTCTTATGAATTCTAGTTTTGGTGCCAAGTTCATATTACTCAGTAGTTTTCCATTGTATAAATACCATATATCTACATGTTTCGGCCTTTGACTTGTTGATGGACATTTGGGTTGCTTCCAGTTTGGGGGCCATTATGAACATTTGTGTTACTGTCCTTTTATATACATATGTTCTCATTTCTCTTGGGTAAATACCTAGATGTGGAAGTGCTGGATCATATGGCGAGTATATATTTGACTTTATAAGAAATATTAAACTATTTACCAAAGTTATAGAGTTGGATTACTACTTACCATTTTTGGCCTTCTTCATTACTTTCCATAGATCCAAGTTTCTACCTGGAATCCTTTACCTTTAGCCTGAAGAACATCCCTTAGAATTTCTTGTACCACAGTTCTCATGGTGACAAATTGTCTCAGCTTTTGTTAACCTGAAAATGACTTTATTTAACTTATTTTTGACAGATGTTGTTTACTGGATATAAATATAAAGATCTGGGTTGGCAGTTTTTCTCTTTTGCACTTTAAAAATGTCATGTCATTGTCTTCTAGATTCCATTATTTACGCTGAGAAGTTAGCAGTCCATTTGTGCCATTGATCTCTGTATGCAGTGTGTCTTGTTATGTTTTGTTTTCTAGCAGCTTTCAATATTTTCTCTTTATCTTTGGTTTTCAACCATTTGACATGATGTCCCTAAGTGTGCTTTTATTTATATTTATATTTACTTATATTTATCTTTTATTTATATTTATCTCTATATATTTATATTTTTAGTTCACTGGGCTATTTTATCTTGCTTGGGATTCACTGAGTTATTTTTCAATTGAGAAAATTTCAGCCTTATATCTTGAAATATTTTTTCTAGCCCATATTTGTCTCATCTCCTTCTAGAACTGTGATTAACCATATTGGACCATTTGATACATTCCACAGGTCTTGTCCATTTTCCTTCATTTTTTTTCCCTCTGTGGTCCTCAGATTGGATAATTTCTATTGCTCTGTCTTAAGTTTATTTAGCTTTCTTCTGCCATCTTCTGTTAACCCACTCTTATGACCATCCAGTGATTTTTTTAATTTCAGTTTTTATATTTTTCACTTACAGAAATACAATTTGATCCTTTTTTAATAACTTCCATTTCACTGCTGAGACTCCTGAACTATTCACTCATTAAAATAATATTCTCATTTAGTTGTTTGAATATATTTTCCTTTAATTCCTTATTTTTAATTTATAATTCCTTATTTATAATAGCTACTTTAAATTTTCTGTCTGCTAAATCCAACATCTGGGCCATCTCATGCTCAATTTCACTTGATTACTTTTATTTCTGGACTTTAGGTCATGTTTTCGTTTTCCTTTGCTATTCTAGTTATTTTTTAGTATCTGTTGGATATTATGAATGACATCCTGTAGAGACTCCAGATTCTGCTATCATCATCTAAAGAATGGTGATTTTTGTTCTAGTAGATAGTTCACTTATTAGCTGACCACCTTGAACTTATGTAGGCTTGGTTTTATATACTTTGTCAGGAAAAATCTATAAAAATCCCAGATATTTGTGAAGCCCTTCTAATTTATTGGGTCTCAACCTCCAAATTCTGTTTCCTCTAAGGATCTCATTAGGGCTTGATTTTAGGCATTTGCAAGGCAGGTCTAGAGTGTACTTTGTTCTAGGACATGTTCCTACTCCTCCTCTAATAGCACAGGGGTGTGAAGGCTTGCTGCCCCATCCCAATGTTTTCAGGCTTTTGGTTTGTATAAGGTAGGAGATGAAGGAAATAGGTGGTGTTTCAGCCATAGCCAATCACCTTCTGCATGTCTGCACCACCCAAGGAAGGCTTCTCTGATCTCTTGTTCTGCCACGTCTTTCTAATAAGCACCCAGGGAAGAACCATGGAGAATCTTGTGAGTGTGTGCAAATTCGTATCTGGAACTCTCAGTTATTCCCGATTGATATGTTAGACCAAACTCAGCTTTTAGGACTTTATGAAAATATTAGCTGATTTCTTTCCACCCACTTAGATGGTGGCCTCCTCTTCTTCCTGTGTTTCACTAAAGGTAAAATAGTTTTTGTGTTTCTGGGTTGCCATGCAACCTCAACTCTCTGATGGATTTATGAAAAGTTATGCCTTTGCAGGCTGCCTGAGCTTGTTGTTGTTAAGAATGGGAACAACATTCACGTGCAGCTTTCTACCTCCCAGCAGAAGTGGAACACCTCAGTAATGTCCCCTTATAGAAAGACATTACATTGTACAAGTAGCACTAACCATAAAAAAAATTGATAAATTAAACTACATTAAAAGTAAGTACTTATTTTCATTGAAAACGCCATTAAAAGAGTGAAACAGCAAGCCATGGAGAAGAAAAGAAATTACCAACTTATACAGCAGACAAAAGATTTGTACCAGAATCTGTACACAAAACTTCTACATGTAAACAATAAACAGATATACCCAATAGAGAAATGGGCAAAAGACTTAAACAGATACTTCACAAAAGAGGATATCTCCAGCAAATATATTAAAATGTACTTAATATCATTAGTCATCAAGGCAATGAAAATTAAAGCCACAATATGAATCTACAATACCCCCACCAAAATGACTAAAGTTAAAAAGACTGATGATACTAAGTGTTGGCAAGAATACGGAACAATAGGAGCTCTCATACATTGCTGGTGGAAGTGTAAACTCGTGTATTCATTTTGAAGACATTTTGGCATTTTCTACTAAAGTTGAATACTTGCATATCATCTAACCCAGAAATTACACTCCTAGGCACATACTCAACAGAAATGCACTGCACACGTGCACCAAGAGACGTTTAAGATGTGTCCTAACAGCATTATTCATAGTAGCCCCAAACTGGAGACAATACCACACATATACACAAACATATCCAATATACATACACCAATAAACATAAATGAACCACAGTAATCACAACATCATGGATGAACAGTACAAACATTTCATTGAGTGAAAAACTAAAACACAAAAGAACACATAACCAATAATTTCAAAAACAGGCAAAACTAGACTATCATATTGTAAGTTATAAAAGTGGTTAAATTTGGGAAGGAGAGAAATTTAGTAATGGGGAGGGGCATGAGGGAGGTTTCTATGACTGTGGCAACGTTCTACTTCTTGAATTCATGGTGGGAAATTGTTTTGTCATAATTCATTGAATTGTACATTTATACTTAATATACTTCTGTGTATTATATTCTACAGTATAAAATGTTACAGGCTGGGTGCAATGGCTCACGCCTGTAATCCCAGCACTTTGGGAGGCCGAGGCGGTTGGATCACCTGTGGTCAGGAGTTCGAGACCAGCCTGACCAATATGGTGAAACCCCATCTCTACTAAATATACACAAAAAATTAGCCGGACATGGTGGCGCACGCCTGTAGTCCCAGCTCTTCAGGAGGCTGAGACAGGAGAATTGCTTGAACCTGAGAGGTGGAGGTTGCAGTGAGCCGAGATCACAGCACTGCACTCCAGCCTGGGTGAGAGAATGAGACTCCATCTCAAAAAATAATAATAATAATAAATACAATGTTACAATGCCATGCACGTATTTCAGTTGGGCACTATTGCAATTGCACCATCATCCCAGGGATAAAACATAGAATCATTCTTAAAGTAAAACTCATACCTAATATTTGATTTCCTAAAGGTTGATTTAATTAGAGGTTTTGGGTAAATTTTAGATTAAAATCAATACTCACAGTTTAATTATACGATCGCATGCTACTACCTTTTTAAATAAATGGTTTTGTATTAAAATGTCCTCAAATAGAAAGCATTTCCAATTGTCAAACTTTTACTGATTTACCTTTACATTTCTGAAGTTGTTTTGAATGATGTCTGAGATAATCATATTAAGGTAAGATATTATCATGCAGGTAAGAGATTACCTGCCCTGCAACTTATTTTAGCCAGAGATGGCTTCAAGCCAAAAGTCTGATTTTTTTAAACTTAAAAAAAGAGAAGTGACTTTCTCAGTCTGCACTGTCTGATAGGAGAGAAAACAAATTATGTGGGAAAAAACTATCAGTTTAAACACTTAACATAAATTGTAATAACACTTTAGTCTTTACTGTTTGAAATTCATCTGGAACTTAAAATGCTATAATTAATAGCTTTTTACCCCAAAATACCTTCAAATGTTTGTTGTCTCTTATCAGAGCACAATATTTACTTTTTTTTTTTCTGAGACGGAGTTTCGCTCTTGTTGCCCAGGCTGGAGTGCCATGGCATGATCTCAGCCAACCGCAACCTCCGCCTCCCAGGGTTCAAGTGATTCTCCTGCCTCAGCCTCCCAAGTAGCTGGGATTACAGGCATGTGCCCCCACAGCCAGCTAATTTTGTATTTTTAGTAGAGACGAGGTTTCTCCATGTTGGTCAGGCTGGTCTCGAACTCCTGACCTCAGGTGATCCACCCACCTCGGCCTCCCAAAGTGCTGGGATTACAGGCATGAGCCACCGCGCCCAGCCTCTTACTTGTTAAACGAAAGCTTAATTATTATCCCACAGTTTAATTTTATACTCACAAGGTACCTATTTTGAAGAATAAAGTTTTTGTTTTTTGATCAAGTCCAGTCTTCAATCCATGATTTTCTTAAAGAAACTCATTTAATATGCTTACATACATTTCAGAGTTTAAAAACCACAGTTTCACTCAGCATTCTATGAGATTACAAAGATCAGCCCATTAGAGCTACAGGAACACATGGAGGGCAGGGGAAGGAACAAAATGTTTATCAGCCCCGGCTGTTAAGGCAATGTGTCAGGAATCTACAAATAAGTGCTTATCTGAACACCCCTGTAATATTATTCCACGTCTTTGTGTTGACAACCTCCTATGGCCATGATTCATGTGTGCTGAGCAGGAGGGAATTCCTAGGGACACACCCTCCCTTCTCCTCCCCGCTCACTGCACTTGGGTGTCCAAGGGGAACATCATTCATCCTTCAACAATGGAACAGAGGGACTTAACCCCAGTGCAGTTGGAGAGGCCAGGAGACCCTGTCTACTCATCCAGTGCTGCCAGGACCGGTCAAGTACGGGGGTTTCTGGGATGCCAAGCAGAAAGCACACATCTAAACAGAGGGCTCTACATGCCTACATACTCACACACAGCAAGCACCCACTTTTCTCTGGGTGCGATTTAAATATGAATTACATTCCACATGAATGCCCCATGTGCAGTGAGGAGAAGAAAAGACACTTTGGTGAGAACCGACTCCTAGTGAAGCAGGTAGAAGCCAGAAGCGTGAAAGCCCCACAGGGGTTGGGTGGGTCAATACACCCACTTCTGCCTGCCTGGCCTCTCCCAAGGTCCAAGAGAGCAAACACACTCAGACTAGGCAGCATGGGTGTATTCTCCAACTGAAGCTTTACCCTCTGGCCACAGAGACCTTCAGGAGGAAGGCCAGGGTGCCTGGATAGCTCCGGGGAGAGCTAGAGCCTCTGCCTTGGTCTGCGGCAGTCATGGAAACCTCTTTCTCAGGTGGGGGCTGCACAATCCAGGGTAGAGCAAATGCACACATCCTCATCTTTCAGATTGAAACCTGAATTTCTATGATGTGAAACAGCTGCCTCTGGAGGAGACAGAAATGTGTCTAACTCTTTCTTAATCTTACCATCTTGCTACTGCTGTGCTAGGCTAAATCATGGCCCCTGAGGATATGACCATCTTCTAATCCCAGAACCTGTGAATGTTACTTTATATGGCAAAGACTTTGCAGATGTAATTAAGTTGAGGATCTTAAAATAAGGAGATTATCCTGGATTACCTGGGTGGGCCCTAAATACAATCACAAGTGTCCTCCCAAGAGGGAAGTGGAGGGAGATGAGATAGGAATACCCGGAGAAGGGGAAGAGACTGCGGGGGCAGAGATGGAAGTGATGCAGGCACACACAAGGAAGGCCAGCAGGACCTGGAGTGGGCAAGAAGCAATTCCCCCCGAGGGCTTCCAGAGGGCACGTGGCCCTGCCGACACCTTAATCTCCGCCAGTGATACTAATTTCGGATTTCTGGCCTCCAGAACTGTGAGAGAATACATTTCTGTTAAGCTACAGAATTTGTTACAACAACCATAGGAAATTAATACACCACCTCTCAGCTAGAACACCTCCTCACTGACAGGGTTTCTAAGGCCTTAGGTTTCAACCTAACTGTCCTGCAGGTGGGCGTTTCCTTTCCATAGATCATTTAGGGATTACAAAACAAAATCGGCTTCCTACTAGCTTTAAGCTGGCAGGGCAGTTTGCTGGGATCCCAGCACACCTTCAGATAAAGCCCCGAGCCTGGCAGGCTGGGCACCCCGTCTCCCTACTCCCCAGTCTGATCTGACTCACAATTCTTTCAAGTGTTATAAAAGATTCTGTGTTTTCTTTAGAAATAAATCTATAAATTCTTCCAAAAATCCTTTTTAAGGAAGAAATCTTACGATTAAATTTCTTATTCCCAAAGACTCTACTTAGTTTATAAACTGTCAGATTAATTATAGCAAGACCAGAGGAGACATAGCCAGGGATTACTTGTCAAGTGAAGGATGAACACATTCAATTTCCTACCACAAATATAGTTTGCCACTCTAAGTGAACAGTCACAATTTTTTATAACAAGCATCTTAACAACTCCACTTTTCTCCAACAAATATAAAAAATAAAACAAGCATTGTAGTCTCCATGGCCTTGAGATTAAGGGTTACATTCCATAGGGAATTAACAATAAAGCCTAGAGTTAAACTGTACAAGGTTACCAGAGCATTCTTGCAAATAAACTACTTAAGGTTATGATGACAAGACTAGAATAAGCAGAACATTAATTTTTTTAAGTTTTCCCTTTTATGTAAAGAAAAATCAAGACGGGCTTTGTAAAAAGAATGCATGCTTATTATAAATTATTCAAGCACTGCATAGAGGTTAAAAAATTCAAATGCCACTGCTCATAAATAATTAGCATTTACATTAGCAGAGTATCATTCTAGACATCTTTTTAGTTCATATGTTCCAGAAACTCTAAATAGATATATTAAAATATTTTATAAATATGTGATTGTTTTATATGTTATTTATCATAAGTTATCAGATTTAATTTTATTTGTATTTAAAACTTGAAAAAGAAACCAAAAGGAATTTGAAAAAATTATAAAATTTCAAATAAATGTTTATTCGCCTTGAGAGTTTTTACAAAATAATCTTCTATATTTACAAAAAGAGATTTGGGGAAAAAAAACCATTGAGAGTGATCGTTTTTACATTCCATACTTCAGTTTAGGTATTAGCTTTTGATTCCCTGCTATGAAAGACAAGGACATTAGATACAAAGCATCCTTCCTTCTCTTCCCCCCATCTTCACATATTGTCATATTAACATTTTACATAAGCAGCATTTATATTTTATTTTGTAACTATAATTTGTAAAATGTTTTGCATTAATATTATTTCTTTTCTTCTTCTTTTTTATTCATACGAAGTCTCACTCTGTTGCCCAGGCTGGAGTGCAATGGCGTGATCTTGGCTCACTGCAACCTCTGCCTCTGTCTCCTAGGTTGGAGTGATTCTCCTGCCTCAGCCTCCCAAGTAGCTGGGATTACAGGCATGAGCCACCAAGCCCAGCTAATTTTTGTATTTTTAGTAGAGATGGGGTTTCACCATATTGTCCAGGCTGGTCTCAAACTTCTGACCTCAAGAGATCCGACTGCCTCAGACTCCCAGAGTGCTGGGATTACAGGCATAAGCCACCGTGCCCAGACTGTATTAATATTACTTCATAGTTAGATGTTTCCAAGTCTTACCACTAGACATTAGAACACAGCTCTCCACTTTTAAAATTTTTATTTACAAAAAGTTAATTTCAAATAAGCCCTGAACCACTCTCAGCTAATGATATTTATTCTTCGATGTTTTTATTCTGACAAGTACTTATTTTAAACAAAATTTTCCCTTTAGAGTTTTCACTGTGAGTTATGGCTATTTTCTTGAATATTTAAATTTTTTCCTAGGCTTAGAGAAATTAAAAGATCTTACCCAATGTCACACAGCTGATATCCGAAGTCAGGATGCAAATACAGGTCTAATTTCAGAGCTCATTCTGTTATCATCTATCCCATTATCCACTGCCACCACTCAGTTATGCAATTGCTCATTATCCATCATTTCCATCTGTCTAGTTCTGTAGCTATTCATCTGTTATATCCATCTATCCATCAAACATCCAGCGACCTACTTCATTACTCCATTCACACATATGATGCAAACTTACATATATTTACATGTAGCCATTCCTCTATCCAGACATTTCAGTATGGCATCTATCAATCCATCGATCATCCTTCTATCCACCTATCTATCCATTTATCTATATTAATTTACTCCATCCACCATTTATACATTCATACATAGATACATCCACTGATCCAGACATTCATCTATTCATCTACCCACCCATCAACTCACCCATTCACAGATCACTCCATTCCATCTCTGATCCATCATCTATCCTTTCTATTAATTCATCATACTCATCCAACCAGTTCATCAAATTATCTGATAACTCTGAAACCCAGATCTTTCATAGAATAGGGAATGGTTTCCGTCTGTCTCTTCTGATCTCATTCCATTTTCCAGCTATCAAGGGAAAACCACAGCATCTCATTAGCATGATAAGCAGGTTTGTGAACTCACATCCTAATTGTCTCTTACCTAAATAAAACTTCTTGCAACAGAGTATGGAACTTATGGTATCCTATTAAACAGTGGGCCCTCTGTAACAATCTCTCCAATAACTGGATTTTCTAATCTTACAGTAACCAGTTCCCTCTTCATTGAAGAGTAATCAGCAGAGATTATGACCTCACACTATGAAGCAGAAACATTGCCCATATTTGGACTCATGTAGACCTCCTCCACATTGGTCTCTTGATTTTATTGGGGGCACAACCTTCCATCAATCCACCCACTACGAAGCTCTCTGGCCATCCAGCCAGCACTGAATGTGACTTGCCAGATGGCATATAGTTTTGTTTGTTTGTTTGTTTGTTTGTTTGGGACAGGGTCTCACTTGCCACTTAGGCTGGAGTGCAGTGGCCCGATTACTGCTGACAGCAGCCTTGACCTTCTGGGCTCAAGAGATCCTCCAGATTCAGCCTCCCAAATAGCTGGGACTACAGGCGCACACTGCCATGCCTGAGTAATTTTTGTATTTTTTGTAGATAGGGGGTTTTGCCATGTTGCCCAGGCTGGTCTCCAACTCCTGGGCTCAAGAGATCCACCCACTTCAGCCTCTCAAAGTGCTGGGATTACAGGCATGAGCCACTGTGCCCAGCCTGCATGTAGTTTTAAATCTTCTCTCCCCACCCTCTCTGTAGGTTAAGCAGCCTGGAAGCACCACTTAAGTGGACCTCGGTAACAACTGGAGGTGAGAAAAGCTCAGTTTCTCACTCAGATGAGGGAATCACAGAGCCACTGTGACTGAATCAAGGCTATTTATGAAAAATACAAGTCAAAACAAATCAAGAGGAAAGTATATAGAAATAAACATAAACTTTAAAAACTCTCTTGCAGATTAATTTGCAAAGTAGGGATAGGGAACCTGTAATCAAACCTAGAGTTGAAAAAATAGAAAGGAGAAAGAGGAAGAGAGGAGACTAGGAATAAGAAGAATGAGGAGTTGAAAAACCAAAAGAAAGTAGGAGAAAGAGGGATACCAGTGCCTCACAAGATAGTGAACTAACCTTGTCTTCTGGTTGTCTCCCAAAAATTCAATGATAAAGAAATTATGGAAGTAAGATGGAGGAACTAATATTAAAACTGTGACTAACTCTTGGAGAGACTAAAGCTGGGATGAACTAATGTGAAAAATTTAACAGTCTGAGAGGTAGGAAGAAAGGATAGTGTAGAGATTTTACATTCTGCTCATTCCTCTCTACCATATTTTCCAGGGAAGGTCACTAGTGGCCTCTGCTACTGTAAGAAAGAAATCAGAACCAAGATTTCATGCCGCTCAGGAGTTCCTCGGTAATATTGGAGCCATGCTGGATTGAGATTCTGAGAAAAGTAAATGCAAGCTGACCAAGTGTCATAGGACATTGACTCTTCCATCCTATTCTCCTCTAAACCTCCAAGGATGGTGGATGAGCATCTCAAGGACAGTGGATGACCTTCTCATGTGTATTAGTCTGTTTTCACACTGCTGATAAAGACATACCCGAGAATGGGCAATTTACAAAAGAAAGAGGCCTATTGGACTTACAGTTCCACATGGCTGGGGAGGCAGGCAAGTCACATCCTACGTGGGTGGCAGCAGGCAAAGAGAGGGCTTGCACAGGGGAACTCCCATTTTTAAAATCATCAGATCTCATGAGACCCATTCCTTATCATGAGAACAGCAGGGGAAAGACCCGCCCCCATGATTCAATCATCTCCCACCAGGTCCCTCCCATAACATGTAGGAATTATGGGAGCTACATGATGAGATTTGGGTGGGGACACAGAGACAAACCATATCATCATGTATGGTGGCTGACCATTCCAGAGATTTCTGTCTCCTCTCGGTGCTGCATTTTTCAAAAAATTTAAAGAGGAATCCCTGACTAAAGAAATTTCCCTGTGAAATGAAAACAAAAGGAATGTGGAGCAGCAGCTCTGCAATACCTGAGGCTCTCCATCCTGAGGCTCATCCCCACTCCTCTCTTCATATTCACCAGCAGGGGCAGACTTTATTCGTATCCCTTATCCATGATCAGGCTGAGAATCTCATAATCACCAGGGAAACACAATTTCATAAGCCAAAATCAGTAGACACCTGAGGAACTATAAAAGCTATACAACAAACTGAATAAAATGTTTATCACAGGCCAACAGTGGAAAATAAGCACAATAAATATTAGAAATACCTTCAAGGATGTAAAAGAGAATATTAGTAAAATGAAGAAGGAACAAGAAGGCATAAAAAAGAACCCTGTGCCTTTTTTGAAAGAAGAATAGGTCATTCATTCAGGATATCAAGAAAAACTAGGAACAGTTTTAAAAAAGATATGCTTGAAGATACTAGAGAGATAACAAGGTAGTAAAGAACTAGTGGGCCTGTAGCTTCAAAAAAATAAAAAAGGAATCCAAAAAGGTGAGCTCAACATTTGGACTCCTTCTACCTTGGGAGCATTTATTAATTCTGGAGGAGTTAGTGGAGAGCCTGATCAGTGTTTTAGACAGTCTCAAAGGAGTGGGGTAAAAAGTCAGAATCTAGGACTCATCAAGGGAAATAGCCTAGCGTTGGGATGAGAACCTAAATAATTGCAGCACAGTAATAAGATTGGACTGCAACAGACCAGTTCTCACAGAGATTTCAGCCTCAAATCAGCTCAGTCTCTGGAATTGGATTAAAGCAATACCAATTTGCTAGGATTCCCTGGTGCCTGGCCTAAACAAACGTAAATCCTCCCTAGAGAAGGAAAACATCTTCCTAGGCCTCAAGTTATTTCTATACAAACAATTTTTCAAATACAATATTCCTCAGATAATAAAAATAATCAGACACTTGAGGAAACAGGAAAACATAAATGAAAAGGAAGAAAAAACACCCCCAAAACAAAAACCCCAAACCAACCCACAAAGGAAACAGACCAATAAGGATTCAAGATAGTCAAGGTACTGGATACACACTTTAAAATAATGCTTGCTAAATTTAATGAGATTAAAAAAAAAGTTAGAAAATTTTTGAGATAAAAGAAAACAATTAAAAGGGTATATTTTTAAAAGAATACAGTAGACTTAAAAACAAATATACAGACATACTAGACCTTACAATATAATTAGGAGCTCATTGGATGAATTTTTAAAAGATTAAACATAGCTAAAGAAAAAAATTAGTAGATTGGAAGGTTAATCAGAAAATATTCATAACGGAGCATAAAATCACAAAAGAATGGAAAATAAGAGATATATGGAATACAGTAAGGTCTAACATATCTGTAATTGTAGTCCCAGAAAGAGAGTAGGGAGAGTGGTGAGGAAGAAATAGTTTAAAAGATAATGTCTGATGGCTGGATGTGGTGACTCACACCTGTAATCCCAGCACTTTCAGAAGCCAAGGCGGGTGGATCACCTGAGGTTAGGAGTTCAAGCCCAGCCTGTCCAACATGGTGAAACCCCATCTCTACTAAAAATAAAACAATTAGTTGGGCATGGTGGCAGGCGCCTGTAATCCCAGTTCATGGGGAGGCTGAGGCAGAAGAATCGCTTGAACCTGGGAGGCAGAGGTTGCAGTGAGCCAAGATCGCACCACTGCACTCCAGCCTGGGCAACAGAGTGAGACTCTGTCTCCAAAAAAAAAAAAAAAGAAAAAAAGAAAGAAAGATAACATCTGAGAATTTTCCAACACTGATGAAAAATATCAAGCCATATATTCAAGAAGCTCTAAGAACTCTAACCAGGAAAACTGAAAGAAAAACATACCCAGGCACATCAAATTTCCAAAACCAAGGTAAAGAGAAAATCTTATAGCAGCCAGAGAATAAAAGACAGATTCCCCCTTAAAGGAGCAACAGTTAGACTAAAGACTGACTTCTCAACAAAAACAATGAAAGTCAGAAAACAATGAAATATTTACAAAGCATTGAAAGAAAATATCTGCAACTTTGAATTTTATGCCCAGCAATATCTTTCAAAAATAAAGGCAAAATAAAGATTTTTTTTAACTGAGAAAATTCACCACTGACAACTCCACAGTAACATTTAAAGACCTTATTAGGCAAAATGAAATTGGTCGCAGAAGAAAGATGGAGATGCAGGAAAGAAGGTAGAACAACAAATTGGTAACTATATAAGTACACCTAAATGAATCTTGACTCTATAGAATGGCATAATGTGAACCATGTATGCAATTTTACACTTTTTAATAGTCACATTAGAAAGAGTAAAAGGGCTGGGCATGGTGGCTCACGCCTGTAATCCCAGCACTTTGGGAGGCCAAGGCAGGCGGATCACAAGGTTAGGAGATTGAGACCATCCTGGCTAACACGGTGAAACCCTGTCTCTACTAAAAATACAAAAAATTAGCTGGGCATGGTGGCGGGCACCCGTAGTCCCAGCTACTTGGGAGGCTGAGGCAGGAGAATGGAGTGAACTGGGGAGGCAGAGCTTGCAGTGAGCCAAGATCGCGCCACTGCACTCCAGCCTGGGTGACAGATCGAGACTCTGTCTCAAAAAAAAAAAAAAAAGAAGGAGTAAAAGAAGCAGGTGAAATTAATTTTAATAATATATTTCATTTAACCCAATAAAACTAAATTATTATTTTTTCAATATGTAACAAATATATAAGAAATTACTAAAGAGGTATTTTACAGTTTTTTTCATATGAAGTCTTAGAAATCCAGTGTGTAGTTTTACATTTATAGCACATTTCAATTTGGATGCACTATTTTCATAGAATTTATAGATAAGAATAGATTAACATATTTAAATTGTTTCAAATATACATTAAAGTGTTTTAATAAGTGAATTCAGTACTAAAATATTTTCCTTCAATATTATACTTTTCCTTTAATATTTGCATTCATACTGACAAAACCAGTTCATCTTTTTCAGAAGAATTAATTTGACTTTAAAGCAAAAGCATATTGGTTTCAAAATTAGATCTAAATTAAGAAAATTCAATCAGCTATGTCAACTCAGTATTATTAAATCACATCAAAGGAGTATTATATAAATTAAAAGGCAATTCCAAATTTATCAACATTAAAAAGTATTCTTCAAACTTTTCTTACAGTCTTTGCAGCCAGTTTATATAATGGTAGCAATTACAATTAAAATCTTGTACATATTGATTCATTTTAGAAAAATGTGTCAAATTGCTATTGTTATTTTGTACATATTATGAAAGGTTGCACTTTCAAAATAAACTCTTGAAAATTAGCAGGGCGTGGTGGCACATGCCTGTAAACCCAGCTATTTGGGAGGCTGAGGCAGGAGAATCGCTTGAACCTGGGAGGTGGAGGTTGCAGTGTGCTGAGATGGCACCACTGCATTCCAGCCTGGGCAACAGAGTGAGACTCTGCCTCAAAAAAAAAAAAAAAAGAAAAGAAAAAGAAAAAATAAATTATTGAACCTATCTAGGTAGGTCATAAGTAAGCTTTATTCTTTCCTTGACATTTCAAATTAAGATGATTCACATGCAATGTAATACCAGTAAGAAAACTTAAACCCCACTGACATTTTTATCTCTGATTATTGAATATCTGACTAACATTTGTTTAAAAAAATCTTGAAATATCAGTCTCTAGTTTTAAACTTTAAGTAAGTATAGATTATTTACTTAACATTGCTGCAGCATGTTCCATTGTTAGAAACTAATTTTTTTTTTTTTTGAGACAGAGTCTCGCTCTGTCACCCAGGCTGGAGTGCAGTGGCATGATCTCGCCTCACTGCAAGCTCCGCCTCCCAGATTCACGCCATTCTCCTGCCTCAGCCTCCCAAGTAGCTGGGACTACAGGCTCCCACCACCACGCCTGGCTAATTTTTTGTATTTTTAGTAGAGACAGGGGTTTCACTGTGTTAGCCAGGATGGTCTCGATCTCCTGACCTCGTGATCCGCCCACCTCAGCCTCCCAAAGTGCTGGGATTACAGGCTTCAGCCACCACACCTGGCCAAAACTAATTTTATGCATATCTAGCTGAAATTGTTTTTTGATAAATGTAAAATATTGAAAATATTCTGATCACAAATTCAATTTAATCTTTTAGGCCACAAACTGACAATATTATGAGTATATTTATATGATTATATGATTAGCATCACATGGTATTTTAGGCAAATACAACACTTGAAATCACTGCAATGGCAACAGAGGTAGCTATGAAATTATTACAGTAGTACAGTATGTACTACAGTAATTATATGCAGTTATGATTTAACATTATACCTTTACATTTGTTTACATTTCTCTCATGAACCTAACGTATACTGTTGTAAGGTTCTTGTACTATAGGTAAAGTGGTATGATAGTATATGAAGGTAGGCTATGCTAAATCAAAGATGCATACTATAAACCCTATTGTAACCCCCAAAATAACACCACAAAGTTATAGCTAACAAGCCAACAGAGGAGATAAAACAGAATCATAAAAAAATGCTCAATCCAATAGAAGGTAGAAATTGAGGAAGAAAGGAACAAAGAACAGATTAGACAAATGGGAAAAAAATAGCAATTGATAAATTTAATTAAAGCCAATACTATCAATAATCACATTAAATGTAAATTTTCTAACCATTCTCATTGAAGGTGATATTGTCAGTTTAGACAAAAAAGCAAGACCCAAATATTAATATATACTGCCTGCAAGAAACACGCTTTCAGAAAAATTATATAAATAGCTTAAAAAGGGAAAGATTGGAAAATATACTATACTAAAACTATAAAAAGTTAACTGTAGTGACTATATTTATATCAAAATGAAATTTTAAGGAAATAACATTACCAGAGATAAGAAGGGTCATTTTATAAGGATATAGGGGTCAATTTTAGGTAGGAAGTGGGACTCAACTTCAGAGGGTTCAACATTGGACCAGATTGAGGACTAGCTAAAACATAACCCGGGTGAAAGCAGCTTTCAATCAGACCCACCCACCAGTGTGCCATGTCAATTTACTGTTGCCATGGCAACACCCGGGCGTTACCACCCCTTTCCATGGCACCCAATGATTCAAAAGTTACTACCCCTTCCCTGCATAAACCACCCCTTAATCTGCATGCAATTAGGAGTGGGTATAACTATGACTGCAAAACTGCCCTGAGCTGCTACTCTGCCTTTGGGACAACCCTGTTCTGCAGGACCAGTCATGGAGCTCTAACAACACTGGAGCTGTATCACTGCCTGTTCAATAAAGCTGTTTTCTTCTACCTCTGGCTTGCCCTTGAATTCTTTCCTGGGCAAAGCCGAGAACCCTCACGGGCTAAGCTCCTCTTTCGGGCTCTCCTGCCCTGCATCAAATTTATCAAGAGAGCATAAAAGTTCTACACCTTTATGCAGCTAATACCAAAGTTTCAAAGCACATGAAGCCAAAATTGATAGAACAGCAAGGAGAAATAGACAAGTCCACAATGATAACTGGTGATTTTCAAATCCCTCTCTCAGTAAGTAATAGAAGTAGAAAATCAGTGAGAACATATAAGACTTAAACAATACAATCAGCCAACTTGATCTAATTTATATTTGTATAACATTTCACCTAACAGCAACAGAATACACAGTCTATTCAAATTTACACAGAATATTTACCAAGATGTACCATATTCAGGGACATAAAGCAAGCCTGAATAAATTTAAGGGATATAAATCGCAAACTTTGGTGTCTGATCACAATGAAATAAAATCAGAAGTAATAACAAACTATTTCTTAAACATCTCCAAATATTTGTAAAATAAATAACACTGTTCTAAAAAAAAAAACCACCATAGATAGAAGAATAAATCAAAATTAAAATTATAAAAGATTGTGAACTGAATTAAAATGAAAACACAACATATTAAAACTGGTGGGATGCAGCTAATACTTGGAATGTAATTTAGAGCAATAAATCTGTATATTAGAAAAGAAGGAAATTTTAAATCAATAAATCAGCCTCCACTATAAGAAAGTAGAAAAATAAGAACAAATTAGACCCAGAGTAAACAGAATAAAGGAAATAATAAAAACAAGAACAGAAATCAATAAAAGAGAAAATAATAGAGAAAATCAATAAAACCAAAAGTTTATTCTTTGAGATAATCAGTAAAATCAATAAACTTCTAGACAGAATGTTGAGAGAAAAAAAGAAAAAATACACAAATTACCAGTATCTGGAAGAAGAGAAGTGATATCACTACAGGTTCTATACATATTAAAAGGATAATAATATTTGAACAGTAATATTTGAACAGCTATATATCAATAAATTATACATCTTAAATAGAGAAATCCCTTGATAGACACAAACTGCCAAGACTACCTTAAGAAAATACTAGATAACCTAAAGATCTAATATCTATTGAAGAAATTTAACATATTTAAAAAACCTTCCCACAAAGAAAAGAACGAAATGGCTTCCTTGGTTAATCCTACCAAATTTTTAAAAACAGTAATGCCAATTCTACACACTGTTCCAGAAAACTGATGAAACCATAACACTTTCCCAAAAGGATTTGTGAGCAGAATATATTAAAGAATTCTCAGCTGGGCACAGTGAGTGGCTCATGCCTGTAATCCCAGCCCTTTGGGAGGCTGAGGTGGGCGAATGGCTGGAGCCCAGGAGTTTGAGACCAGCCTGGGCAACATAGCGAGATGTCGTCTCTACAAAAAATATAAAAATTACCTGGGTGTGGTGGCATGCATCTCTAGTCCCAGCTAGTTGGGAGGTTGAGGTTGGGGGATCACTTGAGCCTGGGAGGCAAAGGCTGCAGTGAGCCCAGATTGCACCACTGTGCTCCAGCCTGGGCGACAAAGAGAGACCCTGTCTCAAAAAAAAAAAAAAAAAGAATTTTCAAAACCAAACAATAAGAAAACAAATAACTGAAACTGAATTGGCAAAGTTTTTAAACTGTAACTACAATCAAATAAGATATATAGATGGCTAATAAATACATGAAAAGATGCTTAATACCATTACTCATTGGGAAAATGTAATTTAAAATCACAATGAGATACCACTATACATCTATTAGAATGACTACAATTTTAAAAACTGATCATATGACATGATTGTATATGTAGAAAATCCAAAAGGAATCTATAGATAACCTACTACAATAAATAAGTGAATTTAACATGATACTGGATAAGATCAATAAGATCAATCCATGATAAGGCCTCTACATAAAATTATAAAACATCACTGAGGCAAATTAAAGATACAAATAAGTGGAAGCAAATACTGTGTTCATGGGTTGAGACACTCAATGTCATAAAGATGTCAACTTTCCCCAGTCTGATCTATAGAGTCCATGAAATTTCAATCAAAACCCTTTCAGAGGAGTTTGTAGTATGTGTGTGTGTGTGTGTCTGTGTGTGTGTGTGTCTTTGGAAATTGAGACTCTGCTTCACAAACGTATTTGGAAAATATAAAAAAGAAACAAGACAATTTTTGAAGATTAATTTACACTACTTACAACATAGCTATAGTAATTTAGAGAGTGTGGTGTTGGCCCAATGAAAGTGAAACAGACTTAACGGAAAAGAAGTCTGGAAACAGACCACTTATAGTCACTTGGTTTATGAAAAAGGTACAACTGCAGTACCTTTTGCAGAAAAGGATGATAAATGTTGCTGCATCAAGTAGATATCCTTATGGTAAAAAGTGGATCAATTTCAGGTGTTCTGTAACCTGAATATGAAAGGTAATACAATGTAACTTCTATTAAATGAAGTAAAATATTTGCATGATCTTGGAGTGGGCAAAAGTTTTTTAAACAGGACACAAAAAGTCCTAACAATAAAGGAAACAATACATTTGACTACATTTAAAAAAGAATCTGTTCATCAAAAGATATCATTAAGAAAGTAAAAAGGCAATCCAGATTTTAAAAAGATTCTTGTCATACATATTATTAAAAATACCAGAAAACATAATGTACTCTGCATGGCAATAAGAAAAGACCAGAAAACCCAATAGAAAAATGTGAAAATACTTGAACAAACACTTCCTTATGAGAATATCTAAATGGATAATAAACATAAGATTAGGTGCTCAACACTACTAGTTGTCAGAGATATGCAGATTAAGACTACTGTGAGATATCACTACAAATCTACCAAAATATCTAAAATTAAAAGACTGATAAAATAGCAAGTGTTGGCAAGGATATGAAACACTGGAACTCTTACATACAACTAATGCTTTATATGACCACTTTGGAAAGCTGGAAATACCTACTAAATCTGAAAACATACATGCTTCAGCAACCCCACACTTAGGTGTACCCAGAAGAAACATGTACATATGCTCACCAAAAACATGTACAAGATTTTCATAACAGCAAAATTTGTAATAACCAAACACTGGAAACAACCTAAATATTTTTCTACAGTAGAATGGACAAATAAACCGTGATGTATTCATACAATAAAACACTATGCAGCAGTGAAAATGAATTTACTTTGGCTACATGCAATACTATGGCTGAATCTTACAAACCCAATACTGAACGAAAGAGATTCAAAAGAGCACATATTGTTTGACTCAACTCATCTAAAATTCAAATATGGGCAAAACCAATCTATGCTGATGTATCTGAAGAGTTATTTCCTTTGTGGAAAATGCAGTGTAATGACTGGGAGGGGTATGATGGAGACTTCTGGGGTATTGGTAACATTCTTTTTCTTGACCTGAGCGGTGGTTACCAGGATATGTTCGTTCATTCTATTGAAATTCATTAAGCTGCGCACTTGTGATTTGTTGACTTTTATGCCTGTATGTTATGTTTAAATATAAGTGTGTATTAAAATGTGTGTGTGGAAAGATGAAGTAGGGATACTTTTCCCTATTCCTCCTATTAAATATAACTGAGTACTCCGGATATTGTGAATAAAACAAACATAAGAAAACTCTGAAAGGTGCAGAAAAGAAGGCAGAACCAGTTAGAGACCCTGGGACCCAAGGAATGAAACAGTGATGAGCTTTTTGGTTTTTCTTTTTACTTCATATATATCTGGGTCTTGGAGCTGAAGATGGTGGCAACCCAGACACATCAACAAGCACAGGCCCAAATCAAGCCCCAATAAAAGCTTGATCTCTCTAGTCAAAGGACCAGGAAGGGTTTGTTTTACTCCAGCCAAACACTACAGAAAAAACTGTGCTGTTCCCACCCCACACCTACCTAGCCAGCAAAGTCTAAGTGATGAATATAGACTTCTAGCATTGCCAGGCTATATCAAGGTGCCCCAACTCTTTGGCTGGGATGGGGGTATCACAGAAGGTCAAGATGGGAGCCAGGACTTTTGCCTCCAGTGGGCAGTACCAAGGCCTCCCACCTGCAATGTCAGCGTAGACCACATGGGGAGGCTGGACTTCTACCACCACCCCACAGTAATGAGGACCAACAAATTTTTGACAAAGGTGCAAGAGCAATTCAATAGAGAAAATATAATCTTTTCAACAAATGCTGCTGTAGCAACTGGACATCCATGGGCAAAAAACCAAAACCAAACAACAAAAAAACCCCTCCAGCCTAAGTCTTACACCTCACACAAATGTAACTCAAAATGGACCATGAACATAAATGGAAGACATAAAACTATTTTTAAAATTTTTTCAAAAAACATGGGAAAGTATCTTTGGGACTTAGGGCTTAGTAAAGAGTTCTTAGACATGGCACCAAAAGGCACAATTCATAAAAGAAAATATCAGTAAATTAGACTTCATCAAACTCAAAAACTTTTGCTTTGAAAGAGACCTTGTTAAATTGCTCGGAGTGGTGGCTCATGCCTGTAATCCCAGCACTTAGGGAGGCTGAGGTGGTAGGGTTGCTTGAGGCCAGGAGTTCAAGACCAGCTTGGGTAACATAGCAAGACCTTGTCTTTATAAAAACAAAATTTAAAAATTAGCTGGGTGTGCTGGCGCACCTCTGTGGTCATAGCTACTTAAGAGGCTGAGGCAGAAGGATCACTTGAGCCCAGGAGTTTGAGGTTGCAGTGGGCCATGATTGTGCCACTGCACTCCAGCAGAGTGGGAAAAAATATTTGTAAATCACATATCTGACAAAGAACTAGTATCTAGAATACATAAAGAACTCTCAAAACTTAACAGTAAAGAAAAGAATCTAATTTAAAAATGGACAAAAGACATGAACAGACATTTCATTAAGAGGATATACAGATGGCAATTAATCACATGAAAATATGTTGAACATCATTAGTCATTGGAAATGTAGATTAAAACCACCCACAATGAGATATTACTACATTCCTCTCATAATGGCTTAAAATATTGACAACAGCAAATGCTGATGAGGGTGAGAAGAGGCTGGATCGCTCATCCATTGCTGGTGGGGAGTGGAAAGTGGTAGAACCACTCTGGAAAAGTCTGGCAGTTCCTTTAAAAAACAAACATGCATATGACCCAGCAAGTGCACTCCTGGGCATTTATCCTGGAGAAATAAAAACTTCCTTTCACACAAAAATCTCTACATGATAGTTCATAACAGCTTTATTTGTAATGGCCCCAAACTGGAAATAATTTCAGATGCCTTTCCACAGGTGAGTGGTTAAACAAACTGTACGTCCATACTATTGAATGCTACTCAGCAGTAAAAGGGAGCTAACTATTGCTACAAACAATAACCTGGGTGAATCTCCATAGAATTATGTGAAAAAAAAAATAGGACATGCAGTGGAATAGTAACCAGCAGGGAAAATGAAAGAACTGCTGCTACATGAATCAACAGATGGATCTCAGGAACATAATGTTAAGAAAAATGCAAGTCATAGGACAGAATATACAGTTTGAGACATTATATAAAATTCAAAAGATGCAAAACAAAAAAGTATTGTTGGAGGACACATCCAAATGTGATAAAAACTCAAAGAAAAGCCACAGTTCTGGATTTTCAAGCTGGGGAGAGAGGGAGGGGCAGAAACACCTGAGGGCCTCAAAAGTACTGTAATATTTGAGTGCTCCAGCCAGGTGAAGTGAAAAAAACAATCCCAAAGGGTGATATACTGTGTAATGCCACTTATATAAGATTCTTGAAATAACACATTTATTGAAATGAAGAACAGATTAGTGGTTGCCAGAGGTTAGGAAGGGGTTGAGGGTGGGAGGAAAGTGGGTGTGGCTATAAAAGGGGAACATGAGGGCTCTTTGTGTGTCAAGGTACAGAACAGAAATGTACCTTGACTGTCTTAATTCCAGTATCCACATTATGATACTGTAGTATAAAGTTCTGCAAGATCTTACTCTTGGTGAAAACTAGATAAAGGATATACAGATCTGTCTTTTTTTTTTTTCCTGTTTGTGAATCTACAATGATCTCAAAAATTTAATTTAAATATATATATATATATATATAACACAGCAAAGGGCTCAGGAAAACCAAGATCTTGAAGAAAATGAAAAATATAGATGATGCTGTAGTGCTATATGATCTAACGAATATCTTTGAAAAATAGTTTGGCACAAAATTAAACGTACACTTGTTTTTATACCACAATTTACCTACTGACACATATCTTAGAAAAACTTCACAGAGGCATCAAGAGACATGTAAAGAATGTTGATGGCAGCATTGTTTGTTAATAGCAGAAACAAAACTGAGTGCATTTTCCAATGTTAATTTCCTGGTTTTACTAAGCAATGTGGTTATGTAAGATGTTATCACTGGGGTAGCTTGGTGCAGGATACATAGTAACTCCCTGCACTGTTTTTTATAACCTCTATGTGAGTATAAAATTATTTAAAATAATTTTAAAAAAGGCCAGGCGTGGTGGCTCACACCTGTAATCCCAGCACTTTGGGAGGCTGATGCAGGCGGATCACGAGGTTAAGAGATTGAGACCATTCTGGTCAACATGGTGAAACCTCGGCTCTACTAAAAATAAAAAAATTAGCTAGACCTGGTGGTGCGTGGCTGTAGTACCAGCTACTCGGGAGGCTGAGGCAGGTGAATTGCTTGAACCTGGGAGGCGGAGGTTACAGTGAGCCGAGATGGCGCCGCTACACTCCAGCCTGGTGACAGACCAAGACTCCATCTCAAAAATAATAACAACAATAATAAAATAAAATAAAATAAAAATTTTAAATGACACATTTTACAGAAAATCATTTAAAAATTGGGGCATAACTAGAATACTAACCAGCAGTGAAAATGAAAGAACTGCTGCTACATGAATTAACAAATGGATCTCAGAAACATGATGTTAAGAAACATGCAAGTCAGGACAGAAAACACAGTTTGATACCTTATATAAGATTCAAAAGATGCAAAACAAAACAAAGTATTGTGAAGGACACATCCAATGTGATAAAACTCAAAGAAAAGCTAAGATTCTGGATTTCCAAGTTGGGGAGGGAGGAAGGAGAAGAAAGCACCTGGGGGCCTGAAAAGTACTATAATATTTGAGCCCTCCAGCTGTGTAGAGGGTAAATGGGCACTCAGAGTGATAGGTTTTCTTTGTAACTTACATATACACAGCACATACTAAATAGGAAGATTTAAAGAATTTTTTTAAATGGAATGCACAGATTCTATGATATGGAAGAAACTCTTTCTAGTGAGGTTGCCAGGCTGAGGTTCAGTGGCCCCATTTTCCACCTGGAGAAAGTCTGTCTGCTTTAGGGCAGGTTAAGGACAAGACTCAAAATCAGGGGAGATAAGCAATGATAGTTGGAGGAGAGAGACTTGGAGCAGAGCAAACTTGGAGTCTCTAAGGCTCTCATTTCCACAGCATGATGACTGCATTCTGAGAGCAATGCCAGTATCTGCTCCAGCGACGTGAGCCCGGTAGTCGGAGCCGGGTTTTTGTCATTTGAACTGGAAGAATTATGACAGAGTCCCCCAAAGTAAGCTGGACCATAGTCAGCCCAGCTGGACCTGGTAAGCATATGGGATGACTTGGAGGCTTAGAGGTGCCCAGAGGGGCCCTGCCCCAGCCCTCCCTCCCCTACTGCCATACCACCTTACATGTGCGGGACCAGATGATCAGAGGAGGTACAGGACCTGCCTAGGCTTACCCAAAAGATGGTGCCTTTTCTGGCACACCTCAGCTGTTTTGTCTTGCCACCGATGATCTCATCAGGTCAGGATGAGAGGGTACAGGGAGACAGCACTAGATGTTAGGAGAAGGTGCAGGTTGGAGGAGTGTTGCATGGCTGGGTACCTTGGCCAGTAGCTCACTGGCCCTTCTTTGGAGGGATCACTTATAGAGACGGGAAGGGCTGTGACTTGGGAGTCTCCTCTCCTTTCAGAGCTTTCTTCAACCCCAAGCTGGATATGGTCTCCTAAGAGAGCAGGAGCCCCAGAGAAGTGGGTGGGTGTCTGGAGGGTTACCCTGAGCCTGGTGCCAGCCACAACGGGGCAGATATTCTAGGTGATGACTTACAATCCCTGGGGTTCCAAACTAAAGGTAATTATGAGAATAGGACAGTTATTTTGATTTGAGTTCTAGATGTTCATTCAAACATTCAACAACTATTTCTTAAACTCTGAGCTATGTCCTTGGGATGCAGTGGTGGAGCTTCAACTACTGCTTTTATGGAACTTGTGGTCAGGTTTCTAACAAGAAATAGGAAAGAGATTCGAGGTGAGCACACCAGGGAGACAGATAGGCTTGCCCAAGCAAGCCCCATAAGTCAAAAAGGGGGTAACAAGTGTCCACGAGAAATCTGGAGGTGAAGGTTGTGTCTCACTCCTCTTTCTCTTTCTATAACACATGCGTGCACACACCATCGTGTTCACCGACATGCAGATTATTATCTCAAATAAATGCTCACTGAACAGCCATAAATGAACAAGACCACGCTGTGGCAGAACAGTAAGGGACAGCTTTGTAAAACCTCAATTAACCAGCATGCCTTAGGCTCGGGCTGTCTTGGGAGTGTTTCTAGCACTTGGCGTCTGCTCTTTGCTCTCACTCACTCACAACTTGGTCTGTGTGCCTCGATGGACCAGGCAAGTAGAGGCCAAGGAGAGGTCGCCCACATGTCCTCAGATAGCTCATTGTCCAGATACACCTAATTGCCAGGGTGGGGAGTGGCATTGTCAGCCTGGCGACCCCGGGATCAAGAAACGCAGGGCACTGTCCTGGAGATAGTGGCACTGGCATTCAGAGCGTCACCGTTCCTTCTCTCCCATGGGGCAGGTTAGGATTTGGCATAAAATGATCCAAATGAGCAGCTGGTTTGAGGTAGGCGCGCCTGATATTGGCAGCTCCTCTCTCGCTGGCCAGGTCTGCGGGGGCACCCACAGACTCCACAAGAGGCCGCCCAAATAAAGGGTCTAGGCCTCGAGAGGGAAGGGCGGGCTAGAAGCCACGGGGGGCAAGAGTCGAGCCCCATCTGCGCCAAGTACGCCAGGTTTCCCTAGGTCTGACCGCCCTGACGGGCCTCGCCACACCCTGGCTCTCCCCCACCTTCGTTCCTTTCCGCCCTGTCGGTCGGACGACTGCGCTGTGCATCGGTGTCTCGCGAGGTGGAGGAAGGGACTGGCATCTAGGTTTAAAAGACCAGAAACAAATGTCCCCTGACAATTTCTGTCATTTTCTGGATTCAAAAGAGGGGTAGAGTGGGGAAGACAGACGCAGCGGGGCAGCGAGACACGGTCCCCCCCGGGGGGCTCTCAGGGGTACGGCGAGGAGGTTCTCTCCTGCCCGGGTGCGGGCTCGGGTGGGCGGGCGCACGCCCCCCAGCCCCGCAGCCCCGCGGGCCCCGCATGACATCAGAGGCTGGGGAGCGCACAGAGCGCAGGCGCCGGCGGAGGAGGCAGGCGGGAGGGGGCCGACTGGCGCGGCTCTGGAGAGCGCTCCTCCGCCCCGCGCGCCGTCCCTGCGCCCCGCTCCGCCCGCGCCTCTCTCCCAGCGCCGCGCCTCGGGCGTAAAGAGCGCGCCCCTCGCACCGCAGCCAGTGCCGACCGCAGCAGCCCAGCCCCAGCCTTCCTCCGCCTCCGCCTCTCTCTCCTCCTCCTCCTCCGCCGCCGGACACGCAGCCGCAGGCCGGGACCGGGACGCAGCTGGGGAGTCAGGGACGCGCGCAGCCAGCCCTTCCCCCTCCGGCTCCCGCACCGCCGGCCGCCTCCCCTCGCCCTCCTACTCTCCCCTCCCTGCTCCTTCGCTTTTTCCTCCTCCTCCTCTCCCGGCCCCGGCTGCCAGCACCATGTCCGCAGGGGGAGATTTTGGGAATCCACTGAGAAAATTCAAGTTGGTGTTCTTGGGGGAGCAGAGCGGTAAGTACCCGGCTTAATCTCTTGGCTTGTCGCCGAGTCGACCCCCGCCGCCCAATCGCCCACCCCATTGGGACCCCCGGCCCAGGCTCGGAAAGGCCCCTCCTTGCCAGGGTAGAGGAGAGGGACAGGGATGGGGAGGTCGGGGCGGGGTCGGGCTGGGGAGGGGCCAAGGGTGAGGACGGAGGAGGCGCTGGAGCCTGGGGTGGAGGTGAGGGTGGGCTCTGGGTGGGGGGCCCGGGGTGTGGGTGCAGGTGCGGCGCTGCAGGGGGCCCGGAGGGCGGCGGCTGGCTCCGCGGCGCTGGCCAGGGCGTGAAGGAACCGGGCTCGCTGGCTAGCTCACACTGCGGCACCGGCTGCGGGCGACCGCGCAGGTGGCTGGGTGCTGGCGGGGGTGGGGAGAGCGACGGGCGCCCCCCTTGGAGAACGAAGCGAAGCTGGGGTCTGGCCGGGCCTCACTCCGCTGCACTGGAGGGGTGTTCCCTGCGGACCCTGCTGGGAACCATGCGAAAGGGCACGTCCAGGGCGTGGGACAAACAGCCACCGGGGAGAAAAGAGCGACACCTGTCTCTGCTCGAAAGAGCGAGTGCAGGCCATGGGGGAACGGGGAGCCTACCTCCCCTGGCTCACGTCCGACTGGGCACAGAAGGTTCTAGACCCGCTGCCCTTCGCCGGCGCTTGTTAGTCTCCTTGCTGCCCAGGGATCTGGGCAATTGCAGTGAGGGCTACCCCAACTCGAGGCGATTTGGGGAATGATACAGGGGCACCTCACACCGAGAGGCTGTGAAGTCTGGCTCTGGGCAGAGAAAGGCCCAGGCGACACGCCCTGCCTAGCTTCCCAGCACTCCTCCAGAGAGCATCGGTGGATTCTTCCCACCCCCACCTCCCAGCTCACCGCCCTTCTTGGGGGAGGGGAGGTCACCCTGGCAGTCGGCCAGAGCTGGGGGAGGGGGAGACTGCTTCTCCGCTGCCCGGCTCCCTCCCCAGGAAAACATCTCTGAAAACCAGGTTAGTCCCTAGAGGCGGGAAGCCCAGATTGAAGGGCAGGGACCCCTCTGCCACCTGTAGGAAGGAGTGGCTTTCAGAGCATCCCTCCAGAGGCCTCTCGCATGGGGCTGCAGGGAGACAAACTGAGCTCTGGTCAGCTCTGCTCTGGGAGAAGGCTGTCCTTGCGGGACAGGACCCCAGCTCTGCCTCTGCAGACCAGTCCTGTTCACCTGGGTTGGTGCCTCTCTGACAAGGGGGCCCAAAAGAAAGGCAGCTGTGGGAGGACTGGGTGGGCCCAGGAACAGTGCTACTGTGCTGTGTGTACATGAGGGTTATGGAGGTCACGTGGCTGGCTCTTGTCTGCTGATACTCATTGCCTAAGATGGATGGTTCAGAGAAGGACGTTAGAAGGTAGTGTCCAGGCCCAGTATGGAGATGGGTTTGGGGGACAGGCTGGGCATTTCAGAAGAAGATCCACTCAGCCAGCCAGCGTTTGCCCTGGATTCTGATTGCCTGTTTTTAATAGATCCCAGTTTCATAGAGCTGACCATACCCTGTGTCTGGAAGGGATTTTGGTGGTATTCACATCCCAGTGCTAGTCTCACCCGGCCTGGAGCCCTGGGAGATAACCTGCAGGGATCAGGCAGCCTGGGGGTTGAATTCTTAGCTGTGTTGTCTTTAGTAAAATTTGAGGCCTCTCTGTGACTCACTTTCTGTCTCTGAAAAATGGTTGCTTGAAGACAATTCTCTTACTTCTTCATGTTTCTTTAGTGCCTCTCAAAGTGCCTGGCCCCTGGTAGGTTCTCAGCAAACATTTGTTCTAAGTCTGCACAAGCTTCAGAAAGGACTAGGAGTTTGGTGAAGAAAGTGTCTCTGGTGAGTTTGAGGGAACATCTGGGCTCCTTCAGAATCCCTGATGAACGGAGGCCCCTGCTGGGCTCCACAGACCCCCTTTGCTCCCAAAATCACAGAAATGAGAGCTGAAGCCTAAGAAATGAACCCACCACCTCTCCCATATGTTCAAATGGGAAGTCTGAGCCCCAGGGAACAGGGAGGCCTTGCCTGGAGTCCCAGAGTCCCATTGTGAGTTGCTAATGCTTCTGGGCTGGAGCCCCACCTCTCATTTCCAGTCCAATATTTTTCACTAGCGTGTCATTGTGAAGTAAGATGACCTTGAATTGGGGAAGCCAACAACTGGGGAGCCTCCCCAAGAGGGAGTAAGGGTTGCTTCTGTCCAGCCAGGCTTATAGTTGGGGCTTGTGACTGGTAGGAATGCTGAGTAGTTGGTAAGGAGCAGGGTTGTGAGCCCTTGGAACATGGTCATTAGAGAGTCACTGCTATCAGTGAGATGGGCTGCTGGCCACCCTGGTGCCTTCTGTCAGGGAGTCCCAAGGCCCTGAAAAGCCTGTTTCCAATTTGTTGCATTGTTAGTGGGTTCTTTTAGGTTTTACACAGCTTTTGAGTTAGGTAGGGGACATGTATGTGCATCTCTAAGCCTTATGGGATGGGGAGTCACCTCCACAGCCGCTTCTTCTACCTTGCCTGCACAGTTTTGCATCTGTTGGTCATTTGTGCCAGCATTCTCTGCAGCCTGTGCAGTGGAGAGAGCCACCTGAGGGCTGGCCCTCACGCTGGCCCTGGCTCGCTCTTTTTATATGACCTCAGAGGTCCCTTATCTTCTGTGCATGGGGGACTTGGGCCAGCTGAGCTCAGCGGAGTCTTTCAGAGCAGCATGGGCTTGCCGATATGAGCCGAGTGCCCTGGAGATGGGCCAGGGGAAGGAGCTGGAGGGATGTGGCTTTATCTTATTTCCTGTGCCTAGCATAATGGTGGCATTTCTCTAGCCTGGTGGGCAAGGGCAATGGATTCCCAAGAAGAGTGGCGTGCATGGACCAGGGTGTGGAGCACACCCTGGGCCAGATAATCGCAGGTGGACATCAGGTCTTTGAAGATACCAGGGAACTGGTTTGAATGGGAGGCCCTTGAGAAGCCACTCTGGAGGAAATACCTCAAGCCAGTGAAAGAGCCCCCCTCCTGGCAGCTGTCCCCCTGGCCTGTGGAATATAGGCTGGCTGACAGTGTCAGCTTGGCACAGGCTGGGATTGTGGGGAGGGTGCTGTGGACCCAGGATGAGAGATTTCCTTGTGGCAGGGAGGCTGTGGAGTCCCCCTGGTGCCAGATGGCTCTCTGGGCCTATTGGGTATGCCCCTGTGCTGATGGCAGTGGTAGGAGACATGGGAGGGTGACATATGTCAGTCCCGACTGGGGCATTTGATGGCGTCCGAGAAGACAAGCAGGAGCAGGTGTTTGAGGAGGGGAGAGTGGGCCTGTGGGACCCACGTCTTCCTCCTAAGCTCTAATGGCATTCTGTCGGCTTTTAGGCCTCACTTGGCACATCTCAGTGTGTGTGGTGGGAAGGGTCAGGGATGCGTCTGCTGTGCACTGTCTTCTTCTGACCTCCCCTTCCCCAAGACTCTTCCAGCAAAAGCAGGAAGACTGGATGGAGACGCAAAAGCTCTGTCTGCTTTCCTAGCTGAGGACGGCAGGCCAGTTTCTCGCTCTGACCAGCCACCTGCCTGCCCTGCCCCTGGTATTGTGCTGCTGGAGGTGCTGTCCATGTTGAGCATACTGTGAATAGCATTCCTTGGAGCTGTGCAATGAAGCGACTATGCAGGCAGCTGCCTTTTTGTTGCTCAGTTGTTTAGTCATTTGTTCATGTATCCTTCCGTCCCACTCCTTCTCTCTCCTGTCCTCCCTCCATTATCTGTTTATTTATTTATTCTTTGAGCGTATTCCTGCCCTCCTGGAACTTATAGTCCACTGGGAGCACAGACATTTGTGGATATAATTACAGTAAAGGTCTATGAGAGCCATGATGAGAGAAGAACAGCTGCTACTGGGGCCTAGAGCAGGGGCGCCTGACCCGCCTCTGGGGGCTGGTGTCAGAGGCAGCTTCCGTAGGCTAGCAAGGGATGCTTCTATAGGCAGTAGGCTACTGCTACTTCATCTTTGGGCTGTGTGTAGAAAGTAGGTCTTGGAACAAGCCCACCCTACCCAGAGGGCCTTGCCTGTTCTTCTGCTCTGCCCTGTAGAAAGTGTATGAGGTGGAGGTTCAGAGGACAAGGGTGACTCTCAGGTATCTGGCTTGGTGGTACTGAGTTGGGGCTGTCCCTGTACTTTCAGCCCATTCCTCTGTGGTTAAGGGTTAATGATCATTCAGTGGCCCCCACTGCCTGGAAGGCTCACTCCTCTGCCCGCAGCCTGACCCATCCTGACCCCTGCCCTCCCACTAGCCACACCATGGAACACCTGCCCTCCTGCAGGGAGCCCTTCATCAGCCTGGTAGATGTGCCAGCAGCCCCTCCTAGCAAGTTTCCTCCTCCCACCAATTTCCAGACTTACCTGCTCTTAGGTGCTCACTTCCACTCCTGCTCCCCTGGGCTACCAGCCCACCTGGCCACACACCATGGCATAGCTTTGGTTTTCTCTGAACATTTCTTAAATACAATACAATCATATGCTTCCCCATGACCTGTCTTCTGTTGTCTCTGTTAGCTAAGGATTTTAAAATGTTAACTTTTTCAGGTACAAAAACCGTAATTGAATTTTAAGCATCTTCTGAGGTCTATGTCTTAGTCATCATTTCACCCCTCCCCACCTGCAGGTAGTTTGTGCTTATTAAGTATCTTGATTTGAAAATGATGAGATTATCCTTGCTGTGTGAGATTTGCTGATGGCCCATCAGTAGATTAAAAGTGAAGGAAGTTGAGGTGGCTTGAAATAGGATTCCTATTTCAAATTCCTGACACCTGCTGCTTTTTTAAGCCAGATTTTTTACCAGCAATATCTTAAGAATCTTGGCTTACTGCAACCTCCGCCTCCCGGGTTCAAGCAATTCTTGTGCCTCAGCCTCCCGAGTAGCTGGGACTACAGGCCCACACCAATACGCCCGGCTAATTTTTGTATTTTTAGTAGAGATGGGGTTTCACTATGTTGGCCAGGCTGGTCTCGAACTTCTGACCTCAAGTGATCTGCCCACCTCAGCCTCCCAGAGTGCTGGGATTATGGGTGTGAGCCATGGTGCCCAGCTGGATCATGTAACCTTGGTCATGCGCAACTCACAATTCATCTCAAAAAACCTGAAGTTCTTGGGGGGCACTTCCTCATTCCTAGTCTCTGAAGAAATACATGAGAACAACCAGGCCACCAGAGGTGGAAAGGGACACACCAGACCTCAGCTTGCCAGAGCTCACTTTGACATCTGGAAGAAATCACCCTGTTGCCCTGAGCCTTAGCTTCCTTCTCTTGATTTCTCTCCTCCCAATTTTTCTCCTTTCCTCAGTGGCTGGCATAAGAAGGGGCACCTTTGTGGAGGTTGGGTACAGGCCCAGAACCTTTGCTTTTTTATTTGTTTAAACAGATGTGTGTGAGTGAGAGAGTCAGACAGACACCAGGATGAGAATTAACCTGTACTTGGTATAAGAGGAAGGTGGCACCTTTAATCTGATGATGCATAGCAAGAGAACTTGCCAGCAAAGAAAAAAGAAACTTAGAATATGTTCTGGCTGCGTAGATGTAATAATAATTACTGTCTTTTGCATGATCTGATGATCATTATCATTTGCAGCCCCCAGATTATAATGAATCACATTAAATTATAACAAAATAAGGCTGGGCGTGGTGGCTTACGCCTGTAATCCCAGCACTTTGGGAGACCAAGGTGGCAAGGTGGGTAGATCACTTGAGGTCAGGAGTTCGAGACCAGCCTGGCCAACGTGGCAAAATCCTGTCTCTACTAAGAAGTACAAACATTAGCCAGGCATGGTGGCGCATGCCTATAATCCCAGCTACTTGGGAACCTGAGGCAGGAGAATCGCTTGAACCCGGGAGGCGGAGGTTTCAGTGAGCCGAGATGGCACCACTGCACTCCACCCTGGGCAACAGAGCAAAACTCCATCCCAAAATAAATATATATATATATATATATATATATATATATATATATATATATATATATATATATAACAAAATAACCTTATTGTCCTTTTGTTCCTTATTCTATCCCTAAAATCAGTCTATGACTATCTTTATAGATGTTGCCCCGACATTGCAAACTTTGCAGACTGGCCGGGGCCAGGCCCAAGGGTGGTAACATTTGTATCCCATCCAGGCTGCAGATTTCCCCTGTCCTCCCCACCCAAGTCGTCCATTGTTGCCGAATGCATCGGCCATTGAATGTGTAGGGCTGTCTGGTTTCAGTGTGGTTAACTTTGGGAAATTATTGGACAGAACCACTGGGGAAGGTGACAGAAGGCTAGGTAGAACAGCAGAATTCATAAACATTCAGGGTGGACTACCGGGAAAGCTGATGGGCATTTTCTCTGCGTCTGCCATTCTTTTCCATTTCTCACCACAGGGAAGAGAAGCCGAGGGAGCTCTGGTGGAGGTTGCCAGGGAGAAGTACCAGACACGCCCTGAAATGGACAGCTTTTGTTAGGGTGGAAAGACAGGCTGCCAGGAAATGGGGCTCCAAGCAGGGCCTGGGGACTGGAAGCCCCTGGGAACTTGGAATGCCAGTCCAGTCTTTGTTTCCTAGAACAAGGGAAGGAAAAGATGAAGACTCACAACTCTTAAGGACTCCTAGGATGTTCTTTACCATATCTTGGGGCTTGAGATTTCAAAATTGTTTTCATTATTTTCATAACTTTTGCCCTAAACAAAGTAAGATCTTTTTAAAAAATATTGACTGATATACATAATTTAGCATTTTAATAAAGTGATTTATTTTTTGTAGAAAAACTTATTTATTCTGATCTCTTGGTAACAAGGCCAGAGGGAGCCCAGGTGACCAGATCACATGCTCTGGGCCAGCCATCACCTGTCCCAAGGGGCTGACATACCTAAGGGACAGGCCCAAGTCCTGAGGAGGCAGATGTTACCTCACCCCTGAGGGCAGAATAGAGCTTTCAAAGCAAAGGTTACTTCCAGGAAATGCATAAAAAGAATGGCAGCCTGTGTCCTTCCTCACATGAGTTCACTCACGTGGCATTTATTGAACATCCACTATGCCGGAGGCTCCACACAGGGCACTTTTTATCTTCCCAGCCACCCTGTGACGGATGTGGGATCATCCCTGTTTTGTGGGTCAGGAGGCAGAGGCTCAGAGAGAGCTGGCCCTGCCCAAGGACTCACTGTGAGTGTGGCAGAATTAGAATTCAGACCCAGGTCACTGTGAGAAACACAGTGGACTATCAGACCTCTTGCCTCAAAGGCAGCTTCTGGCCTAGGACTGGAGCGGAGGAGACAGAAGAACACTGAGGTCTTCTGGACACGAGGTCTGCTGTGCATGACTCGTGGGGAGTGTTTGTGCCAAGCTCTTTGCTAAAGAGGAACCTGCGGGGCCCTGAGCAGGGAGGAGGGAAGCAGGGTCTCCGTGTGGGAGCTGCTGGAGCTGGTCTTGCACAGCAGGCACCCTGTTCTTCCATTTGTGGTGCTTTGAAGGGAGTTGATAGAGCCTATGGGGGCAGCTAAATCCCTCCCAAGTCAGCCCTCAGCCCACTGCCATGGTTCTAGCTGAGAACTAATTACTAACCAGGGAAGAACCAATTAAACTAAATGGCTGGTTCCCACCTACTCTGGGGTAACCCTTTCCTGGCCACATCCTCCCTTCTGGCTTGGAGATACCAGGGCCCTGAAGACCCTGATTCTATTCCCGGTCTGTCACTGGCTGGCTGTATGTTGGATAAGCCCCAGCCCATCTCTGGCTTTCTCCGTGTATCCCCTCAAGGCTACTGGGCTGGGTGACCCCTTGGGCCAGTGGAGCTCTAACTCTGGTTCTGCAATTCAGTGCCAGCTCTGAGTATGAGGCCAAGCCAATAACACTCCCAGCCTGGAGACAAGCATGCTGCTGGTGAGAGGGGCTGCAGGAGTGAGATGGGGGATCAGGGGCTCTGCGACTGTTGCCCCCAGAACTGTCCTGGGTCCCACATGCAGGATCTTCTCCAGCCTACCACCTCCTCTCCTGGGAGGCATTCCTGGCCCCCTACACCTGAGTGCAACCCTCCCTGGGGGCACAATGTGGGGGAGGGGCATGCTGGCTCCCTTCTTCTGAAGATGTGCTTGGCTCTGGTTGCCAAGCAACAAGGATGGGGCTATCCTGCACTTCTGCTTCCAGGAGGTGTGTCTTCCACACAGAGAGGAACCATGATTAGGACGACAGGGCAGGTGACACCTCCCAGGTGCTCCTAGCCCAGGGGCACCCCTTTCCACAGCCTGGTGGGAGGGGTAAGCTGGGAGGGCAGGGAAAGGACAGAGCCAAGAGGGGTATATGGTGTCCCCAGCAGACCTAGGAGGGCTTAGAGACCCGGCCCCAGCCCCAGCTCCCACCCCCACCCCATCACCATATTGGTCCTCCTGCATCCTGGGCTTCCACCTCAGCCCACCCCTCTGCTGAATGGATGGTGTTGGTGTGCAATGGCACCACCTGTGCTCATTTTCCTCACCTGTGCAGGAAGTTGATCATTACCTTGTTGGGGTTCCAGGAAGATCAAGTACATCTATACATGGCATGTGATTAAGGCTCACATGATAAAAGCTCAGGTGATAGGTAATTTTGTTAATGAAATAGTAACAGCAATCTCCATCTCCTCCCTCATTGCAGAAGTAGGGTGCGAGATTTTGAGAATCATTGATCATTTCTGTATTGTGAACTGTGGGGTCTACATCCTCGTGATCTGGCAGGAAGAGCTGCTCATCCCATTTTATAAAGAAAGCGAAGGTCTGCCAGGTGAAGGCTTTTACACAGATGGAAGGACCCTTTGACTCCCTGGCCAGTGTTTTCCCCAGCTCCCCATCCCTGCTCAGAGACAGGCTGGCAAAAAGTGGGACAGACTCACCATGCCTGCTCCTCTGGGGCCACCAAACCTGCTCAGGGGAAGAGTACCTCATCTTCACAGCTCCGTTACTTCCTGTAAGGAGCTCAGCCAGGGTGGAGTATAAGGGCAGAGGCTTTGCAGCATTGGGGTTATATGCCTTCAGATGTGTGAGGTCGGTAGTACTTGGCCCACAATAAGCAGGCAACAAATCTCAGCCAGTATTAAGATTAGTATTACATACACAAGCAAGGCTATGGGCGTGATGTGCTTGGAGGAGTCAGGGAAGGCTTTCTGGAGGAGGTTTTGCATAGTGAGCAGGAACTCACCAGCAAAGAAGGGGAGGCACTGAGGGCAGAGGGCCTGACCATGCCCAGGCAGTGAAAGGCTTGGGGTTTCTGGGGAATCGGGTGTGGTTCAGGGTGGTGGGATTCTGGTGCGGGTGGAGAAATAGTGGGGGAGAAGGGGTTGAGCCTGGGGGAGTCAGTAGGGTCAGGCCCTGGAGGACCTCCCTGCAGGCAGTGGGGATCCACTGGGGAGTTTTGACCCAGAGGGACATGCTCATGGATTAGAAGGTGAAGGCAGAATGTGTTCTGATTGGAGGCAGGAGATCCAGGTGGCTGAACTAGGTCAGAACAGAAACGTTCCGAGGATGGAATTTATAGAGAGGGCTTGTAAACTTAAGCTTCCTTCCAGTTCTGAAGCTCAGCTCCACTGCAGATGTATATTTTCTTGATTCTTTCTCTTAGAATGAGGCCTCAGGAACAATGAAGGATTGTAGGGGAGGGACTATTGTCTCTCTCTGCAAGGCCACACTGTACGCAGATGGACCAAAGCTAGCCCCTTTAAGCTCCCCTGTCCATCCTATCTCCACAGTGCCCTGGGTTCCCTGACTGCTCTGGCCTTCCATGGGTGTTCTGCGGGACTGCTGGCAGCCCTTCCGGACTCCTCCCTCTCTGCTACCTGCTCAGGTTGGATGTGGCATATGACCAGAAACTGGCCATTGGGTGTGTGAGCTCCCCTATCCTCTGGTCATTGGATGTGTGAGTCCCCCATCCTCTGGTCATTGGGTGTGTAAGTCCTCTGTCCTCTGGTCACTGGGTATGTGAGTTCCCGTCCTCTGATCATTAGTGTGTGAGCAGCCCATCCTCTGGCCATTGGATGTGTGAGTCCCCCGTCCTCTGGTCATTGGGTGTGTGAGTCCCCCGTCCTCTGGTCATTAGGTGTGTGAGTCCCCTATACTCTGGTCATTGGGTATGTGAGCCCTCCCTCCTCTGGTCATTGGGTGTGTGAGTTCCCGTCCTCTAATCATTAGTGTGCGAGCAGCCCATCCTCTGGCTGTTGGATGTGTGAGCCCCTTGTCCTCTGATCATTGGTGTGTGAGCAGCCCATCCTCTAGCCATTGGATGTGTGAGTTCCCCATCCTCTGGTCATTGGGTGTGTGAGTCCCCCATCCTCTGGTCATTTGGTGTGTGAGTTCCCCATTCTCTGATCATTGGTGTGTGAGCCCCCCATCCTCTGGTTATTGGGATATATGAGCCCCGCCGTCCTCTGGTTATTTGGTGTGTGAGTCCCCCGTCCTCTCATCATTGGTGTGTGAGCCCCCCATCCTCTGGTTATTGGGATATATAAGCCCCCCCGTCCTCTGATTATTTGGTGTGTGAATCCCCCGTCCTTTGATCATTGGTGTGTGAGCCCCCCATCCTCTGATCATTGGTGTGTGAGCCCCTCATCCTCTGGTTACTGGGATATGTGGGGCCCCCTGTCCTTTGGGCACTGGGTATGTGAGTCCTCCATTCTCTGTCATTAGGTGTGTTTGTGTCCTGTCCTCTGGGCACTGGGTGTGTGAGCACCCCCGTCCTCTGGTCATTAGTTATATGAGGCCCCCTAGCCCTGTTATGCAGCTTCCTGTCCCTCCCTGTCTCACTGGACTTCTCTTCCAGTGGACACTTGATCACTTCCTTTGCTTTCTTGGATATTTTCCCCTATGCCTGTCTGCTGGGTTCCATCACCCCAGCAAGCTCCGGAGTCCCCAAGGACTTGAGAGAGAGCAGCATTGTAGAAGGGAGTGCCCCTTTCCATGCCTTGGAGAACAGAGACCCATCTTAAGCTGGCTGCACAAAAAGCTAAGGCTGAAAGCCAAGGGGCCAGAGTAGAGGCAGACACTGCCGTTTTGAACCCTCCCCTAACCCAGAGAAGGCAGCCTGTTCAGGTCAATTGGTGCACCCCCCTGCTCACGGGTCAGCTCATGATCTGCTTTAAGTTTTGAAACCCCACCCTCTAAAGGCCTGATGACTTTTGCTCCCTGCCCTTCCTGTTCTTCTGCATAGGCAGTGCCCACTGGACGTTACTGAGCACCACCTTGGTATTCCTTTGCCAGTGTAGCTGGTGCATGGAGTAATCCTAATTTTGCAGCATCAATGATTACAGCATTTTTCAGTCACCACCCTTGGCCTCTTTGAGCAGTGCCAGGTTGTGAGTTCAGGGTGGGTAAGGAGAGCTGCCCCCTCATCTTGGTGCTCAGCAGAGGTGGCTCTTCTGCCTGAAGCAGCTGGCCCAGAGAAAAACTGGTTTGGAAGGCTGGGCCACAAACAACACAGCCCAGCTTTGACCTCTTCCAGCCTCCTCTGGTCCCTCTGTTTCCCCCAACCCTGGGGCAGGCAGGAGGAGGACCATTTTGGCTCAGGATTGGAGAGCTGCAACTTTGGCCTGTGCACCAGGGACAAGTCCCTAGAGATAAGGAAAACCTTTCTCTCTGGGAGTGGCTGTGCTAATTCTGAGAAAGGAAGAGAAAATGTTCTTTTCTGACCCTGTCTGTGAGTGGGGGGAATAAACACTGCATAGACTAAACAGTAAGTGAGGCACTTAGAACACATTTCTTGTTTCTTTCCCCTGTTCAGTAAAAGAGGAGGGCTAAGAGGGCAAACAGGGGAAGCAAGGGGCACTGGGGAAGAGAGATCCATAGAAGTGCTGAGACCGAAGGGAGAGGCTCACAGACACTGCTTCCTACCAGACACAGATGGGGGCTTGTTGGCCATGCACAGGGCCCTTGGGAGCCAGGGTGGGTCAAGGTCCGGGCAGGGTGCTGTCCATCCCAGGGTCCTAACCAAATTTAATGAAAGGCTGGAGGTTCCCATGGAGCCACTGATGAGTATGGGGGCACAGGACGATGGACCAGTTCTGTGTTTGTGTGGAGGACAAGATGAGGAGCTCCAGCCCAGCAAAGCAGGGGAAATGAGAAGAGAGAAAGGCTGTTACCTTGCCTTGGAGGTTGAGGGAGGGTGTTTTCCAGCACACTGCCTCTGTGCTGCCAGCACTGGCTTTGAGGAGCAGACTGAGCTTTGTCTCTTCCTCCCCAAGGCTGTCTGGCTCTGCCTCACTGTGACCCTGCAGTTCCCAGACTGTCTCTGGGCTGCTGTGAGTAGAGTCAGGTCTTGGCACTAGTGATCTTTGTTTGGTTCTGCACTTCTGTGAACAGAGCAAACCTCCAAAGGGTTTCTTTTGGGGGAGAAACCACTCCCAAATTATTTTAAGGATATTAGCAAATCCTACTTGTGGCACCAAGATCTGGAAATTATCCCCTGATTCTGATTCATTAAATTCCCCTCCCTCCCCTACATTCAACCCAAACACTGCAGGCTGCTGCCCAGATTAGAAGTGAACTGGAGACCTGAAGAGGTACCTAGCTAGCCACCTGACCCTGACTCTCACCCATCTTCATCAGAAGAGGATAGCACCCCAGATGTTGGGCCAGAAGAACTCAGCTCCTCTCCTGCCTCTATCATGTAGCAAGAAGACCACACTCAGCTGGAGTTGTGGCCTGGGCAGCTGTGTCTGCTGGTCCTTCCACCTCTGCCTGGGGGAGGGCTGGGTGTGATGTGGGAGAACTGGATAGAGCAGCATGCAGATGCCCAGTGAAGCACACAGGCAGGACTCAGCCTCTGCCCAGGCCAGCTAGGAGCGCTTTAGTCTCAAGGCAGAGACCTGTGAGGTTTTGTTCCAGGTGATCAGCCCGGTTCACCACAGTGGGAGAAAAGGCAGAGGTGGAGTAAAGAGTAAAGGCTGCATCTCTTAGGAACCTGACTGTGAGATGGTGTGGTAGACACAACCTAAGGTGACCCCAGGTGAGTCATACCCTTGCATAGCCTCCTCCCCAGAGTGCAGATGGAACTTGTGACTTGCTTGTAGCAAATATAGTGTGGCAAAGGTGATAGGTGGCATTCCTTCAATCAGGTTATGTTGTACGGCAAAGGTTCAAAGGTGATGGGATAGTCCCTCCCATGATTATGTTTCTTTATGAGACTCCTCTTGCTGGCCTTGAAGAAGTAAGCTGCTGTGCTGAGAGAGGGCCTGTGAGGGGGTCACGTGGCAAGGGATGTGGGTGGCCTTCAGGAAATAAGAGCAGCCCGTGGGGGGAAGTCCTACAACCACAAGGAACCAAATTCTGTCAACAAGCACACAAGCTTGGAAAATGACTCCCTGATCCAGAAAGAAATGTAGCCCAGCTGACACCTTGATTACATCCTTGTGACATGCTGAGCAGAGGATCCAGTGAAGTCATGTCCAGACTCCTGACCCATGGAAATATGACATAATAAATGTATTAATATATTGTTTTAAGCCACTGAATTCCTGGTATTTGTAAAAGCAACAGATAACTAATACAGATAGGGTGAAGATTTTAGAGGAAGGTGACACCTGAGATGGCCTCATTTTACACAGAAGACATTGGAGTGTCCAGGAGGAGCTGAGACCTGTCAGGTTAAGTAGCCAGCCTGGTCCAACCTGTGAAGCACTCATTGGGGTCAGGCCCTGGTTCTTGATCTGCTATTGTTCTTTCTTCCTGTTCTGTCTTTGTGTTCTGAGTAAACCCTCCTTCTTTCTAGGCCTCAGATTTTTCCTCTGTGGCATGCAGGGCTAGACCACATATTCTCTAGGCCCTTCTTGCCATGACGTGATTTTCTGAGGTCACTCTGATCATCTGTGATCCTTCTAGAAGCTGGGCCTCCAGGCATTAGTGTGGTTCACTCTCTGCTGCTCCTTGGCACTTCCCATGTTGTGTGTTTCCATTTGGGCCTCATGACACAGGGACACATTGGTAAGCCTTCTGGGCTCAGATTAGTGGCAAAAGCAGGAGTAAGAAGAGCAGTCTCTGAGGTCAAGCCCTTGGCTGTGCACCGAAAGAGATAGTGTCTGGCCATGACCCTGGTGCTGTGTGATCCTGGGCAAGTGGTCCCTCTTCTGTGGCCCCTCTTCACATCTCCTCTGATAAGATCAGCTCCAGTCTCCTCTGTGGCTCATCTATAGTGCTGCTTTTGAGAAGGGCTAACCTTAGGGACCCAGAGCTCGCAGCATGGGGACAGGTGAGCCTGGCCACCATCTCCTTGCCCTGGTGCCCAAGCATCCAAGTCCAGTGGGGGATATGTGGACATTGACGCAGCTCCCCTTGATCCACCCCCCAGCCTGGCCCTTTGTTGACCCTAATGCCTGACCAGCAGTCTCAGTCCATAAGGGCTAGAGACACAGTGGGCCTCCTGGCCTGCTTGGTGGTCCTGTGCCTACTCCCGGGTCCAGGGTCCTTGGGATCTAAGTGCATTTTCCACCCCAGAGTCAGTGGTCTTCATCTCTTAAATTTCACTGGAAAGGCCATCACTACTCTTGAATCAATCCTGAGCAGGTGACATTGAGTCCTTCTGGGGGCAGGAGGAGAGTTCTTTCTGTTGACTGAATGAGAGGTCTAGAAGTTCACTCTGCCCCTTGTGCTCCCCTCACCACCTGGCTCTGCAGGGGCAGGGGCAGGGCCTGTGCCCTCCTCCTTGGCAAAGTAGAAAAGTTGAGCAGCAGCGAGCAGGCTGTGTGAGGGTGTATGGAAGGACAGGAAGAGAAGCTGGGGCTGCAGAAGTGCAGGGACAGCTTCCTGTGTTGATGGAGACCGCAGGGCTTCCTGGGTTAGCAGGTCAGCACTATGGCTGCCAAGGCCAAGGGTTCCTCTGAGAAGGGGGCAGGCATCCGGGATGATGCCTTGCCTGCATCAGCCTGCAGTCTAGAGGCCTCCTTCCACTTGCCTGAGCAAGCTTTGTCTCATGGCGAGGCCACAGCTGTGTCATCACTGTTGGGTGTTACGGGCCCATTGGCCTTGTCACAGACCTTCTGACTGGGTCTCAGCTGACAACCTGGGAAACACAAGTTTCGCTCTCAATACTCTGTTTACTCATTCTCCCTGCCTCAGCCTTCTTTTCCTATTACTGAGTCTTTTAACATCAACACTACTAGCAGTTAAGCCTTGGGTATATAAGCCTTGGGTATTAAAGCATATACATTACTTTGCCAAACTCCATGCTGGTTGGATGGGCCAAGACTTCTGTCAGTTAAATAAGCTACCAAGTTACATTAATACTAGCCTTGTCAAAGATCAGATGGTGGTGGGAATTTAACTTCCTCCTTCTCTACAACTATGCATACTCACTGTGAATTAATTCTTCACAGCACCCATGCAACTGCTCAAATGCACAGGCAGGATTGGCCTGTGTAGGGTCTGGCCAGAGTTGGGTTGAGCCTCAAACCAATTGAAATAGACTGTATTCTGCCTGCTTCAGTCTAGCTCTCCAGGGAAGCTATGGCAGAGGGTAACTGTGTGTGCTAAGGATGTAGACTCTTGTTCTCTGAGCTATGAGAATAGGGTGGCTAGCATTCAAAGCTAGCTGGTGCTGCTGCTGCTCTTAGGTCCAAGAGGAAAGATCCTGCTCCTTTTTGAAGCTGCCAAGTGTATGTGAGAAGGCTTAGCAAGGCAGAGAGGATTCAGAACATAAGTGAGCTGACCATGGAGGTATGCAGTCTACACAAGCTGTTTGGTCAGATCTCAGGTGATTTTCAAGTAACCCTGAAGGTATTGCCCTTGACTGTCGGTCCTCATAGCTAAGACACTGGGGAACTAAAGAGTTCCTACCATACCAGGGCCTGTGATGCCTGCTGAGTTGAGCATGTGTGTGTATGTGTACTTGCATGCATCTCTGTGCATGTGCAGACATGGTGGTTACACATGGACCCTGGCCACTGAATTGATTGATCCAGGCTTTCTGTCTCCTGGCCTGTGGTTAGAAGGGCGCAGAGCAGTTCTCCAGTGCCCAGCTAAGTCTTGGTCCTTCATGAAGCCTGAGTTGATGCCAAGTACAGTTATACTCTAGTTCCTTAGGAAAATTTCATGCTGACCAGAATGTTTAATTAGTCAGAACAAGCCATTTTCTGAATGTGCTAGGAATCTAAGAAACATGGATGTGTGCGTGTAATTAAAATAATTTTTTCTGTAACTTTTTATTTTGACACAGTTTTAGGATTATACAAAGACTTTACATATGCCTTTCACCCAGATTCCCTGAATTTTAACTTGTTACTGCTTTCATAGAATTCATAACAATTCTGTGAGATAGGCATTTTTGTCCTTATTGGATGTATGAAGAAAGCTGAGCCTCAGAGAGAATAGGAACTAACCCAAGATCACACAAGAAATGAGTGGCAGAGCCAGGATTAAAACCCAGGTCGGTCAGACTTTAGTGCACATGCTGACCCCATGTGATGTAAGTGTGAATGTGTGGGTATCCTGCTCCTTCTGCCCACAGAGCTTTCTTTCTTGTATTGTTGATCTGCTAGCAGTGAATTGTCTCAACATATGCCTTTATTTCACCTTCATTTTTGAAAGATTTTTGCTAGGTATAGAATTCTGTGTTGACAATATTTTTCTTATAGTATTGCAAAGGTGGCACTTCATTTTCTTCCGGTTTGCATAGCGTCTGACAGGGTAGCAGATATTTCTCTATGTTTTCTTAGGTCTGTGATCTAATATATTGTTGCTAATTTTGTTTAAATAGTCAATTATCTTTTAAAGAGACTCAAATAATAGAAAGATCTTACATACACATGTAGTGACCATTTCCTGTGTTCATCATTCCATTGTATAAATCCGCATTTCCATCTGGTTTCATTTCACTTCTTCCTGAAGGACTTTCTTTAACATTTCTTGATGTGAGAGTGTGCTGGTGATGAATTCTGTCAGCTTTTGTATGTTTGAAAAAGTCTTTATCTCACCTTTGTTTTTGAAAGATGTTGTCCCTGGACATAGAATTCTAGGTTAACAGGTTTTTTTCTTTCAGTACTTTATAGATATTGCACCATTGCCTTCTTGCTTGCATTGTTTCTGAGGAGAAATATACTGTCCTTTTTATGTTTGTTTCTCTGTACATAATGTGTCTTTTTTTCTCTGACTACTTTTATGATTTTTTTTGTCACTGACTATGCAATTTGACTAAGATGTGCCTTGCTGTAATTTCCTTTATGTTTCCTGTGCTTGGGATTTTTGAATCTGTGGATGTATAGTTTTCTTTAATTTTGGAGTATTTTCAGTCATTTCTTCAAATATTTTTTCTGTCACTGCCTCTCCCTTCATCCTTTGAAGACTCCAGTTACATGGATGTTAGACCACTTGACATTATCATAGAGCTTACTGGTGTTCTTATCATTTATTGTCATTCTTTTTTCACTGTGTTTCACTTTAGGTAATTTTTATTACTGTCTTCAGGTTCATTGATCTTTTCTTCTGCAACATCTAATCTGTTTAATCATGTCAGCCAGTGTAGTTGTTACCTCTGGAAGTTTGATTTGTGTCTTTGAAAATCTATTTTTTACCCCGTGTAACTTCTTAAACATATTATACTATATGTTATTATACTAACATATAGTATATAGCATATATTCTATATATAATAACTAAGTTATATATAATATATATTATATAACAGTTATAATATATAATAACTATTTCTTAATATCTTTATCTGCTAATTATAACATCTCTGTCAGTTTGGGGTTGGTTTCAGTTGATTGTTTTTTCTGCTCTTTATGAGTCTATTTTCTTGCTTTTTTACATGCCTGATAATTTTTTATTGGATACCAGACATTGTGATTTTTGCCTTGTTGTGTGTGGATAGTTTTTCTGTTCCTATAAATATTCTTAAGATTTGCTAGCTGTGGCCAGAGTAGGGCTCAGTGTATGGCTAATTATTACCCACTGTGAGGCCCAGCCCTTCTGAGGACTCTCCCCAGCATCCCGTAAATGATGAGACTTTCCACTCTGGCTGCTGGGCAAGAGCACAGTCTCCAGCCTGGTGTGGATGCCAAGCACTGTTTCCTCTAGTCCATTTGGGCAGTCTTTCCCCAGTCTCAAGTAGTTTCCTCATATACATTTGCTGATCAGTGCTCAGCCGAAGGCTTGAGGGAAACCCTTTGCAGGTCTCTGCCATTCCCTTTCTGCATCTCCCTCTCTCTGGTATTCCATCTTCTGAACTCTAGCTGCTGTGTTTTCTCTGAGCCTCAGCCCTATCCTTTCAACCTAGGGTTTCCAGTGGGTTTCACCTGGGTCCCCACTCCCTGTGCTGTGGCCTGGAATTTTCTGAGGGCAGTAATCTGTGGGGCTCCCCTCCTCTGTTTCATGTATCTCAGGGGTCATCATTACCTAATATCCTGTGGCTTGAAAATTGTTGTTTCATATATCTTGTCTGTCTTTTGGTTGTTTCAGGTTAGAGGCTAAATCTGGTCCCTGTTACTCCATTTTGACCAGAGCTAAAGTCTTGGGACCTTTTTTTTTTGTGTGTGTATTCATTTGTTTATAGGGAACATCAGTCTGGGCAGGCAGTGTTGCGTGGTCTGGTTATCAGCCTTGATTTTCATCTGGGATGTTCATCCAGTTGATTGTATAAATATGTAGACTTGCCCTCCAAGTGGCAACAAAATTTCTGCACTCCAGACTCTTTTTGAGAACTTTCTGCTGCCCAGCTCTTATAAAAAGCTCAATATTGGCAATTGATATAGTTTTATCTCCTGAACACTGTGAATCTTACCCTTGGTTGTGCTTCTTTTTTTCCCCTTTGACTGCCAGGGAGCTTAGACAGTTTCTTAGTCTACCTTCAATAATTAGGGAAGATTTTTCAAGATTTTTTTTGTAAGCAAATTTGTGGTCCAGCTTTCTCTTTTTAGCTTACATAACTTTTGCCTTATATTTTATCTCTCTCAGCATTTGTAGTTGTGAATAAGAGAGAGAAACTCTCTCTATACAGCAGATTTGAGCAAGCAGTGAATGTATTAGAGGAATGATTGGGAAGTTCATAGAATCCTTGGGAGGGTCAGAGATCTGGGCTTGGAGCAGCAGCCCGAGTCATATAGAACTGGTCCGGGGGAGACACAGCTCCTATGCTGTGTTCTGGCAGGTGCCAATGTTGAAATGCATGTCATGGCTGCCCCTGAATTTAGAATACAGAGGGAATTCTCAGTCTCACCAGATTCATGTCAGTTGAATCTGGTAGAGTCTTACGTGAACATCTGTTGGGAGAAGCCTCAGTTATTTGCCTACAAAATAGCTGCAGAGGAGGCTCCTACACTGGGGAGAATGGTTTTGGACCTCCCCAAACACAGTAGGGGTATTCAGAGGGATTGGGAGGCTTTTCATTGTTATTGATACATAGCTACTTTATTCTGATACTATTTTAAATAATTACGTTTTCAAATCTTATTTTCATGAGTCATAAGTACAAGTACTCCTTGTGCACAGTAGTCGCATGCCGGATAGTACTGCCTCTCCCTCCACACGAGTGCGTTCGGTTCTCCTCTGCCTGATTTTGAAGCTGGGGTTGACTCTTGGCACCAGCGTTTCTTAGGGTAAGGTAATGGGATGCATTCTGTGGGCAATGTACCCCAAGTCATTAGTCCTCACAGCAGACTTGGCTGTAGCAGGTAGGGAAATGGATTGTCCCTAGTGCCCTGAGTGTCTGCTTCAGGCTGGGGGACAAGAAGAAATCTCAAGTCAGGTGTGGACTCTCAGTTTAGAAGCCCCAGGGCAGGGATGATTTGCAGTGTCCTGAGAGCTCATAAGGCTCTATGGGAGTATGGAAGGGCTGAGGCCAAGACTGATGTGCAGGCTGGGCCTGGGGGCTTTGGAAAGTGAAGAAGAAAAGCTGGAAATATCAAGTATATATTATTATTAACTGGAGTCACCATGCTGTATAGTGCGTCTCCAGAACTTCTCTTATAACTGCAAATTTGTACCCTCTAATCAGCATTTCCTCCATTTCCCCACCTCTGACCCCTGGTAACCACCCTTCTACCCTGTGCTTGTATGTGTTCTACTTTTTTAGTTTCCACATATAAGTGAGATCATGCAATATTTGTCTGTGTCTTGTCGAGTAGATCTTAAGTATTCTTAACACATGCACACACACACACACGTGTAACTGTGAAGTAATGAATATGTTAATTAGCTTGATTGTGGTAATCATTTCACAATGTATATATAGTCATGTGCTGCATAGCAATGTTTTGGTTAACGACAGACCGCATGTATGAAGGTTGTCCCATAAGATTATAATGGAGCTCAAAAATTCCTGTTGTCTAGTATTGCCTATGCTATACTTTATGTTGTTATGTTTAGAGTGTACACCTTCTACTCACTTTTTTTAAAAAGGGAACTGTAAAACAGCCTCAGGCAGGTCCTTCAGGAGGACCTCCAGAAAGCAGTATTGTTATCACAGGAAATGACAGCGCCGTGTGTGTTACTGCCCTTGAAGACCTTCTAGTGGGAGACGGAGAGGTGGAAGACAGCGATATTGGTGATCCTGACCCCATGTAGGCCTAGGCTAATGTGTATGCTTGTGTCTTAGTTTTTAACAAAAAAAGTTTAAAAGGTAAAAAAAAAAAAATTAATAGACAACATATAGAATAAAGATATAAAGAAATAATTTTTGCATAGCTGTACAGTGTATGTATTTTAAGCTAAGTGTTATTACAAAAGAGTCAAAATGTTAAAACAAGTTAAAAAGTTTATAAAGTAAAAAATGTTGTAGTGAGCTAAGGTTAATTTATTATTAAAGAAAAATATTTTTAAATAGATTTAGTGTAGCCTAAATGTACAGTCTATTGTAGTGTAATGTCATAGGCTTTCACATTTACTCACCACTCACTGACTGACTCACCCAGAACGACTTCCAGTCCTATGGCTCTGTTCATGTTTTATGTTTTTTACCATACTTTTACTGTACCTTTGCTGTTTAGATATGTTTGGATACACAAATACCACTGAGTTACAATTGCCTACAGTATTCACTGCAATAATGTGCTGTGCAGGTTTGTAGCCTAGAAGCAATAGGGTACCATTATAGCCTAGGTGTGTAGTAAGCTGTACCATCTAGGTTTGGGAAGCATACTTTATGATGTTTGCACTACGACAGAGTCACCTAATGATGCGTTGCTCAGAACTTATCCCTCTCATTAAGCAAAGCATGACTATAGATAGATAGATGGATGACCCTTGAACAAGATGGGTTTGAACTATGCATATCCACTTAAAGGTAGATATTTTTCAGTAAAATTCACACCAGTGTGCCTGCCTGTCCTGCCTCCCTGTCCACCTCTTTCACCTCTTCTCTGCCATTTTTGAGACAGCAAGACCAACCCTTTCCCTTCCTCCTCCTCTTCAGCCTATTCAACGTAAAGACAATGAAGATGAAGACCTTTATGATGATCCACTTTCACTTAATGAACAGTAAATCTATTTTCTCTTCCCTATGATTGTAATAACATTTTCTTTTCTCTAGCTTATCTTAAGAATAGAGTATATAATACATATAACACAAAATACCTGTTAATCAACTGTTTATGTTATCAGGAAGGCTTTGGTCAACAGTAGGCTATTATAATAGTTAAGTTTTGTGGGACTAAAAAGTCGTATGAGGATTTTTGACTATGCAGGGTATCAGTGCCCCAACTCTTGCCTTCTTCAAGGGTCAACTCTCTATATATTAAAACGTCACATTTTACACCTTGAATATATAAATTTTTTTGTTTATTGATTGTACCTCAGTAAACCTTGGGGTAGAGGCAGGAAGAGAGGAAGCTAGAGAGGAAAAGAAGAAAACCAAAGATGATAGCACCTTTTGCAGGGCAGGAGAGGGGGCCGAGCCCTCCTCTGTGGCGGCTGGGGCTTTGGTCAGGTACCTGAGGATGGGGCCTCTCCCAGCCCAGCTGTGCTGGCAGCATGTTTCTCTGGAATTTGCCTCTTTGTGTTAAAGGTGGAGCCTCTGGGGGAAAAAAAGCAGGAGGAGGTCCAGGGTGTTGGTATAGGAAGGAAAACTGAGACTAAATCTTCCAGTCTCCAGCCAGTCACCCTGTGGAGCCCCAGCAGACCGTCATGTCCCCAGCAACCACAGAGCTGCTGAAAGTGTTCAGGAGGAGCTGGAGGACCAGCCATCCTGGGAACACTCCTGTCTAGAATCTTAGTTTTCGTGATGACAAGGGACCTTTATTTTGCCTTTCCTTTTTCTGCTCTTGTCCATGTACTGTTACGTGGATGGGATCCTTTAGGATGCACTCGCCCTGTTCCTTCTTGCTGTAGTGGGCAGGCTTACTGGGCCCCCTGTTTGGATAGAGGAGATGGGGTGGGTGCAGGATAGTGAGACGGGGCACTCAGTGGAGAAGTGAGAGGGTCAGGCATCGGTCCGCCTCCTAGCTGGTGCAGGAGAAGGGCCTGGGCCAGACCAGCCTGTGCCACTGTCTGGCTAACCCCTCCCTCCCTCACCTTCTTTTGACTCCTCCCTCCCCTCTACCCTCCCCTTTCCATCTTCTCTGGATCCCTGGGTGAGGCCCAGGCGGCTGAGCGTCCTCTAGCAGAGGGAATTAACACACTTAATTAAAATGTCCAATGAAGAGCTTTGCATATTTCTTAATTACCATCTGAGTCTTTTGGGGGATGGTTTGAAATGGGGTTTTTCACGTGTTTCCTCATTTAGCCTACGGTGAGCCAGCCAGCCCCTCAGGGCTCTAGTGGGAGCTGCCAAAGATGCATGCCCAGTTTGGGGCTGCCTTTTGGAGTCCAGGGTGGCAGGGTAGGGTGTGGAGCAGATAGCCCAGCTACCAAGCTTACCCACCTTTGAGGAAGAATAGGGCTGGACTTTCTGTTTGGTGAAAACAGAGCCAAAGGAAACAAGGTTCAGATGGATATAGCTGGTGTCTCTAACTGTTTCACTTGTCACCACAGGGCCTGGGGGCCGTACCTCACAGTCAGGCCAGGAATGGTAGACTATGAGCAGAGGTTACAGGGATGGTGCAGGCCTCACCCCAAGGGCCCTGTGCAGCAGGGATGCGGGTAGCCTGGCCTCCTTCCCAGCTGCATGGCAAGGGCCGAGTCCCTCTGCAGGTCCTTCCTAGCATTTATACCAGCAATTCCCACTTCTGTTCTAGAAACTGAGCTGATGGGATGGCTGAGTCAGCGGGTCTCTGCTAGGACTGGGTTACTGGTCTGCACAATGAGGAAGCAGACTTGCCTTTTCAGCCCTGAGCACCACCTTCTGAAAGCTGCAGACATTATCTGAAATGGGCCTGGCTGCTGGGGGCTGTGGGCCGGGGATGCAGAGATTCTTTTCCTGGCTCAGGGACTGATTTCCTGAAAACACAGGCATCTGAGAGGTGGGCAGCCCACCAAGATGGCTTAGAAATGGCAGTGAGTTATGCCACATCTGTCCTGCCTGCCCTCTCCTCCCGGAACTCCTGGGGCCCTAGGCCCTGAGCCCAGCTCTGTGGACCCCAGGAGGATCAGGATCCCACTGTTTGGCCAGGAGCTCTGAAGAGCTGGTGTGTGTGGTAAGTGTGGATGCACAGCCGAGAGCAGACTGTGGGCCAGGGTTCTGGCTTGGCTCTGTGAGGGGCTAGCTAGTGGGTGGTACACCTTCTGCCAGGTCCTGGCAAACCCTCCGTGCAGTCTCTGGCTAATGTCTGTGCTCTGCCCCCTGCTCTCCCCAGTTTCTGGCCCTTACAGCAGCCTCTCCACCCACACCCACACCCGCTGTGGAGGCGACAGGGAGAAGAGCTGTCCTTCGTGGAGGGAGGCAGTGTCAGTGGAGGAGTCTGGGGACTTACTGCCCACTCAGCTTTCAGACTGTGATGTGGGCACAAGACAAGACCAGAAGTCCTCATAGCCACTGGCCCCAAAGCTGTGGGTGGATTTGGCGTCACGTGGCAGCTGTGGAGAAATGTGGGCAAATGATTTTAAGCAGAGGAATCTCAGCCTCACATGACTGTCGTTTCATCCAGTCCCTTCCCCGGGAATGTTGTTCCCTGTGACCCCCTCATCTCCATCAATCAAGGCTCAGCCCAAATGGTGCCTTTTTCAGGAGGTTACTGTGATTTCCCCAGCAGAGCGGCCTTTCCTTGCATGGGCCTCTCAGGAGACCCTTCCCGTATTGCCTGGCATTTTAGTATTTGGATCTGGGTCTCACTTCACCACTGGATATGGACTGCTTGAGGCCAGAGGTGCATCTGCTTTGTCACTACAAATTCTGTGCCCTGCACAACAGGACTGGCACACAGTGAGCCCCAGTGGGTGTTTGCTGAGTGGCTGGAGAAGCCTCACTGGCCTCTGCAGCTACCTAGAAACCACCAGAATGTACAAGAATCTGTTTACCTGGGACCTGCCAGTGAGATGGGGGCCTGGGGCCCATGGGGCACTGGTGGAGTGAATGGCCCCTGTTGGTGAGGTCCAGGTAGGCAGTGGTAGCTGATTGTGAAGGGCCAGCATCCAGTGCACCCTGCATTGGTGGGATTTCCAGGGTACATGGGACCAAGCTCCTCTGGACATCCCCATGGATGTGCAAGACCCCTGGGCCAGTAGTTCTCACTAGGGTAAGAAAAATAACTGTTTCATGCTGATGCCAATAGTGAAAAATAAGCTTACATCTTTAGGACAAGGGATTGAATGATTATTGTTAATTGTTTTTTCTGAATGCAGTGCTGGCATTTGTGCTTTTGCTCTGACAATTATGAAGAAGGCTTTTATGAGTGACTGAATCCAAGGTGATTGCTTGGTGTCTGTTCCTTGTCCAGTTGTCTTGGGCTCAGGGGATAGCTCTAGCATCTAATGGTCATGAACCCAGGTCACAGGGAGGAGTTCTGGGCTCCTCTCTGAATCTGACCAGTCACTGGTCCTGTACCCTGCTCTCCTCCCCATTCTCTCCAGCCCCACCACCTCTGCATTGTTCACTGAGATCCTCCATCTCTGGCAAGATTTCTGCCCCTAGTCTGGCTTCTGTAGGCCATTCTGTAGCAGAGTGTCCCCACCCAAATCTTACCTCGAATTGTAATCCCCATGATCCCCACGTGTCAAGGACAGGACCAGGTGGAGGTGATTGGATCATGGGGGCGGTTTCCCCCATGCTCTTCTCGTGATAGTGAGGTCTCATGAGATCTGATGGTTTTATAAGCATCTGACATTTCCCCTGCTTGCCCTCACTCTGTCCCGCTGCCTTGTGAAGAAGGTGCCTGTTTCTCCTTTGCCTTCTGCCATGATTGTAAGTTTCCTGAGGCTTTCCCAGCAATGGCAGACTGTGAGTCAGTTAAACCTGTTTCCTTTATAAATGACCCAGTCTCACGTATTTCTTCATAGCAGTGTGAGAATGGACTAACATGTTTTCTTTTTTCTAAAGCACAGGTCTATTGCTCTGATTACCTAATGCTGTGTAACAAACCACCCCAAAACTTAGTGGCTCAAGACAATAAAAATATTTACATCGCTCACGAATTTGTAGTTTGAGTAGGACCTGGCAGGGAAGGTGTGGCTTTGTTCCATGCAGCACTGAAGGCGGCTTGAAGTCTGCCGGCTGGAGTCACCTGAAGGCTCGCTCACTCACAGGTCTGCTGGTTGCTGCATGCGTGTCTCCCTCCTGTAGGCCTTCTTGGGCTTCCTCACAGCATGGTTGCTGGGTTGCAGGGCTGGCTTCCAGAGTGTGTCAGTGTGAGCACACTCCAGGCAGAAGCTGTGCTATTTTTTCTAAGCTAGCCTTGGGATTCCCACAGGGCCATTTCTGCCATAGTCACAGGCCTGCCCAGATTCACCCCCTGATGGAATGTCAGGGTTAGATTGTAAGAAGAGCACATGGGATGGGAAATATTTTATGAGCCCACTATGGAAATTATGAACTGCCACACCTGTTCACACCATCCTGCTGAAGATCCTTTCTGAAGCTCCCACTGCCCTTGGGCGAGAATCCATGCTCCTCCATGTGGCTGACATGGCCTGTGCCATGTGGCCCCTGCCCCTGCCTTTGTACTTCTCTCTGTCTGCCCCTCCCTCCCTCCACAACTGGCCCCAGAGATGGGTTTGGCTTAAATCAACCTGACAGCCACATGGAGCTTCCATGAACAATGTTTGCTACTCACTCTTCCTCACACACTGTCTGGCTTCACTTGCCCTGAGATGAACCTCAGTCTGAGGGGCCTCCAAGTGTGTCCCCCATAGCAACCTAGCCTGTTGCCTTCTGTTTCTTCTCACGAGTGTTTTCTCTCCCTGTCTCTGTGCCTTTGCACACATTGTTCCCTCTGTCTGGAATTCCCCTTCACCCCCACCCACAGCCTTTCCCAGTCCCGTGGCTGCCCTGCCTCCTCCTTGCAGGTGTCCTGACTGCCCGGCCACCTGCACCCCTGCCTTTGGGATCTGCCGCTTTGCTACTGTCAGACCTTTACATAAACCAGCACAGCAGAGTGATGAGGCATCGACTCTGGCTCAAATCTGTGCTCCTATCCCAGCTCCACCACTTCCCAGCTCTGTGACCTTGGAATAATAACTAACTCATTGGATCGTGATGAGGATTAAATGAGAGAACCTAAATAAAGTGCCAAATTCTCATCTGCTGCTGAATAGAGGCCCAGTAAGAGTTTGAGTTTCCTCTCCTTCTTTCTAGCATCTCCTGGTAAATGCTCAGTAATGAATTTTCTCACCCTCATTTGGTTGAAAAAGGAGAAATGCATCTCCTTGCTTAATCATGTGGGACTAAACTACCAGAAGATTACAAGAACATTGCTGAGCCATGAGCAGAGAGAAAATAAAAAAGCTCAATAATGATTTGCCTGCTTATTTTTAATAAAACCTGCCAGTGGAGCTGAATCTTTGTCCTCAGAAAAAGCTCCTCTTTGCTGCAGTGGTGTCCGAGAGCTGCGGTAGAAGCACAGCGGTGTGACCTTGAGAACAGAGCTGGCAGGAGGACAGCTCCCGCAGAAACTCCGGCAGCTGTTGCGAGGCAGGGGGACACAGGAGGAGCTCCTGGCTCTTCCACCTGCCAGGCTGCAGGCCTGCTGGGATGCCCCATGCTACTGCTCCTCTGAGGCTGAGTGGGAGTGCCTGGTCAGGTGGCTCGGGATGGGTTCTGCCCACCCCTTATGGTTGGGGGACTGAGAAAGTAGCCAGGTAGATGCAGTGTGCAAGTTCTCCATTTGCAGGTTCTAGCACCTTCCACCCCGGGCAGTTGTTGAGGGCAGGTGTGGGCTGAGGAAGGGGTCTTTGCCATTTAGAGGGGAGAGGAGCTTAGCACAGCACAACCCCTTACCCACCTAGCTCCTTTATGTGATACCATGGGCAGAGGCTGGGCAGAAATGGACAAGAGGAGCTCCTTTTAATAAGCTCTGCCTCAGGTCTGCAGACACTTCCCCAGAGACAAAGCATGGAGGACAAGGGTCTCGGATACCACTGCAGGGGTGTAACACACATTACCCTGGCAGAAGTGACGAGGGCATGGGTAGTCTTAGCGGGCTCTGAGGTGGGGAAGAAGGCTTCAGCTCCGAGAAATGAGAAAAATGAGCCTAGAGGAATAGTGTAAAGTCATTGCCTTTTGCAGCAAAGTAAGAATGAGTCCCTCATCCATTTCAAGCCTGAGTTGGGGTGCTGGGCCCCAGATGTTAAAACCCTCACTTTCTGAGCCCTCCTTGTACCCCACAAAGCACTTCCAGGGCACCTCAGTGACCAGTTTCTGACCTTTCAGATTGGATCAAGCCCCTACCAAGTGGGGAAAGGCCCCCAATTCCAGACTTGGCCTGGGACGGGCTGTTCCCTGGAGCGCCACAGCAGTGGCAATAATGACCTGGCAGAATTCTGAACCCAGCATGATCTATCAAGGAGTACCCGGATAAGAACTGAGCACCTGGTCATGCAGCCACATCCCAGCCCCACTCAGCTCTGACCCTGGTGCAGGAGCTGTCACCTTAATGCCCGTTGTGTGAAATGTGGATGACATTAGTGCCACCCAGAGTTGAGGGCTGGGAGGTATGGTACCCAGTGTTGCTGCAAGCTTCAGTGGGCAGGTGCCACGTCTCCTCTGTTTACTGTTCTCATGTCAATTCTGTGCCTGACTCAGCCCCTACTATGTGCCTGGAACATGCTCTGTAAATGCTGGGGTCATGTGTTGCCTATTATGGTGACTGCGGGAATGCATAGAAAATATCAGCTCTGGCCAGGACCCCACACCTAAAAGCTCCTCCTGCACAATTCCCAGTAAAAAACTTTCAGGGGATGTTTTCCTGCCCCCTAGACCTGTGAGCAAGTGCTAATCCACTGCCAGTGGCTGGTGTCTCATGGAGAGGCACCTTGGCATTAGAAGGTGTTGCAGGGATTTCCAAGTTTTCAGCTACTCCATGAAATTTCTGTGCCCTTAGTGGCTTTTTGGGACCCTGCTTTCTCTCCTCTCTGTGCTTGGAGGCCCTGGGGAGAAGAGACTCAGTGTCTTCCCATCCATCTCCCCACCCTGATCCCTGATGCATGCACCTTTCCCTAAGGTGCAAGACGCAGAGCGTCGCTGCCTAGGGAAGTGACCAGCGTGCCCTGGGATGCCTCTCTTCCCAAGGAGGCAGTAACTTTCCACTCCCTTTCAAAAAGGAGGATGCTGTGTTTTCCCCAATGCATCTGCCTCTTGCTAGTTCAGGGTTGCCCCACTTTCCCCTCTGTGGTCCTCAGCCAGGTGCCTGGGGCCTCATGGCCTCAGAGCTGATCCTCCAGGTATGGGAGGCCCCCTACTTCTCACCTTCATGTGAAATTTAAGGGGAGATTTAAAGCAGTCAGAATGCTCTTTATAGCCTCGTTTCTATCAGAAGTTTAGAAAAGGCTGCTTCCAGGTAAAATTAGAAGAGATCTTGGGCACATTTCTGCTCACCCCAGAAATGTTGTTTTAAAAATGGGGCTGTTCTGACACCAGCTGGTACCCTACAATTCACTTCTGGCACTGACCACCCAGAGTTGGCGTGGTGGTCAGCGTTCTCCAACAAGGGCAGAATCCTGACCTGGCAGAATCCTGAACCCAGCATGACCTATCAAGGAGGACCTGGATAGGAACTGAGCACCTGGTCAGGCAGCCACATCCCAGCCCCACTCAGCTCTGACCCTGGGCCAGGAGCTGCCACCTAATTGCCCATTGTGTGAAATGGGGATGACTTGAGTGCCGCCCAGAGTTGAGGGCTGGGGGTGGTGGTGATACATATATTTTTTCCATCTGATATTCTGGAAACTGCCTTACCTTGCTCAGTTACCTGCTGCCTCCTTCCACTTTTAAGCATTTCCCATGTGCCTTGTACTTTTTACCTGATTTAATTCTTACTACAGCCCCCTGAAGTCTTTGATGTTAATATACTCATTTTCAAATGAGGAACTGAGGTCCTGGGATGGTGATAACCTCAAGGTGACACAGCTGAAAAGTACCCCAATAGGATTTCAATCCAGCTAACCAAATCTGGGTTAAAGATGGGGTCTTCTGAATTTAGCCCAAACACAGTCAGTCAGATGCTCCTTCTGGGTAGAAGATCATCTTTCCCATAGCAAATGCTGGCTGCTGGGAGCTGAGTGCACTTGTCTGTTATGTGGTGCACTCTTGAGGCCTCAAAGCTGGTAAAGGGCCTTTGCCAAGGGGTCCTGTTGGCTTGTCCTGCTCCCTCCAGGGAGTGACCAGCCACCCCACCAGGCACAGCTTGTGGATGTACTGCCAGCCTGGGAAATGGGAGGGTGAGGGTACTTTTGTTTTGCCTGCCAGCATTACCTGTCCTCCTGAAGCCTAGTGCAGAAAGGGCTCTGAGCCAGCACAGCTGGGCAGATTCCCCACTGAGCCTCCCAGGGTCATGGCAGAGACATGATAGGACAGTACAGACAGGCATCCGTGCAGGGCCCGTCCTAATGAATGTCCCTTGACTGCCCTCTTCCCCCACCCCAGATGGTTAGAAATGCAGCAGTTGGCATTTCTGTCACTGCCAGGCCCCAGGGGAGCTGCACAGGGTGAGGTCAGAAGCCAAATTCTACAATTTGGGAAATTAGCAGCATTTGTAGGATTCCCAAGAGACGTCCTGTTTTCTCTCAGCTGTTCCAGTTGTTCTCAGTTGGGGTGTCACTGCCCCTACAGGGCATTTGCAGATGTGTGAGTGAGTCTACAGTTGTCACAGTGACTGGGGATCCTCCTGGCATTTACCTAGCGGGGTTCCAGGTATGCTAAACATCCTGCAATGAGCTGGACGGTCAGATACACAAAGAATAGTCCTGTCCATGAGAGACATGGGGAAATGACATTTGCCTCCCCGCCCCTGGTTCCTTAGAAAGCCACTGTCCCCACCAATCTTCAGGCTGAATTAACAGGAAATAAAGGGCAGGCTTCCATTCCAGTGTATGACCAACAACAAGGTGTACATGGGCAAGTACGAGAGGAGCCTCCTGTTTTGCACCCACTTACCTTGATTCTTTATAGATGGTTCTTGCATCAGCTGGGTTCTCCTGGGTCAAGGAAGACCTGGATTTGGGTAGTGGAAATCCATGGGGCAGTGGGATACCTCCTCCTTGGCAGCACCCTGGTGCCTGGCAGGAACAGCCCTCAGCCCACCTGGTATAGAGACTCGGTGGCCTCACCACGGGGTCCCTAGCAGGGGCCTGTCTCCCACTTCTGTATTTCTGCAACTCGGCCTTTCCCCTGTGCTTTTTGGTTTTGTTATCTTTTCTTCAAATGCAGTGTGTTTAGAAGAGCCTAGCTCAGATGCCATGACTGAACACCTCTCTCCTTGTTGTTTTGCAGTCGGGAAGACGTCTCTGATTACGAGGTTCATGTACGACAGCTTCGACAACACATACCAGGTGAGGTCCTGGGTGCTCACCCTCCATATCATCTGGCAGTGGCTGACCTCTCTTTGAAACTTGCTGAGCTGGGGTGGGAGTGGAATGGCCCTGGGTTCCCAGGCTGTCATTTTGCTATGGAGGAGCTTCCCACCTCTATACTGGCCCCATCCCTGTAAAGAGCTTGAGCCCTTCTGAAAATCCACCCCTCGGTAAAGGGAACATTTTTCAGAGGAAAATTCTAAAAATAGAGAGAGTCTGTGTTCTCTTGTTCCTCACAGGCAGATCCAAACCATGATAGTGTTTGGTTGTTCAGGGGAGTCATCATGTGGAAGAGGAACAAGATGAAAATGAGAGTGTTAGGCGAACTTGCGCCTCATGCATGGTTGTAATGGTTATGTTTGCTGGGACCTTCTCTCTCTCTCACCCCCGCCCCCCCCCACACACGCACACAAACACACACACGCGCGCACACACACACACACGGTTGCTGAGGCACTTCCTTCCCTGGAGAGGCTGGTGCGATGAGCTTGCCCTGCCCTACATGGGCAGGAGGCTGGATGCGGTGACCTCTGCAGCTCCTGGCCCTGGAGGCGTAGTCTGGGGTCAACCAGAGGCCCAGAGGTGGTTCCAGGTGCCCTGAAGGCCAAGTTCTTGGGGGTTAATAACATGTCACTTTCCTGGCACCACTGGTGAGTAGGGAGGTTTGTGCAAGTAAAGTGAATTTTCCATGCAATTATAGCTTTTTGCAAAAGGCACCAAACTTAATCATTTCAACTCTTTTAAAGAAAAAAGGTGCTGTTTTATTCCTTAGATAGAGACAAATGATAATGCATTTTTCTACACTAGTGGATTCTGTGAGATACTAATTCCAAGAGGTGTTGGTAGGTGTTACTTGAAAAAAAGTTGAGGTAGGGGGTGGTGGGTTCAGAGCTTGTACAGATTTAGGGAACACTGGGTGAACAAAAGTAAATCTACTGCTGTGCTGCAGGGCTTCTCGGAGCCTGACTATATCAGTGTATAGTTTTGATTTACTGAAAGAGGGATATAGTGTGTAGGATCTCTCAGATGTATTTGATCATGGAATCCCTTGGTTATCGAGTTCTCAAAGGACAAATATTTATAGAACACAGCGGGGACTGCTGTTCTAAGACGTCCCTCCTCCTTTCTGGATTTACAGAGTATGTGGAGCACAGCTCACTGCAGACTGCAGCTCTGTATCTACTTTTTAGTCTGTCTGTCTCCCTCTGGACCAATTATCCTCCTTGCCTTAAATACAGCCCCTCTGTCTGCCTCTCTCTCATTTTTACTCTTTCTTTGCTGTGGTCTCAATTTTTACTTTACCTCTGCTTCTACTCTGCTATGGTCTGAAATACTGGCTAGCCAGTGGACTTGGTGAAACTGACCATAGGAATTGACAGAGGCTCTGGGAGAGGGGCCCTGGCTGATGTGCACAGCCTCAGGTGTGGACTGTGGGATGTTCACCTTGGTCACACTTTGTCTTTGTTGTATCCTCTCTGGGCCAGGGCTTTGTAGCACCAAGCCTGTCCTCCTAATGAGGGGAGTTCTACTGGATCGGTTTGAATTCAAGATGACAGCTGCAACAGACTTAGTTCTGAAGTCTGACTTGGTATTCATTTATTTTTGTGCATGCATGTGTGTGTATGAATGATCTCATATATTATTTTGATTTCTTACTATTAAGTTACATATAATGCTTCTTGTTAGTGTCCCATTGAAAACAGTGAGACTCTTGGTTGGTTGGTGTTCTTGGCAGTGGCAAGGGGGTGACAAAGGGGGCCCCCAGGCCTGTGCAGTGGGTCCCATTAGTATGGATCAAAGCCTCATCTCCTCCCCATGTCATTCAAGTTCCTCAAAATCTCGCCCTACCTCCATGTTCAGCGTCGTCTCCCATTGCCTACTGCTTGTCCCCCATCCTGTGGTCCAGCCGACTTCCCTGCTCCTACTGCCCTTGGAGTGACACTGTTATGCCTCCACACTTTGACTCATGTCATTGCCTCTGCCGGAATGCCCTTTCCTCTCTTCTCTGCTGCGAGAATTCTCTGGATGCATCAAGGCCCAGAGCACATGTTTGGTCTGAGCAGCGAGGCCCTTTCATCCTCTGTCCCCTCCGTGACCATCTTTCCTATAGCATCATCCTCAGGGCTGGTTTAGCCTCTCAACTGTGCAGTAGCTCCTGTGTGCATCTGGCTCTGAGCTGGGCTCTGTGCTTGGCTGAGGCCAGGACCCTCTGGGACCCACCACTGCATTCATGAGTCTAGCACAGGGCCTGACCATAGTTGGTATCACCAGTGCCTGCTGGCACACACACAAAAAAAACAGCATGGAGAGTTGGCCTCGGGTTTTAGACCCATCAGATCAAGAGGCCTCAAGGACCCAGTGTGGTGACAAGAGGAGAGAAACCTCAGAGAGGACTGCCCTCCCCATCGCAGGCTTTCTCTTTTTTTTTTTTTCAATATTGCAGCAGGTGGAATTCCTTTCCCAGTGCTCTTAAAAATGGTAATTAGGCTGGGAGACCAGGGCTCCAATTCTGTGTATACAGAGGCTCATTTTAATGAATTCTCTGGAGATGGAGAAGGGGAAATGTTATTTTGTTTGTTTTTCCTAACATGGTGGCAGAGGCATTCGAGAAGTAGACAAGATCCCCAGGGTCTTTGGGGATTCAGCTTACCTCACCCCAAGTTGTGCCCCTGCACAGCAATCACTCCCCACCACCCCTTCAGACATCCTTCCAGCAGTACAACCTGGCAGAGCTGTCTTGCCTTGATTGGCTGAGGTGCCCAGACAGTTCCTAGAATGGAATCTACCCCTCCTTCCCTCTTTCCATCCCACACTTTCTGTCTCTGGCCCCACTACTCCCCTCTCGTTCACTCATTCTGACAAAAGATGTTTGTCAAATGCCTACTCTATGTTTGGAGAGGCAGAAGAAAGTGGCCTGGCCACAGAATCTGGCCCTGCCTTCAGCCAGGGCATGAAGGACAGGGAGGGGGCGTTTAACCCTATCCTCAGTGACAGCTGGTGAGTTCTTTCTCGGTCTAAAACTGAACATGCAGGAGACCCTGAGGGGCTGGCATGAGGACCTGGGTGTGTGGAGCTGGGTTCTACAGACCTCTCAAGACTTTTTGTCCACCTGGTAGGCCCCGTGAGATGCCTCAGGGGAGCAGGTCTTCTACCTCCTCTTGCCTCACACTTACCTCCTCACCCCCAAACACACATACACACATGTGTTCTCATGACACATGTACTCTCTGGCCTCTCAACACCCTGCCCATCACCTCATCTAAATCCACTCACTTGAAGAAGTAAAAAAACAAGAGTCACAGCCAGATGAGATTCATGTCTGCAGTGGTTCTCTCATATAAAACCCCAACTAAGTAATTTTCAAAATTTATGATAGAAAAAAACCTTCCAGTATGTGCATTGTGATGAGACTTGGCTGTCTTTGGGGCCAGCCCCCTTCCCCTTCTGCAGGCCTGGTCTGTGAGCCGCCTGTGTGAAACCTGTACTCATGCCACCATGGAAGGGTTCAGCCTCTGCAGGTGCTGCTGGGGATGGAGGGGGAGGATTTGGTGGTAGCAGCACTCTTCTCCGGTCTCTCATGGGCCCTCTATCACTCCTGGCTGCCTGTTAGCATCACCTTTTGCGAGATTCACGGGCTCGGGTATTAGCATGCTTAAAGCCTCAGCAGTGATTGTGATGCACTTAGAGCCACTGGCTTGTCCCTGGGCCTCACACCATGGCACAAATTAGGAAACCACTGACTTAACGGGCTGTCCCTGGGAGCAGGTCCCTGGCCTGCCAGAGCTCATCCAGCTGCTCTCAGGAGGACACACTCTCAGAGTGGAGGAGCATTTCTGGAGGCCTGTGAAGCTCTGCCTGCGCTGGATCCTTTCCTGGGTCCCACAGAGCCTGGGAACAGAGTGGCTGCCTCCTTGCCCTCCCAGGCCAAGGGGTTGCCTGAGATGCTCTGGCCTTGCAGGTGATCCTCACTGCATTCCTGCCGCTCCGCCCTGAGGCTTTCCTCTCTCTTCTCCTGGGGCTGCCTTAACAAATTGCCGCAGAGTGCCTTAAAACAACAGAAGTTTATTTTCTTACTGTTCTGGAGGTTGAAGTCCAAAATCAAGGCATGGAGGGCCTTGTTCTCAGAAGGCTCTGGGAGAGAATCCCCCCAGCTTCCAGTGCCTCCGGGCCTTCCTCGGCTAGTGGCTGTATCACTCCACTCTCCGCCTCTGTCTTCAGCAGGCCTCCTGTCTCTCTGTGTCCTCACCTCTTCTTAAGAGGACACCAGTCACTGGATTTAAGGACCCACCCTAAATTCTGGATGATTTTTTCTCTCAAGATCCTTAATTAATCGTATGTCCAAAACTGCAATTTTCAAATAAGCTCATATTCTGAAGTTCCAAGTGGGCATGAATTTGGGGATGGATACCCTTCAACTCTCTCCAAAATCCTAGTACCTCCCAGTCTGATCCCAATGGGGACTGGACCTTCTGGCCTATTCCTCAGCTTGGGCACCTCCGCACCCCCCAGCATAGCCCCTGCAGGCTCCGAGCCCCTCCGGCCCTTCACGTGCCTCCTGCCCAGCATCTCGACCTGGTGAGGCCATTTCCCCCGGGATCCTTTCTTGGCCACATGTCTTTTTATTCTCACAAGGTGTCTCCAGATCATTTCTTTGTGTAACATTTTGTACGTTGATTTAATGAAATAAATATGAGTGTTTCCTGGGGCCTGGCCATTGTGTCTGCAGGCCACTTATCTGGCTGCTCAGCCCATAAATCAGCACCTGCCCCTCCCCAGTGATCTTGCCCTTCTGAGAGGAGCTGAGCTCCACACACAGCACATCCCAGCTGCTTAGGGAGGGGACAAACAGGAGAGGTCACTGTGCATGGAAGGCTATGCTTTATTCAACATGGTATTTGGTTCTCTGCTATCTCTTTCCAGGTCAGCACATTCTCAGGTGGCCCAGGGGGTTGCCAGCCTTGGCAGCATGACCTTAACAAACAGAGACTCGGGCCTAAAAAGCCCTCGCACTGCCTTTGCTGGTGTAGGTGAGGTAGGACCCAATGATGAAAACAGACCTGAGTGGGGATCAAGCCAGAAGGTTCCCCGTGGACACACTCACACACTCATGGACACTGGACCCTGACACCCACCCCCAACCCAGGAATAGAAAAGGGGCGTGAAAAGAGACACCTGTAGGACTTCCGGCAAGATTCTGAGGTTACTGAGCACTTTTTTCTTGGTGTAATTTTCCATCATCTAGACTTTAAGACCTACATGAGCTACGGTTTAAATATAAATTTACAGCTGAGGGTGGGGGTTCACACCTGTAATCCCAGCACTTCGGGAGGCCAAGGCCAGAGGATTGCTTGAGGCCAGGAATTCAAGACCAGTCTGGTCAAGATAACGAAACCCTGTTATTATAAATTTTTTAAAAATTAGTTGTATATAGTGGCATGAGCCTGTGGTCCCAGCTACTCAGGAGGCTGAGATGGGAGGATTGCTTGAGCCTGTGAGGTCAAGGCTGCAGTGAGCCATGATCATGCCACTGCACTCCAGCCTGGGTCACAGAGCAAGACCCTATTTCAATCAGTCAGTCAATTAATAAATACATACATACATACATATTTGCTACATTCCTACCTCTAAAGTAGGCCACTGGTCTAGATGATACAGGGGTTAAATTCCATCTGATTAATTTCCAGGTTAAAAAAATGCAGTACTAAGACGCTGAAAAGCTCGGCATGTTGGAGTGGAGGGCAGTAGTGGGGCCTGTGAGTGGGCTGTTGGCAGGGCTGCATTTTGACTTTCATGGGCCTCAGGCATTTCGCTTCATGGGCCCTAACATGGGCTGAATTGTGTCTCCTCAAAATTCCTGCATCGAAGTTCTGGTCCCAAGTATCGCAGCATGGGACTGTAGATAAAGATAGGGTCTCTACAGAAGTAAAATGAGATTATTAGGGTGGCCCTAGTTCAATATGACTGGTGTCCTTATAAGAAGAGGAGATGAGGACATTGACATTCACAGAGAAAGACAATGTGAGGACACAGGAAGGGACAGCCATCTGTAAGCCAGGGAGGGCCTCTCAAGAAGCCAATTGTGCCTACACCTCAGTCTCAGACTCCAGCCTCCAGAGCTGTGAGGAGATGACTGTAGTTGAAGCCATCCAGTCTGTGGTACTTTGTTATGGCAGGCCTAGGAAACAAATACAGGTCTCTTCCTTTAAAAACATGTTAAGAATTATATTTTTACAGCTACATTGGTATAGAGATGAATGTAATTCAGGCTGGATTCATTATAATTATAGTCATTTCTTCTCCTGATTTTAAGAGAAATTAAAATGGAAACATTTTCCTTGGCCCTTAAGTGTCTTACGGGCACTGGGCTCTGTGCCCCTCGTGCCTGGTGGGTGAGTTGGCCCCAGTGACTGGGACTGTGGAAGGCCCGAGGGCGGGTTGGGATCCCTGGGTAGGAAGGGTGCGCCATGGAGGGTTCCTGACCCAGACACTGATGGGATCAAAGATAAGGAGTTTGTGGGAGGCAGGCCTGGAGGGGCTGGGCCGGGACCAGGGGTGGCAGCTGAGGCGGGGCACACAGACTCAGATACAGCTGTGTGTGGAAGGGCAAGGAGGGCAGGGGCAAGGGAGGAACCATGCAGGGCTGTGTGGGAGGTGAGCGAGGGCCCTAGGAGAGATGGCACAGGAAGTGGAAGGGGCCAACGAACAGTGTGTCTGTGGGTTACATAGAGAAGAGGAAGAGGCCTGAATGCGCCCCAGGTTTCTGTCTAGAAATGCTGGAAGAATATCAGTGCCATCAATACAAAGAAAAAGGAAGAGTCCAGTGGGAGGTAATGATCAAACAGCCAAAATGCTTGCAAATGGCTGTTCTATCAGGCCAGCCTGTGAGAGACTGGGCAAATCTAGATTCCTAAAGCCCTAAAAATGGGTGCGTTTTCTCTAATGGAATGTAGAACGGAGGCAGAGTGCCAGAAGGGATCTTTTACCCACAGAATCTAAAATGCCGCACGTCCCCAGCACCTGGGGGAGATGGGACAGGATCTTCTGCCCTGGTAGAGGTGGTCAGAGTGAGGGCACACGCCAAGGAGGATTCAGAATGTCCCCTATGCCTCAGTCCTTTTTTTTTTTTTTTTTTTTTTCCCTTCAAAAAGAGGCCTAGGTTTAAGCCCCAGGTTCAAGTCCCACTTCGCTGGGAGACCCTGGCCGAGCTTTTTAGTTTCTTAGTATTACTCTTTTTTTTAAGCTGGAAATTATTCAGATGGAATTTAGCCCGTCTATCACCTAAACCAGTGGCCTTAAACTTTGGAAGTAGGAATGTAATTAATTTGTATTTGAACTATGGCTCATATAGGTATTAAAGTCGAGGTGATGGAAAATTATGGGCCAAAACCACTGTTGATAGAAATGTGCATTACTGTACAGAAACCCTGCAACAAACCAAGATAATAGTGATAAAGTGAAACAAATGACAACTTTCCACAGTGTCCCGACCATCCCTGCATGTGCACTTGTGCTGTGCTTTGCAGCTCTGCCAAATGATGCTCAACCCCATAGACTTCGGGCAGAGCACTGGACTGCAGTCCTCGGTTAACTCTAGCAACATGAGGATATTTTTTATATTAATAGAGTAGAGTTTCATTTTTTGCAGACATTATGTTCTGGGGTCACAATATGAGGTGACACTCTTATGTCGTGAAATCTGAATGCCAATCACTCTGGCAAGATGACCCTGCCTCAGAGACCCACTGGGGCACTGCAAGTCATCCAGGTGTTCCCTCTGAACATTGACCCGGCAGAAGATACTCCAGGCGTTGGACTTTTGAGGGCATCTAAGAACTTACTTATGGTAACTACAAAATGAATTAGGAAAGATTACTAAAGCCTGGAGCAGAGAACTGCATCCTGAGTCCATTCCACTCATTAAATGTATCAGGAGCTACTGGTGGGCTCACCCAGTACCCATTGGCAACCTCCTACTCCCTCGCTTGATTAGAGACTGTAAAAGCTAAATTTGGCTTTCCCAGCCTCTCTAGAGGCTAAGAGTAATGATATGACTCAATTCTGGCCAATAAGACACAAGCAGCAGTCTGCTTGGGGGGAAGGATTCCAGGGAAGCTCTTGCTTGCTTTTTCTGCCTTGAATGTGGATGTGATGTCTGGAGCAGCAACAGACAGTCTGTACAAAGATGAGAACCCATGGGCCACGACAGCAGAACAGAATAAGCAATAGTCCAGGGGCCTGGTGTACCACCACTCAGTGTGCCAACCACACTGCCCAGGCTCTAACATCCTTTCTTTCTCTCCCTCCTCTCCTATGTCCTCCCGTCCACTTCTTTGTCAGCACATGCAAATTAGAAATGTAGTCCCCTCCTAGTACAGAAAGCTGATGAACAGTGGCATAAATGAAGGAGAGTTTTAATTTTGTAGGTGCAAGAAGTCATGTGGTTGGCACACTGAGTGGTGCTACCATCAGGCCCCTGGACTATTGCTTTTTCCATTCTGCCGTCGTGGCCTGTGGGTTCTCATCTTCGTGCGTGCTGGCTGTTGCTGCTCCAGACATCACATCCACATTCAAGGCAGAAAAAGCAAGAGCTTCCCTGGAGTTCCTCCCCGCTCCAGCAGACTGCTTCCTGTGTCTTATTGGCCAGAATTGAGTCACACCATTACCGTTAGCCTCTAGAGAGGCTGGGAAAGCCAAATTTAGCTTTTACAGTCTAAAGTAGTCAAGCAAGGGAGTAGGAGGTTGCCAATGGGTGCTGGGTGGGCCCACCAGTAGCTCCTGATACATTTAATAAGTGGAATGGACTCAGGATGCAGTTCTCTGCTCCAGGCTTTAGTAATCTCTCCTAATTCATTTTGTAGGTTACCATAAGTAAGTTCTTAGATGCCCTCAAAAGTCCGACACCTGGAGTATCTTTTGCTATAAGAGTTGAGGGGAGGGCTGGCACACATGAATCCATTTGTCACCCTTTGGGAGGCCTCTCAGGGAGCTTCAGGCCACACGACCTTGCACATTATGGGTAGCTTTTGAAGGGACCCACTGATATTGATGAAATTTAACCTTATTTAAAATTTGAAGGTGTATGTTGTTTTCAGACCACAGTCAGGAAATAAAAGAGCAATCACATATTTAAATTGGGTGGTGACTAAAGTACAAGCCACTCTCCATTGGGAGAAAAGTGGCCTCCAGGACCATACAGACTTTGAAACTGAGGTATCTGGAAGAATGCAAGTACCCGTACTGTGGCCTTCTGAGCCAACATCCCCTCCCCCAGGGCGCATTACTGCGCTTCTGGCAAGGATATGCCCAGCCTATTTGCCAGAGACTGCTGTCTCATCTCTCCAAAGCACCCACTTGCCAGTCTGGAACCTGAAGTTTCAGCAGGCTCATTTGCAAGCTAATTTACATGACTTTACCCTGATACTTTCATTTAATGGTTAGTGGTGCAGAGCACAAACAGCAACTTCATTGTCAAAGGCTTGTCATGCCCAGCTGCTTTCTGCCACTTATGGATGCTTCCCCAGCCCTGGGCCCAGGCCTGGCCAAGGCTAAAAGAAGACGCACGTAACATGCCTTTTCATTATTTCTTTTCCTGAGAAGAGAATCTTGAGTCAATTTATGCAAATTACCATGCAGATTTCCATTGCAGACTTTATTACTGTGTCTTGTCAGAATGTGGAAACAAAATTGTATTTCATAATAAATGCACATAGCAAAGAAGACTTCAACAAGTGCCTCAGGAAACGTCTCTTTCCTCCGGGATCAGCTGGGCCAATGGAAGCTTCTGTGCAGAAGGAAGCATGTAATGTACTGTCATTCTGCACTGTATGTCTGAACCCCTGTAGATACTGTTTAATACCATGTTCAGAAGAAGATAAATGTGGATTCAGCTATGAAATCCATGCTCATAAGATTCCTCACATTTTGTATAAAATGAAGGGCCTGCCATTTCTCATATACAGTGCTGTTTGTAAGCACAAAGATATTAAAGGAATAAATAAGCATTGCCAGGTTTGGAGCAATCTCATCCCAGCAGAGTGCAGCTCAGCCTTCTGAGAGGACATGGTGCAGTGCAGGAGGTGTGCCCAGCACAGCCGAGGAGGGAGAGGAGGGTCATAGGGATCGTGGACTGGCTGGCAGGAAACTCCCCAAGGTCAGACCTGCTGCTCATGCTGTGTTGATATCCTGCGTTTACATCCCTGTAAAATAGTTACCAGCAAAAATAATTTGCTTTGTACCTCACAAGAGAAAATGAAGTTCAGAGAAAGAATGCTTTGACCAAGACTCCATGGCAAGCTAGAAGAGGGAAGTAGTCTCCTTTAGAACCCGTCTCTCTGAAGGTCAGCCTTTCATGAGGCTCTGGGAATACTCGGTTATTGAGATGTTTGTAGGGATTGCAACCACAAAGGTTCCTAGGGCAAAGAAGCTGGGGAAACATTGGGTTCGTGTTTCTTCAGTGCAGAACTCATCAGAGCCTTTTATTTGCCAGTGTGCCTTATGAGAGGCTTTACTAAAGAGGCTATCTACTCAGGGCTAGAATATGTAGCCTTTCCCAGAAATACTTGATCACCATTTACTTTTGTTCCAAAGATGGTCTCATGGGGCTGTGTTTCACATAACCACACTGAGAAACATTGCTGGAGAGTCTCCATGGGGTGGGTTCTACAGCTTCTCTTAAACCTCTAGGTCAGTCGGTCACTAATAACAATTCATAATCTTTGTTTACGCAGCATATCACAGAGTATGCATTATCTTCACTTTCTCTAACTCATTTGATCCAACAGTCCTTAAAGGAAGCTGTGACTTTTCATGTATTAGAGATGAGGAAGCCAAGGGCCAGGGAAGCTAAGCCATTTTTCCAGGACACTCCCAATCCAGTGTTGGTGTTGGCAGAGCACTCAGACCTTGCCAACACTGACAGAGGTCACCAAAAACAGACTGGGGCTCCCTTGGCATATTACCCCATCCAAGTATGTTTGAGTGGGGCACTCTGCCAGCTGCATGGCCATTCCCCTGGGGCAGGGTGCATGGTAGCTCCTGTGGGGCTGGCTATGGTCTGTCCTGGGGAGCATTGACAGGCATTCTAGATTTGCCGGCAGACATATGCTCCCCATCCCAAGGGCCTGTGGAGCGTCCTCTTCACCTCAGCTGCCTGGCATTGCTGGGCTATGTGCATATCATGGATCTGGGCTTTATCTTCAAAGAAGAAATGACTCCCTCCCTACCCCCACACTCTCATACCCACATACACATACTTCTACATGCAAATAAATACATAATTACATACACATGTGTATCCCCACTCATCCACGTGTCTGCTCACACACACTCATACCCACCTTCCCATCAGTACACACTGTGGCCTGTGGTGACCTTTGAGATGAAATGTACCCTGTGGCAGGTCACAGGAAATCACCAAGGTTGCTGGGGCCTTTTTCAGGAGGATATGGCCTACCTGGGTGGCTAGTTGTTCTTTTTGTCTGATGTCCCCATATCCCTCCAAAGTAGGAGCCACAGATATGACTGTACTACAGATGCAGAGGAGGAAAAACTAGCATCGGAAAGGAAAAGAGGGTAGGGGAGATAGCTATAGCAGAAATACTGCATGGAGCTCAGCATTTACCTTTGAGTTTCCTGGTGGCTGGAGGGAAAGGAAATACCATGCATGGCTCCCACATACTAGTGGCAAAATGCTCCCAGGCTTGCATTTTGAGCCAGATATTGCTAACACTTGAACAAGGTCACGCAGTAAGGCAGGGAGAGTGGTCAGGTTTAGAATCAAGGATTTGCCAGGCATGGTGACTCACGCCTGTAATCCCAGCTCTTTGGGAGGCTGAAGCGGAAGGATCACTTGTGCCCTGGAGTTCGAGACCAGCCTGGGCAACATGGTGAGATCCCCATCTCTACAAAAGAAAATTGTTTTTTTAATTAGCTGGGCGTGGTGGCACACTCCTGTAGTTCCAACTACTTGGGAGGCTGAGGCAGGAGAATTGCTTGTGCCAAGGAGGTCGAGGCTACAGGGATCTGTGTTCATGCCACTGCACTCCAGCCTGGGCAACAGAGTGAGACCCTGTCTCAAAAAAAAAAAAAGAAAAAGAAAAAAATCAGGGTTTCTCTGCCCCAGCTTACAAAGAGGTATATGTAATGGCTTGGCAGGTAGGGCATCTAGTGACAGTGTTACCAGCAAGATAGAGACTTTCCTCACATGATGATTTGTGATACAGACCCTCACAGACCTCCAAAGTGCAATGCCAGCATAATCTGGCTTACTTGCTGCTAAAACCATCCTGGAGAGTGTGGACAAAGCAGCCTAGGCCCGTGGTCTCTGAGGATCTGATTTGGCACAAGTCTGAGACTAGAGTACCCAGCAGAACAGTGGTAGACACAGCTCTTAGACAGAGCCCCGCAGCCCCGGGAATCCCAGGAGCACCATTGGCTTTGATGCTTGGCAATCTTGTATTGGCTGGTAAGCCCAGCTGCCTCGCAAAACCACGCCTGGACCACGCTCATTCCCTGTGACGAGGAGAATGCCCATCAGTGTAGATCTAACTTTGTGGCTCTCCATGGAGGTGGCATGAATGACACCCAAGTGTGGTCGTTTCTCATTAGTTCTAGTGGTGTGGTTGCAGTTGCTTCCAGAGAAGCAGCACCTTGGGCCATCCTTTAGTGGCTACCCTAGCTGGGATGTGCTCCAAAGGAGTCAGCCCATGAAGGTCGTCTTTTATTTCATCACCCAAAGCCCATGATTTATCATCAGAGAAGATGCAAATTAGTTCCTGTGACCTCGCTGACTTGCTATGGGACCTCAGGCAAGTCACTTCACTTCTGTGTGGCTCTGGCTTATCTGCAAAGTGTAGTTAGTGTTCCCAGTCGTGCAAGCCACTCCCCCCTTTTCTTGTTAACAGTACCTTATCTTAGTCACCCAGCCTCTCTACATCTTTCACACCCATGGAGTCCTGCCTCTGCTTCTTGATATCACTCATGTGTCCTCCTTCCTTCTCACTCTGCTCTTCTCTGCCCACACCTCTTTGCCTGTCTAGGCCTTTGCAGCAGGTTCCGTTTTGTCTCCCTTGCCTTTATCCCATTCACTATCCTTCAACCAGGGTTATCTTTCTAAAGCCCCAGCTACATGGAAGTCCCTCTTCTTTGGTCGTTTATCAGTTCTTTGGCTCCATCCTGTTCTCTACAGGCAATTCACAGTCCATTGGTCCTGAATCATTTTTGTTTTTCTGAAGAAACTGTGTGGCTTCACACCTCAGGGTGTACTGAAGCCATCACTTTTATCTAAAACAAACAATGTCCTGCATTGACCCATGCATGTATTTACCATTTCTGATGCTCACAATTTCTTCCAGAGAATTCTAGTTTCCATTAGTATATTTTCCTGTCAGCCTGAACAGCTTCCTTTAACATTTCTTGTAGTGAAGTTCTGCTTGCCACAAATTCTCTTTGTTTTTGTTTATCTAAAAATATTTTTATTTCTTCATACTTTTGAAGAGTATTTTTGCTGGATTTAGAATTCTGTTTCCACGGTTTTTTTTTTTTTTCTTGAACACTTTTATTGTGTCATTCCAGTGTTTTCTAGCTTCCATTTTTTTCCAGTATGGCAGCCGTCATCCCTGTTATTTCCTTGCGTGAGGTGTGTCATTTTCCTCTGGCTACTGTCAAGATTTTTCTTTATCTTTGATTTTTAGCAGTTAGACTCTGTTATGAATAGACATGTGATTTTGTTTCTTTATTTTTTTAATGTAATGCTTGGAGTTGGATGAGTTTTTGAATCTGTAAATGTGTCTCATTTTGCACTCAGAAGACTTTTCACCATTATTTCTTTAGTTTTTTTGTCCAATTCTCCATCTCCTCTACTTCTGGGACTCCAGTTAAACATATGTTAAGCTGTATGAGGCTCTGTTTATGAAATTTTTCTCAATTTTTTTTCTCTTTATGCTTCCTTTTGGATAATTTATATGATCTATTTTCAAGTTCACTGACTATTTCATTTCTCTTTTTGAATCTGTTGTTTCAGATGTATTTTTCAGTTCTAAGTTTGTATTTGGTTCTTTACTTAGAGTTTTAGTTTCTCTGTTGAGATTTTTAAATCTGCGCCTTTATTATGAGCTTATTTTTATATTTGAGCATAGTTATATGAACTATTTTTAAATGCTTGGCTATTTTCAACATCTGGGTACCTCAGAGTTAGTCTCCATTTAATCTCTTTTTTCTTGAATATGGCTGACATTTTCTTATTCATATGACTAGTAATTTTGGGTTATACATTATGTTAAAACTGTGGATTCTGTTTGTTCCTGTGAAGAGTACTCTTGGTTTTAGTGGGCAGCTAAATTGTCTGGACCCAAATTCTCAATTCTCCCCCCCGTGGTAGGCAGCAACTGAAAGTTATGTTCAGATTTTTTTGTTTGCCTGTTTTATTTTGTTTTCAGTCTTAGGTAGGCTGCTTAGGGTCTGCTTGGGTCAGTCAGAGATTTGGGTAACATTTATATGGAGAATTTGGGGTCACCTCTCTGTATCTATGTCACTTCCAGGGTTTTCCACACTTTCTGGCTGCTGTAGTAACTTTGCAGATTGTTCTCTAATTTCTCAACCAGTAAGACTGTTTGTGCCTTATTTGAGGCAAATAGATGATGTCAAAGAGCTAGAAATTTTCTGGTAACTGAGGCCCAGCCAAGGCCCTCTTAAAAGTTCTTGTTTCTATTCTGTCCTTAGAGAGCTGACTTTTCTCTTCTGGGAAATGAACTTCACCTTAAGTGGGCTCTGCTGAACTATTATGGCTGATGACCATAAGATTATGACAGTAGGTAGCCAGATAGTTTGTGACCCCCAGAAATATTCAGTGACAGCTTCAGGGTGCATGACAGGTTCAGAAATGAAGGGATTTCAGGAAGGAGAGGGAGTACAACTGAATAGTCAAGAGCAGGGACTTTGCATTCAGGGAAACTGATTCTGACACTACTGACTGTGTGACCTTAGTTCTGAGTAAGCCTTGCTTTCTTCTGTGAATAGCACCTTCTCATGCATAAGCATCTCCCTCTTGTCTCTCACCCTGTACAGGGCATCTGCCACTCCTGGACAGCACAACCTCCCCAGACTCTGATTACAACAGAAGGCAGTTTGCAAACTTTACTGCACAAATGAGTTATCTGAGGGCTTGTCTGGAATTCTGATTCCCAGAGATTGTGATTCTGTCTGTCTGAGTGGAGCTCAGGAATCAACATGTTTAACAAACTCCTGATGTGATTCTGATGCACATGACTCGTGGGCTACATATTGAGAATCATTGAATCACTGGCCAGTGGGAGAGATTGATTAGTATGAGATCTTTCCAGTTTAACAGAGAAAGTGTTAAATGAGGGGCCCTGGACCAACCTGAGGGCTCAGAAAATGATTTGTAGAGGAGGTGAATCTTGAATTCTGAATAAGTATAAACCATGTGGAAGAGCATTCCAGAAAAGGGGACATTATTAGAAAAGGCCCAGACATACAAAGCAACTTGTTTATGAGGAGTTCTGTACAGAATATTATTTCTAAAATATAAAGTGGAGGCTGGTCAAGGAGGGAATGAGTCCATAGAATGCCAGGGGCAGGCCCTGAACAGCATTATAGGCCAGCTTGAAGTGTTTGAGCTATCTCTTAGAGGCAGTAGATCATATTAATATGATCATATTAATATTTCAGAAAAATAACCCTGTGCAATGGTTTCAGTGTCACCACCAAAACTCATATTGAAATTGAATTCCCATTGTGACGGTATTAAGAGGTGATCCTAGAAGGTGCAGCTGCTTTAAAAAAAAAAAAAAGTGGAGCCTTTAAGAGGTGATTAGGTAATGAGGGCTTCACCCTCATGAATGGATTAATGCAGTTATTGCAGGAGTGGGTGGTACCATCGGAGTTTGGGCCCCTTTTTCTCTCTGTTGTGTGTTCACTTTCCCTTCCACCTTCTGACATGGGATGACACAGCACAAAGGCCCTCCCCAGACACCAGTGCCATGTTCTTAGACTTCGCAGCTTCCAGAATTGTGATAAGTAAATTTCTTTTTAAAGTAAATTATCCAGTCTGTGATTCTGTTACAGCAGCAGAAAATGGACTAAGACATCCTGCCTGCTACATGAAAGATTAATTACAGTGGAAAGCATGAGGGATAGTCAGAAAGCTGTTGGTGTTATTTAGGTAAAAGAAGTTCAGTGTCTAAACTAGGGCAGTGGTGTTGGGGATGGAGAAAAAGGGGGCTGGGTGAGAGCCCTTAGGAGGCCAAGCAACCAGTTCAGTATTCATTTGATGTGAGGGAACAGACAGCAAGTGAAGAGGAGCAACTCAGGAGGGCTTTCAGGCTTCCAGAGGCGTGGGCGCCTGGATGGTCAAGGTGCCATTTATTGAAATAGGAAAAATAGCAGAAGCAGGTTTGGAGGAAGATGATAGGCTCTTTTTGGAATATACTATATTTAGTCAGCTGTCTAGTGGATAATTAAGTGGGATTTGTAGTAAGTAGCTGGATGCATAGATTTGGGGCTCAGAACAGGGGTAAGTCCTGGGTTATAGATTGGGAACTGATCAGTATATCATATTTGAAGCATCGAGAGTAAATGAGATCCCCTCTGAAACAAAACAGTGGAAATGCCAACATTTTAGGGAAAGAAAGGAAGAAGATCCTAGAAGAGAACAATAAGGAACCGCAATTAGAGAGGCAGGGAAAGCCAGAAACAAGTAAAGTCGTGGAAAGCAAAGAAGAAACAAATGCCATAGAAGAGGAATGGTCAGCAGGGTCAAGTGTGTTGAGTCTGGACTATACAGTGTCCTCATGACTTGATAATCAAATGGCTATTGGTGACCATAGCAAGAGCTATGGGCAGAGGGACAGAAACCAGACTGACCTAGTTGAGAAATGGGTGGGCATAGAGGAAATGGATACAGTGGGTTTGAAGTCCTTTTCCAAGAAGCAAGCCCATTGAGAAGAGGTGAGAGATTGGCAGATGGCTAGAGAGCAACTTAGTGAAAATGAGGGATTTTTCCACTCAAAAGATGTGAGAATCTTGAGAATGTTTCTTGGATGAAAGGAAAGAGTGAGTAGAGAATGAGAGACTGAGATATAGAAGAGAAAGGAGATGGCTGAGAAAGCATCATCCAGAGAAGGCCAGTGCCAAGAGGGCCTAGGAAGAGGCTTTCTTTAAACAGGAGAAATAACGAATACTTAGAGCCTGGAGGCGTGTGGGGATAAGGCTGGACATATGTAGACAACTTTGCAAATACCTTTTGAATCTTGACTGCAGTCTCAGCTGTGGACATTTGACAAGTCGCTTAGCATCTCTTGTCTTCCATTTTCTTAGCAGTGACACAGAATACAGAAGAGCCTAACTCATCACATAGATTTATTGTCCAGATTAAATTAAGTAATGTATTTAAAGCAGTTAGTACAAGAGCTGGGAAATGATAAAGTGCTGAGATGTTGTTACTGTGGATGTCATTGTTACTGTGATAGGACGCAATCAAGGACAAGTAGCGTGTTTTTATATTTGCCCATAGATTTGCCATTTCTGGTGCACTTGTATTCCAGCCTTGAAGATTCTAATTTCCATCTACAAAATTTCTCTTTAGCCTAAAGCATCTCTTATAATGAGTGCATGCTGGTGACAAATTATGTGACTTTCCCTTATGTGAAAATGTTTATGTTTTGTCTTCATTTTTGAAGAAAATTTTCACCAGCTATAGAATTCTAGGCTGACAGGGTTTTTGTGTGTGTGTCTTGTTTTATTTTTTAAGCAGTTTAGAGACGTTGTTCCCTTGTCTTCTGTCTTCCATTGTTTCTGATGATAAATCAACTATAATTCTTACCATTGTTTCCTTGTATGTAATGTGTTGTTCTGTTTTCTGGCTGCTATTACGGTTTTCTCTCTACTTTTTTATTTTCAGCAATTTGACTATGACATACCTTGGTTTGGTTTTTTACAGATTTATCCTGTTTTAGGTTCACTGAACTTCTTGGAACTGTGGGTTGATGTTTCTAATTAAATTGGGTGAAGTTGGGGGCTATTCTCAAGATGTTTTTTGCTTGCATCTGTTTCTACTGTCCTGAGACTCTAATTGCATTTTTTGTTTTATTATTTTTTGGGAGACAGAGTCTCACTCTGTTGCCCAGGCTGGAGTGCAGTGGTGCGATCTCAGCTCACTGCAACCTCTGCCTCCCAGATTCAAGCGAGTCTCCTGCCTCAGCCTTCTAAGTAACTGGGATTACAGGCGTCCGCCAAGATACCTGGCTAATTTTTGTATTTTTAGTAGAGATGGGGTTTCACTGTGTTGGCCAGGCTGGTCTCAAACTCCTGACCTCAGGTGATCTGCCTGCCTAGGCCTCCCAGAGTGCTAGGATTACAGGCATGAGCCACCATGCCCAGCTTCCAATTGCCATTTATGTCAGCTCACTTGATATTGTCCTAGGAGTGCTTGAAGCTCTCTTTATTTTTATTCCATCATTTTTCTCTCTGTGCTTCAGTTTGAACAATTTATTTTGGCCTGTCTTCAGGTTCACTGAGCTTTCCTCTGCAGTGTCCTAGCTACTGTTATTTAAATCCAATGCATTTTTATTTCAGATATTATAGTTTTTAGTGTTAAAAATACCATTTTGTTTTGTTTTAGAATTTTCATAAATCTCTTGACAGTCACCCATTGTATTAATTTTTAATTTTTTTTTTTACCTATTTATAAGAGTTTTAAAGTCTTTGTCTACTAATTCAACATTTGGATCATGTAGGGGTCTGTTGAGTTTTTTCCCTTGATTATGGCTTGAATTTTCTGTTTCTTCACATTTCTAGTCCTTTTTTATTGTACAGTGGACCTCATGAATAATAAGTTATAGTCTTGGATTTTGTTACCTTCCTCTGAAGAGTGTTGTTTTATCTTAATAGGCAATTAAATGATGGGCAGTTAATATTTTTTAGGGAATGGTTAGTTATCATGTATGGACCTTGTTAAGACAGATGTCTTCATCCATTCAGGCTGCTATAACAAAATAGACTGGGTAACGTATAAGCAATTGACATTTATTGCTCACAGTTCAGGAGTCTGGGATTTCCTTCCAAGATCAAGGCTCCAGCAGATTCCGCATCTGGTGAGGACTTGCTCTCTGCTTCAAAAATGTCACCTTTATGCTGTGTCCTCAGTGGTGGAAGGGACGAACACTGCGTCCTCACATGGCAGAGGGGAGCCAGGGTGCTCCCTTAAGCCTCTTTTATAAGGGTACTAATCCCATTCAAGAGGTCAGAGTCCTCATGACTTAATCCTTTCCCCAAAGGATGTGCCTTTTAATACTATCACATTGAGGATTAAGTTTCAGCATTTGAAGTTGAGGTTACAGGGGACACATTCAGACCACAGCGATAGATTTATTTTGGTTTTCTCTGAGTCCTCTGGTGTAACCCTCAGTCCTGAGATGATCTTGTTCCTCCCAAAGCCAGCCTTTCTGGTGTTTCAGTGGAGTCTGAGGTGTTTTTGAAGTTCTTTTAATTTGGTGGGACTGGGGAGTTTCGTCAGGAGGCAAATTGATTTAATGTAGAATCTGCCTAGTTTTCTTCCATTCCTTGAGCGGTTGTAACTCCTACCTACTTTTTTTTTTTTCTTTTGAGCCAGGGTCTTGCTCTGTTGACCAGCCTGGAGTACAGTAGTGTCATCATGGCTCACTGCATCCTCAGCCCCACCAGCCTCAAGCGATTCTTCCCCTCAGCCTCACAAGTAGCTGGGACTACAGGCAGGCACCACCACACCTGATTAATTTTCATTTTTTATTTTTTGTAGAGGCAAAGTCTCACTATGTTACCTAGGCTGCTTTCAAACTCCTGGGCTCAAGTGATCCTCCTGCCTTGGTCTTTCAAAGTGCTGGGATTACAGGCATGAGCCACTGCACCCTGCCTCGTCCTGCTTTTGATCATTCTTCAGTGCTTGCAAATTGTTATTTCTTGTATTTTTCCAGATATTAAAATAGTTTTCTGTTGGAGGGTTTGTTTGATACAAGCCACTCAGCCATTATTGAAAGCAAAACTTAGGAATATGTTTTTGAGCAGAGCTGAGGGCTCAGTTACACCCAGAGACAATGCCTATGCTTTGGCGCCATCTCCACAGCTATAGAAGTTCTTCAGTGGCTCAGTGGCCTGGTCAGATGGAGAGTGTGGCTAGAACAGGTCTGAGAGAGTGGACAGTTAAGGGACCAGAGGTTTCTCTGTTGGGGAAGCTGGAAGCAGGAATTAAGAGAGAGCTGGAGAAGATGGGATGTTGGCCTTGTTCAGGTTCCTCGTTGCTGCCTCTGGTTAGTCTGTTATGGGATGTGAGAGAAAGTATGTGGATGTTCAGTAATGGTGTTTATGATTATGGAGGCCACTGGGTTGAGCTTTGCTGGGACTTCATCCAAGTGGCACAATTTCTTGTTTCATTTGGTGACTTCTCTGCCCTTTGTGGAAGCAGAAGTGCCTTGTGACATGTGAGGTGTGATGGGGTTGTCATCATTACAGTTATCAGTAGCATTACCATCAGGTGCCTACCTTTGAGAGATACGTTTCTCCATGGTTCTTTGCTTGTTAATTAGGCTATGTTAACAGAAACCCAAAATAACAGTGACTTAAACAAAATAGAACAATCTGAGCAGTCCAGCGCTGCTGAAGTAGCTCCTCAGGGTCAGGGAGTCAGCCTTCGTTGATGTCATCGCTCCTCTGTCATCCTCATCTGGATGGGCCACTATGACTCATCCCCACCGGACAGTGGGAAAGGGAGCAGCTGTGGGTACTCCCTACCCACAGAGGACCTGACCCCAAAGATGCCTACATCACGTTCACATCCCATTAACCAGAATGTAGCCGCCCAGCTGCAAAGAAGGCTGGGAAATATGTTCTTTATTTGGGGCAGCCCTGAGTCCATCTGCACACCCAGAATTCTGTTACTATAGAAAGGGAAACTACATACTGGGGACAACCAGCAGTCCCTGCCACCAGTCCTAAGCTCATGCACCTGGTTTTAGTTCAAAGGTGACTCTACAAAAGGAGCATGTCACTCCTGGGGAGCCTGTTGAGCATTGAGGAGTTGAGAGACTTCTACCTGCTATGCACATTTCTCCATAAGGGAATCAGAAGACAAGGATTGTCAATCTAACATACACCTGTGAAGGAAAAAGTCTGCATCCACAAGCACTGGTCATTGCAGATTTGTGCCTCGGTGGCTACACTATGCGAAGCTGTGGTAGAAAGAGCCCAGGTGCTGCCAAGTTTGCAGCTCTGATCTTCCCAGCCCTGCTACTGATGAGTGAAGTCACACTAGGCATGTCCTTTAACCCTCTGGTCTGTTCTTTCATCTCCAAAGTAAGGGATTGATTGGATTGTATCTAAGGTGTTTTGTCTAGTGCCCACATTCTAGCATCGTATGCTCCAGAGCGTAGAATGACCCCCCATATCTTTGTGTTATGAGGCAAGCTTCCAGGAGGGTGCAAGCCAGTCTCAGTCCTTTGTGGAACGAGTTGGGAGTGTGACTGTGTAAACATGCACACTTGTGCACACACATTGGTGCATACCTTTGCATTCAGCCTGGGGGGACTGGAGATATGACCTTTTCTATTTTCTTGGGCTTCCTTTGGTTGTGTTTTTTGCAGTCAAAAATCATGGCATTCCACACAATTAAACTTATTTATTAAACTTTATTTCAAAGGACTTTTTCTAATTTTAGTACTGTTATATGTTCATTGTGGAAAGTAGAGAAAAGTGTAATGAAGGAGTGTAATGAAGGAAAGAAAATGCTCTGTCACTATTCAGACCGTGATGCTATTAACATGTTAGCAGATTCCCTTCACTTCAGTGTCTAAGAAAACATGAAAAATACTCATAGATCTATTTGAGTTAATCTAATTGGGATCACTCGCCACATGATGTTTTATAACCTGTTTTTTGTTTATTTGTTTTTTTAACTGGATAACCGTTTCCCCAAATCCTTAAATATTTTTTCAAGAATGTGATTGTTAACAGCTGCCAAGGGTTCTAATCACATGGATATACCACACTATGCTTATTTAGTGCCGTGGACATTCAGGCTGTGTCCAAGTCTTTGTTATTATTGATTACATAGCAGTGATATCTCCATTTTACATTGACAGCATCTCAGTCCTACTGACAGGTACCGGGTGCCTGTGAGGCCCAGAGAGGTTGGTTGCCTGCCCAAGGCCACACAGCAAGTGAGTGGTGGGTCCTGGCCATCTGGCCACAAGGCTGGCTGCCTCTCACAGGTGCCAGGGCAGAAGAGGCATAGGTGTGGCACAGGGGAGCTGGTGACAGCTTCCAATGTTTTGGCTTGGGGAGAAAAGAGCCAGTGGGGCCTCCCAGCGAGAGGCCACTCTGGGTGGTCTGCAGTGCCCGCACCTGAGAAAAGCCATGCTGCTGTTTGCACCCACACAGCAGCAAGCTGCCTGCTCCTGCCCCCTGCCTCCCACCCTCCCGAGGTCAGTGTTGAGCCCAGGCCCATGCTTTAGGGCAGAGGGAAGAGGCTTTGGAAGCTGCAGGTTAGGCCATGAAGGGAACAAGGCAGGGAGTCCAGGTGGGGAGGGCAGGATATGTGCGTTGAGTGGCCTGAGTGGCCTTGCTCCTGGGGAGGCCTCCTCACCACTGCGCTCTCACTGCTTCTGAAGCACTTGCCCTCTCCAGAGAAGATCTCACCCTATAAAGGCCACCCTCATCTTTCCTCAGCTTGATCCCTCAGTGAGAGAGCCGCTGAGTGGTAGCAGGGAGGGGCAGGGAGGACAGAGCATGGCCACATTAGACCTGACATGAGCGTCCCCTCTTGCTGGTTATGCCACCACCTGTGGTCGCTAGGCTTTTGCCCCTTTGCATGAGACCTTTTGATTTTGACCGTTCTGTGCTTTTCTCTAACAGGCAACCATTGGGATTGACTTCTTGTCAAAAACCATGTACTTGGAGGACCGCACGGTGAGCACCTAATATCAGGACTGGGAGGGGCAGGGAGGGTTCCTTTGGGCTTATCCCCTAGGACCCTTAGCTGGGCACCACTGAGAGCACCTGCCGACACTAGGGGCTGGAGCTGGTGATGCCAGCATTGCAGAGCCCGGCTCTCCCAGTCCCCCGGACCAGGAGGACCTCACTGCCCCACTGACCCCTCTGCCCATGGTCCTGCCCTCCCTGAGACAGGTGCGACTGCAGCTCTGGGACACAGCTGGTCAGGAGAGGTTCCGCAGCCTGATCCCCAGCTACATCCGGGACTCCACGGTGGCTGTGGTGGTGTACGACATCACAAGTGAGTGAGGCTCTGCTCCTAAGGGAGGGTGGCTCATAGGGGGTCCAGGGCCCAGGTGTGACCCTGGCCAGGCCTGTGTGCATGTGTGTGCACACGCATGTGTGTGCACACGCATGTGTGTGCGATTGCTCCCTGAATGCAGAAAGGCAGGGAGCAGTGGTGAGTTGCCTTTGAACACCAACATGGTTTCCACTGCTCCCCACCCTCCTGCAACCGACAGGGGTTTATAGGGCCAGGTTGGTCCTGCTCGGAGTGGAGGCCAGCTTGTGGTGTGAGCAGATGCTCACAAGGTTGGCCCTGCTCCAGCCTCTCTGCACCCTCCCTCTCCCTGGCTGTCAGAAAGCTCCCTAAGGAGCTACTTCTATATGTGTGTCACCATGGGAGAAGACGCTGGTCCCTAGGCCAACCCCGGCCCAGCAGCTGTGGGTGCAGGACTCCCTGGGAAGGTAGGCAAGGGGGTCTGGAAGCGCAGTAGGCTGGTAACCCTTCTCCAGTACTGTGGCTCTTCAGGCCAGGGCAGGTGTTCTTAACAGGACTGCACAGCCTCAAGGGCGCACAGGGCCAGAGGTGGGGGTGGGGGGCCGAGGCAGAGGCCAGACCTGCAAGGCTCTTGTAATGGAACACACCTGATAAGCCCTCAGGGCTGTGGTTACCCTGAAGTGGGCGAATGCCCTAGGTGCTGTCCACAGCCTTAAAAATCACACAAGGAAGCATGCATGTCCCCGCGCTGGTGCATGCCCCCGCCACCCAGCCTGCTGCCCTGGCTCTGCCCACCCCTTCTGTCCACCTCTCTTCTGACCACAGGCCCCCTCCACACCTGAGTGCAGGTGGGAGCTGGGCCCGCAAGGGCCTGGGTTCACATGGCCTGAGGCACATCAGAAGGGATACCAGGCTGTGTGAAACTGAGGCTTCTGAGGACAGCTACCTCCCCTCCCCTTGGGTGTGCAGGCTGCCGAGTGGTGGGTATTGCCTTATAGCTGCTCTGCCCTGCAAGGCCTATCATGGCAGCTGAGGGGGGTCAGGCTGCCCAGAAGTGGCCTTGTCTCTCCTGGATTTTTGAGTGCACCTGGCTCCCCTGACTAGTCCCGGGGCCACCTTTCCCCTCCTCTCATCTGCAGAGCCTGAGGGTTCTCTTCAGAAACCCCTCTGGCCTTCCCCAAACTCTCCTGAGCTCCCATGGTGGGGACACCACTCAGTAGGGCCCTTCCTTCCCTAGAGGCTGCTGTGTCCTCCTCTGCCCACCCTCACTGTTCCCAAACTTGCCAAGTCGCGCGCGCATGTGTGTGTGTGTGTGTGTATGCACACACACGTGTGACCCAGTTCTCACTCTCCACTCTGAATCCCCAGAGTCAGGTCTCTCAGGTGGGCCCCTAAAGCCACTATTCCATGTGGCAAATCATGACACTGTGATCTTCCAGATGGGGTGATTCCTCTCCCACAAAGGGTGGCTGAACAGTGCAAGTGGCTCCCCAGGGCCGCAGGGCAGGGCCCGGTTCCCTCTGAAAGGCCCTACCCAGCTGATCTGTGTTGACTGAGCTCACACCCCTCCCTGGGTATCTGAGGGCACATGCTCACCCTCCCTCCTGCTCCTGGCTCACACCTCCCCTTCCCATCTCCCACTGGTGGCTGGCCCTGGCTTTCAGTTTATCCTCACTTTCTGCCTCCAGATCTCAACTCCTTCCAACAGACCTCTAAGTGGATCGACGACGTCAGGACAGAGAGGGGCAGTGATGTTATCATCATGCTGGTGGGCAACAAGACGGACCTGGCTGATAAGAGGTAGGTGCAAGGGCACACAGGTGCAGGGTGCCACCCTCCACTCCTCTGTAACTGCTCCTGGACAGGGAGCTCTGGGATGCATGGGTGGTGTGTCTGTGCTTCTGACCATGCATCCGGAAAAGGTCCCTTGAGACACTAGGAGCTTTGAGGACACCTGGTAGACTCTCATCCATGGGTATCTCATCTGTGAAGCCCTGTCTTCCACCACCAGGCAGGGGCGGGGCACTTCTCCGTTTGCTGTCTACACAGAGCACTGTGCACCTGGCTTGACCCAGCAGTGCATGGTCTAAGGCCCTGCCATGGCCACAGCCCTGCCCCAGACACAGCAGTCCTCTAGGCCCCAGCGTGTGCACTGTGAACTGTCTGTGCCTGTGAAGTGTCTGCACCAATGTGCGTGGGGCTGTGAATGCCCTGGGCCCTAGGTGTGAGCATGCAGAGCATTCAGACCACAAACCTATGGCCGTAGCCTGCTTAGCCTGGTTTGTGGCTGCGTCTGGCATGAAGCTTTCTCTGAAGAGGCTCCTCCATGCTGCCCTCCATGCACAGGGAGAACTGAGGTGCCATGTGTGTACATTGTCCACTCATTTTACATGACCCTGACTTGGGCAGATAAAGTGACAGGCCATGGACTCCAGCAAGCAGTGTGGGCTTCCTGCAGCGTCCCTTGACCACCTGAGGAATCATCTGAATTAGAGCCTGCTTTACTAGAGTTCTGTCCTTAAAGTAAGGAAAACTGGGCTCAAATCCCAGTACAAAGGGTACCCAGGCCCTTCATACCCTCACCCACTTCTGCCTGCCCCATCATGGAGCCCTCTCTGCTAAGTAGCTTTGTGGCCCTGGGGGAGACACTTTTAGCATTAGTGTTCTCACAGGGAAAATGCGACTGATAATACCACCCAGAGTGGCACTGCCTGGCTTGAATCTCTTCATAAGCACAGGCTCTGCAGTAGTGACTACTGGGAAAGGCAGGTATGGGGCAGCCCTACCCCAGGGCCTGCTTTGAAGCTGAGAAGACACAAAGGAAGGAGTGGGGGAAGCGGATAGTGTCCTACTGTTCCCTGGTGCCTGCTTTGTGCTAGCGAGACTGTGGTTGGTGCCCGGGAGGGACCCTTGGGATCAGAGCCTGTCTTCAGGACTGACCAAGGGCCCAGTGGGCTCCCTCTGCCCTGCTGGGTGGGTCCCTCCTCATATCTGCCAGGGTCTGCTTCTCTGCTGAGCTGATTTCCCCCCTTCCCCTCATCTCTAGGCAGATAACCATCGAGGAGGGGGAGCAGCGCGCCAAAGAACTGAGCGTCATGTTCATTGAGACCAGTGCGAAGACTGGCTACAACGTGAAGCAGGTGAGGACACACCTGGCACGGGGCCCGGCACGGGGCCCGGCACGGTGTAGCCCTGTGGTCAGCTGCAGGCTCAGAGCTGCCTTGCCCTGAAGGGCTGGTGATGGGATTGGGGCAGCCAACCAGAACACCCATAGATGCGCCCAGGGAGGGGAGAGCTAATTTCCGGAGCTGGTAAAGCCCAAAAGAGGGAGGGACCACTCCGGGCATGGCATCTGGAGAACATAAGTCACCAGCCACCGTAGTAGTTGCCAGTCACGGCCCACGTAGCAGGCCCTAAGAGTGTCCAGCCACCAGCTTCCAGGAGGCTGAGGGAAGCAGTGGTTCCCTAGCCCCTCACCCCACTTTGGATGACAGGTGCAGGAAAATTCAATCTGATCAGCATTTGGGGTTCATGCCTTGCGCTTAGCAAGTGCTCAGGGCTGTGGAGGGCAACTCAGGCCTGGGGGAAAGAGCCTACCATGATGTGGTTGGAACTCACAGGAGGGCGAGGCAGTGGAGTTAGGGCTGAGCCTTGCAGCATGAGGGCCCCTGAGTAGTCCATGGGTGGAATTTAGCAGGTCAGCAGACAGGGCTGGAAAACATTGCACCTTTATCTTCACTAACCACTGACCCGTCCGTAGCACTGAAGGACGTCTGATTTGTCCTTCAATGATGAATGTAGGCAATGACACTCAGTCACATTAGCAGTGCCTATGGCTTTACCACCAATAGAAATCACAGATGCCTTCCCATCACCTCATAGTGTTGCAGGTATCTTGAACTTCACATCTATCAGTGTTTCAGCATCACACTACTTATTAGATCTCTTGCTAGTTCTCGCTGTTCAATGTGTTTCATAAGGAAGCACAAATGTCGATGAAGTTTTATTTCAGTACTCAGTAGTCCCCTTTATCATCCTATGTAATTGATTTCACATACTTCAAAGGAGTCCATAGGATTAACCAGATTGCCAGAGGGGTCCTTGGCTCACGGAAGGGTTAAGAACTCCTGCCGTTGGGGATGAGAAGGACTTGGAGAGGTGGTGAGGAGGGAGGGCATGCCAAGCAGGGGAGCAGCAAAGGTGTGGCTGCAGGGTGCCCGAGGTATGGGGAGGGGACTCTGGGTGAGGAGTGTGGTTGGCCTGGCGGTCGCTTCTGCCCTGCCACCCCAGCATTGCTGGGAACCCTTGGCAAGCTGTGTATACAGCACTGGCCTTCTGGATGCAGTGATGGTTTGCCCTGTGTGGACAGTGCTGGTGGCAGTGGGGAAGGTGGGCTGGCAGAACGACAAGAAGAGACAAGAAGGGTGGAAGGGACACTATGTGACACTGGGGGCCCCAAAGCTCCAGGACTCAGTGCCCCACCCTAACTAGAGTGTCCTCATCAGGGCTTCACTCACTCCCATCTGTTCCCAGCCTCCCTTGGTGTGGGGCTGAAGCTGTCATGGTCCTTCCTGCTCCCTGGGGGCATGCAGGAGAGACTGGGCTGCTACTCTTTGGGAGCCCTAAAGTCATGGGAAGCAGGGAAGCAGAGGGAGGGCAGGGCAGCACCAGGAGGTCCATAGGGCAGGTAGCATCTGCCTCAGCCGTCAGGGTCAGGGAGGCACTGATGCCCCTACCCCCAGAGTGCTCTGGAACCCATGCAGTGGTTTAGCAGGAGTTAAATGTGGTCAGTTTCGAACCCTGTGTGGCTCAGAGGAGTGTCCATGCAGTGCAGACTCCTGGATCTAAATGTGAGCATATCCACTCACAGAAACCCATACCTGACCCTAGAAACCCATACCTGATCCTAGAGCACCCTTCAAAATCCCTAGTGGCATTTTGGCCACTAGTAGAGGCTGTGACTGTTTTGAGAGCCAGACAGGCAGATCAGAGCCGCCCAGGGCCAATGCCATGAAGGAAAGCTCAGGAAGGATGGCCTGGGCCCTTTTACCCTTGCCTACTAATGGCTACCCCACTGCAGAGCCTCCTCTGCAGCCCGCCCACAAGGGTCTCACACCATGCTGGGCCCACCAGCAGCTTCCCCCCTTGGGCCCTCATGGCCTTTAGCCCTGTCACCCAGCCCGGGTGCTCAGCTGGGGCTGGGCTCTGGGGTGAGGCCATGAATAAGACTCACCCTGTCTTCAGAGAGCTCATGCAGTGGAGGGTATGAGCCCAGAGCCCACCCAGTTCCTGCAATTCACATTTGTGAGGACAGCGGGAGTGCTCCTGGGTTAGTCCTTTCAGGCTACCGTAACAAATCACTATAGGCAGGGTAGCATATAAACAGCAGAAATGTATTGCTTACAGCTCTGGAGGCTGGGAACTCCATGGTCAAGGTGCAGGCATATTCAGTGTCTGGTGAGGGCCCATTTCCTCCTAGATGGCACCTTCCTGCTGCATCCTCACAAGGTGGAAGGGGCAGACAGGCTCCCTCGGGCCTCATTCATAAGGGCACTCATCCCGTTCATGAGGACTCTACCCTCCTGACTAAGCACCTCCTAAAGCCCCACCTCTTTATACTGTCACATTGGAGATTCTGTTTCAACATAGGAATTTGCAGGGGGACCGGCATTCAGAACCTAGCAGTTCAGAGTCTTCTGTGCCTCATACTTCTGCCTCGTACCTGTCACCTCCAAGATTCCATCTCTGCCAGCACCCCATCTGCCACTTGCCACCTGTCCCCTGCCACCCACACCTGCCCAAACACACACACACACACACACACACACACACAGAAAACCCACATGTACGCAGACACACACCTTACCAAGGACACACACTATGCACACATTCCCCCCACACTTACACAAACACACACATAAAGATGCCACACGTTCACACACACCACACTCAAACATTCCCCCATATGCTTACACAAACATACATGCACCTACCCACACGCACCACTCACAACACACACATTTTCCACGCAGTCCTACAGATAAAACACATACACTGTACACACACTCCTACACACAATAAACAACTCACACTCCTACACATCCAAACAAGCCCACAAAATTGTGTTCACACTCCTGCATCCCTCGCGCTCTCAGAGAAGCCTCACCACTGTGCCCATGCAGCCCTGGCCCTGCTGTTCGCTGCCTTGGCGCCGGACCTGCAGGGCTCCCCAAGCAGAGTCATTCATCTCAAGGGCAAGTCACTTCCCCATGCCTGGTCCCCATGAGGGCTGTTTGCAGAAGCCCACCTTAAGGCCTGTCACCCAGAGGCCCAAACCATTTTCTGCACCAGAGGAAGTCCCTTGCAGTCACTGCCATGACCTAAGCTCATCCCAGTGACCCTATGGCCAGTCTGCTTGGGTGAGAGGCCACAGCTTTGTTCCTTCCTTCCACAAGCTACTGAGGCCTGCCCAGACCCAATGCTGTGAGAGGTGGGGGAGAGAGAACATAGGCACAGCCCCTGCCTTTGAGGGCACCGTCCGCTGGGCAGATGGGAGAGTAAAGCTGCAGGTTGGGAGGGGAAGAGGGGTGAGGGTGCAGGTGCAGTGAGGAGCAGAGGGGAGGGCCAGGGTTGGGGTTCACACTGCATTTCTTCATCTTTCCAGCTTTTTCGACGTGTGGCGTCGGCTCTACCCGGAATGGAGAATGTCCAGGAGAAAAGCAAAGAAGGGAGTATCCTTTTCCTTTGACAAGTGAGTGAAAAGATGTATAGAAGCCATTTATTCACTGAATATGTTAGTGCAGTGGACAGACACTCGCCCAGTCCCCGCCCAGCCTTCCCTGGTCTGCCGCGAATGGCACGGGGCCTCCTCTAGGCGGGATGCAGCTGAACCCTATGGTTTGGAGCCCCCGTCTGGCTCTAACCATCTACTTCTTCTTCCAGAATAGCAGGAAGATACCAAAGGGGTGTGCACAGAGTGATGCTGTGGGGTGGGGAGTGAGAAACAGCGACTTTGCCCTTCTTTACAGCGAGCATGTTTATGGGTTTCATGAACACAGGCAGAGTCTCCACTGCAGGGAAGTCTCTGTCACTGGGGATATGATCTCAACGTGGTTCAGTCTACTCAAGACAGCTCCCCCCTTCAGACAGATGCCCCCTCCTTGTCCCGCCCACCTTCTCTACCCAGCCCTGAACAGCTCCTGAGGCTCCCCACTGATCTGTGGGACCATTGCGCATCACCCACAAACCAGCCCCAACCTGAAGAGACACCTAGATGCTGAAACTGAGGTTCAGAGAGGTAGTCTGGTTTGCCCAGTGTCACACAGCATGTAAGTTACAGTTAGGATTCACACTCAGGCTTGCTTCCTCCATATCCAGCCCTATTCCATGTGGGACACTGTCCCTCTAAGGGCATTTGAGAGAATCAGATGAAAACTGTTTCAGCAGGGGAAGCCATTGCCCACACCTGGGCCTCCCCTGCATCTAGTCAGATGTCCCTGCCTGAGTAAGCCACCAGAAAACAAGCATGCAGATCCCTGGCTGGCATCCTTTACAGTGGACCTGTCCCTACACAGCAGCTCTCCAACATCCCCCACTGATCCTATAGGCCTCTGAGGGTAGACATCCCTGACAGATCAAAGAAGGGCCCTGGGAAGATGGAAGGGCACCTTTGGGCTGATGAGAATCAAAAGCAAAAGAAGCACACAGCTTAATGTTGGAGGCCTCATGGAGCTGCTGGGGCAGGGCGGGCAGGACACCAGGAGTCCCAGGGCTGCAGCAAGGGGGAGCCTGACACAGGCCTGGAGGGAAGCTAGGCCTCTCCAGCCTTGCTCAAGGAGCTCTCAGAGCAGACTCGAGACCCACCCCCCGGGGGGGTCAGGAAGGCTCACCAAGGAGCAGGTGCCCCAGCAGTCCCACGGTCTGTGTGTCACCAGAGGACAAGCAGTGGCCGAGAGGAGGGGGTTTGAGGAGTATCTCCTGGTTGGTCAGTTATGAGACTCCAATCACAGATAAGGAAACTGAGGCTCAGAAACTTAAACTAGGGCACCCCACGGCTCTCAGTAGCAGAGACAGGCTCCAGAGCTCAGGAGAGAGCCCCTGTGGAATCACCTGTCACATGGGACTCCTTTGAGGTTCCAGGAACATACAGAAGCCAACCTGAAGGGCAAACATAGGAGCAGGAACAAGGGAGAGGGGCAGACAAGGTGCAGGCGATCTCCGCTGTGCCTGCCAGCAAGGGGAAGGGTTGCACTGCCCGCTCTCCATCCCACCAGCTCCCAAGGTGTGGCACACTGGCCGGGGTGAGTGGTGATCGTTTCATTCACATTCTCCCAGAGTCGCGCTGTTGAGGGCTCCAGGCTGGGCCCACAGTCAGGTCAGACTGGGCTGAGTGCAGGGTGACAGTGAGCTCGTCATCGTCCTGGTATGCCTAGCGTTTCATCCAGCTACCACTGACCTTTGGGCCCCTTGGGAGAAAGGATACATGGCAGGTTGCAAACAGACTGCACAGGGTGTTGTGACCTGTGTCCCTTTTTCTAGCTAAGGGGTCCCCTCATCTGGGTAGATGTACCCCCATCCTTTCACTTCTGCCCAGGAGCCAGCTTGCTGGGCCTCTCACGAGGCAGGTGCTAGAGCGGCCACCAGAGGTCCCAGAGGGACCAGGCAGAGGCAGCCGTCATTCTGCTTCTTTCGGGATGGGGTGTTGGCATTTCTGCTTACTCACAGTCCAAATCCAGGTGTTTTGAAGGTGTGTGCTTTGGGGTCATGTTCATAATTGTGTTCCACATTGAGAGCAGCCACACAGAAGCACTGCTTTGTGGCGCTGTATAAACTGTTCACACCTGGCCTCACTTGCTCAGCTCAGGACTTGGTGAATGTGTGGCATGAGGTTTCCGTCTGCTGCTTGCAGGTCTAGATGGGGGGCTGCTGCACCTCTTCTTCACGTTCGAGACAGGAGGACCCCTCAGGGCCGCTCTGGCCAATACTTCTGCCCAGCAGCACCCTCCACTGGTCTGCTCTCAACAAAGTAGGAGCCAAGGGGCCACCAAATGGTAGAGCCATAAGCCCCTTACTGGTTCTACATACACAACCCCCCAACCCCCACTTTCTACCCAAATACAGTATGCGCCCATCACATGGGCCCCAGACTGTTTCTGAACAAGGCTGGCTTACGCAAAGAAAGAGCAGTAGTGTGGGCACTTCATGAAGTGGCTCTAAGCAGGTGAGGACAGTGACGCCGCAAACCAGATAGAGCATGCTCAAGGCCTCCCAGCTCCTTAATTCAGAGCTGGAACCACATCCAAATGACTGGATTCCACAGCCCTGTTGCACTCTCTGATGGGGCTGTGGTGTGCTTTGACATTCCAGATACAGACAGGATTGTGCTGCAGTAGAGTCAGAGGCACTGGGATTGGGGAAGCATATCCAGCAGTAGGGGGTAAGTTTGTAACAGGCTGTCTGGGCCCACCCATCACTTCCAGGAACCAGGGAGAAGGGACATTGGGCACTGAATGTGGCCCGTGATGGGCCACACTTGACCCAGAGGGAAGAGGCGGGTGTGCTCTGGCCATGCCTGCCGGAAAGGCACATATCTAACCTCTTGAGGCTTGTGAGAAACCGTGAGTTTCCCCTTCTGGGACATTATTTAGACATGGGTCCAGTCATTCTTCCCTGTCCTCTCAATCAGCGGGCAGCCCCTGAGCACTGCATTTCAGCAGCATGTGGCGTAACAAGGAAGGAGGTGTCATTAAATGAGAGCCTTTGGGAAGGCTCCTAGCGGAAGAGCTGGGCCTGTGCTCTCCAATTCTGCAGCCACATGTGGGTGTTCCGACTTAAATTAGTTAAAATTCAGTTGAATTAAAAGTTCATTTCCTCACTTGCACTAGCATCCTTGCAAGTGCCCAGTTGCCCATGTTGCTAATGGTGACATCTTGGACAGTGCAGATATAGAATATTTCCATCACTGGAGAAAGTTCTTTGGACAGTGCTGTTCTAGAAGTATCAGTAGAATTGGTTTCCCGGATGTCTGTGCATTGGGACTCTCCAAAGAACTTGTTAAAAACACACATCTGGGGCCCATCCCCACATCTACCAAGGTAGGACCCAGTGAGACGTATTTTTAACAAACATCCCAGAAAATTTTGATGCAATCCATTTGAGAACTATTGCTGTGCAGTGTACAAAAGTATTGTGATCAAATTGCGCATGAGATTGTTTTAGTGGTCGTAGGTGACTTCAATACTGGGCAGAACGTAATGCTGTAACAGTGGCCAACCTTCAAGCTAGACCACTAGTTCTCAACCAGGACTGATAGCCCTTCCCTCCCCTCCCCACAGGGGACATTTGGCAATGTCTTCAGACGTTTTGGCTCACCATAAATTGGGGGAGGGGGAATGGGGTTTAACTGGCATCTCATAGATAGTGGTCAGGGATGCTTCTGAACATCCTCCGTGCACAGGACGCCCTCATAACAAGGAATTGTCTGGCCCAAAATGTCAGTAGTGTTGAGTTTGAGAAGCCCATCCACAAGGGGCTTAGCACAGCCAGGTCAGTGAAAGTAGAAGGCTGGGGTCAAGATAGCCTTGGGTTTGTACCTGGGCACCTCAGCTTCCCAGCTGGAAGGTGGCTCTTTTACTCCCCACTGCACGAGGTCTAATGTGGAAGTGAGGTAGCTCTCAGCAGGAGAGGCCACTAATGCGTGCACCCTGGCCCAAGGAATGAGGACATTTTTACAGGTGGAGATGGGGAGGAAGGCTGGGTGTGGGGGAGGGAGCATCACTTCTAGAAGGAAAGAACAGCATGAACAAAGGAAAGAAGGAAAGCATAGGACGTGTTTAAAGCAGGGAAAATCTGGTTGGTGGAGCCTTGGTGTGTGATTGAGGGAAGGGGATAAGCTAGCGTCAACAGGTGCTTGGGGTGACCCTAAATGGGGAGGCCTTAAATGCCAGAGTGAGAAATCCGTGGACACTTTGTTTCTGTAGCAGAGTGTGACATGATTGTCACCAGAGCTGGCTTTGGGAAGCCACCATGCTGAGAGAGAGCTGGCTGGGCTCAGAGGGGCACTCAGAGAAGACCAGGAGACCTCAAGGAGGCCTGTGCCCAGGCCAGCAATACAGAACAGGACTGCACTGCCGGCATGGGCCATAGAACTGCAGCTGGCAGAGAGAAACAGCAGGGCATTCCTGGCAGTGGGTTTACCAAAAATGATGGGCAGTAGAGAAGCAGGCTGCTTGACTAGGGTAGAGAGAACAAAAGGTGGGCTGCAGTGGGCAGTGGGAAGGAAGGCACTGGCTTAGTATCTATTTACTCATTTATAGGCTGCCATGGTATAAGATACATATACATACACACAAGATAAAGTTGTATGTGTATGTGTGTACACACACACATGGGGAAAATAAAGGTAGGAAAAGCAAAGAAAAGTCAGAGATAAAGTCATACTCAAAATGTATGCCATGGCCGCATGGTTGTTAGAGGTGGCCAAAAAGTTGGCTCTGAGCATCCTCACAGCCAAGGCAAGGAAAGAGAATGTGAACTTCAGGAGAAGCATGGCTTTTCATAGTACTTAAAACAAAAGAACCTCTCCTGTTGTCCTCAAATAGGAGCCACAAAAGCATCCTTAGGATGCCAGCAAGAAGTTCCAAAACAGTGTTTCTTATACCACCACACCCCACACACCCCTGTCTTAAGGCAATCCCTGTCCAGGAAGAGCAATTCTGTGAGGTATCAAAGGGCCTGATCCTCAGCTATAATTAGGTCTGGTTTGATGCAAGGCTAAAATCTCACAGTGTTGGTTTTGAGCCCGATGAGGAAGGCAGAGGGCCAGCCTGGCTGTGCATTTGGAACCAGTCCCTGTGGTGGTTCTGATAAGTGCTTCTTTAGCCCACAGCCCCCGGGGGCACCAGTGGAAAGGGCTGGCGAGGGGGCTGTGCTTAGGCCCCATGGATGTGGCTTCTTACAGTAACCATCCTCAGGATCTAAGTGATGTGTTCTGACTAAAGCTTGAAGGGTTTGCTCCTGCTGCCAATTAGGCAAGGCCCACATACCCCTGTGCTTTGAGATGTGAACCCAGCAGGCTCTTCATCTCCATTGCACTTTGAGTGGGGCTGACAGGTAACTGGGCTGAGGCCAGGGCTGGGAGCTGGCATTTGAGCACTGGTCGAGGGAAGGCTTCTGGGAAAGGGACTCCCTGGCCTTGGTATAGATGGTGATCCCACGGCCCAGGCAAGACAGGCTTTGCTTGGGTGGACAGGCGCTGGGGGAAGTGGACGGGTGAAGGGAAGAGGAGGCAAGGTGGAGTTGGTATTGCATCCTTCCTAGCCCAGCCAAACCAAGAGCCAAGTCCCTAGGTGTTTGCAGAGAAACAGAGCAGTAGCCAAAGGGTACAGTGCACAGGGCTAAGTGGGGTGGCAGCTTGTCCAGGAGAGTCATCTTCCTTAGCCCGTCCCCCTGCAGTGATCGACATCAAGCTGGACAAACCCCAGGAGCCCCCGGCCAGCGAGGGCGGCTGCTCCTGCTAATGCAGAGCCGACCTGTGGCTTCCCATGACACTCCTTGCTTGTTGTGTTGCTTCCTATTGGCTAGCTTCCTAAGGGGGGAGGGAACCGAGTTATCAAGATGGGAGGATTTTTCTTTTCTCTCTGTCTTTAGGAGTAGGGTGGGATGGGGAGGGAGGCTGGGCATCAGGGATCACATCACTCTTAACGGCTGTTACTTAAACAACTATTTTTTGGTTTGGTTGTAATATATTGTACTTTATTAAGATTGCCAAAAACTGTTAAAATTTAAAAAAAATTTAAATCATGTGTATACAATTTTTTGCCAGATAAAAATGTAGTCATTTTTATTTGAAAGATGTGCTTTTTGTTTTTGTATATTTGTAAACTTATAGAGAACCTTTTCCACACACCTCCTCCTTCCTGTTCTCTTTGAACCATTCATCACCTCTGCCTTCCTCCTATCCCCAGCCCAATAAATTAAAACAATTAACTGAGCAAATTAATTAGGCTTCAGTCTGGGGCCATCTGGCCCCACTCTCTAGGCCCTACTCCAGTTAAATCAAACATTGGTTGAACACATCAGCCTCTGAAAAGGTAGCTCTGACTCTTGTCTTTCCATGGCCAGAGTGGGTCGTCAACCTCGTGTGGAGCTGAGACCAAGGTCTGTGGGCTCTAGGCAGCCCGGCAGCAGCCCCCAGAGGAACTGCTCCCACCTCTCCTTCTCTTTCCCTGAAAAGCCTTGAAGGGGGTTGAGGGTACAGGCAACCTTGTGTTCTCTGTGCCCTCAGGGACTGGCAGAGCAAGAGGCCATCAGAAGGACGAGGTGCTGTTGGCAATTGCAGCTGCGTGGTGCGTGGTTTATAGACTGGGGTGCCATGTGTACTTCTGAAAATATTTTAACCAGCCCACCCAGCAGTCAGTACACATGCCTGGGCCAAGTCTAAGAAACTCAGTGTGTGATGTTGGGCAGTGTGCCATCCTGAAGCCTTCCTCCTGGATGTCAGGGAAGCTGGACCACCTGGAGTTGATCCTCTGTGATGGGGAGGCGGGGGGGGGGGGGGGTGTTGTCTGCAGAACCACCACCTTGAAAGATCCATGTTCTTAGAGCCTCAGCTGCTAATATTGTTGAGTGCTTTCTGGAAAAGCTGATTTGTTGCTATGTTTTCACCCCAGTGGCATGGCGCAGTTGAAGTCTTTGTGGACATATCTTTGTGGCTACTGTGGCTGCGCTGTGGTCACCTGAGGATGTGGTTCAGGTGGGGTCTCCAGAAGGCTGCTTGCCCCCAGAGAGCCATCTCTTCCATTTTTGATTCATTCCTGAGAATGGCTTAGTCCTGAGAATCTGCAAAGTCTCTGAAGAGAACTCTCTCTTCCCACTAAGTGATATAACCTACTTGGCCAGCATTCCAAATAGACTCAGACTCACTGCCCTGAGCCTGCACAGAGCCAGGTGCAATGGGCAGTGAGTCTGGCCAAAATGTAAACCCCACCCTCCCTGCTGTCATTGGCTCTCCCTCCAGGCTGCTGCTGGGCATGTCATAGATGGGATGAATGACCATCTGGGGTATGGTGGGCTGAACTCCACAAGGTCGTTGGAATGAATTTTGAAACTTCTCAGAAATTAATCTGAAATGGCAGGCAGTAAGTGCAGCAGAATCTGGCAGGACTGATATTTGTGCAGTGGGCCTGCCACACACCCTCTGCCTAGGAGGCTGTATGCCAGAGCTCATCTCTAGCAAGGAATTTATCTTCAGGTGAAGAAGAGAGGAAGCAGGATCCCACTGAGCACCTCTTGCAGAAGGCAAGGACCAATGTTTGAACGTGTTTCAGATGTCATGTGTTTAGTTTTTATATGTGTGTACATAATTATATATAGAGATAGACTTGTGTATACACCTTCCACAAACACATCCTCACGGAGATACATGTGCTCAATGTATATTCTTGTTTCTCCTGCTCTCAAGTTGGAACTTGCATTGTGATAAGTTTTGGAAATTCAAAAGTACTGCAACGTGTTGAAATAAGAAATACTTAATATTGTCAAATAACTTGTGATTGTCTTGCCATCAATAAAATAATGCATAGTTGTGTTAAACTACAGGCAAACATAGCCCACGGGAATATCTCCACCATTTCTCTATGTACTTTATATGCACGGGTGTGCATGCCTGTGTGGGCCAGTGTCCCCCCACCATGGGCACACCCCCAAGTGGTGCTTGTTGGAAGAGTGCTTACTTACCTCGAGAGAATTTACAGGAGTCCACATGACAGTGTCCTGCCTGGTTGGCAGCGGGGGCCATCACCTGTGGCCTCTGAGACCGCCCCATTTACAGGAATCTGCACTGGGTCTCAGTGAATGAACGTATGGTAGATTTTTATTTTCTTGGCACTAAAGATTAGCTTTTTTAAAAAAACATCCCATAAAACAGTAGAAACTCAGTTCCCTTCTCAGGGGCACACACATCCAAGGCACCGTGGACTGTGTTTCCATCCTGGCCTAGAGGAGCAGTAAAAGATAGCATTTGGTTTGACATGGCCTTAGTGAGTCCTGCCTTTCCTAGCATGCACACAACATCCTCTCTTTGAGTTTGGGTTCTCCCCAGCCCCTTGGCCTCTGAGGCTGAGGGTGGCTTCCTCCCATCCTCCCATCTCAGTGGTTCCATGGCGCTCCCTTCGGCACGTGCGGTTTCCGCCCCTCCCTTCCTGGGGTGTGGAAAGGCAGCCAGACCTCTTTTTCAGAAGTTGTTGGTTCCCTGATTTTTGTCTTGAGCAGGCACCATCCCTGTCCCCTTGCTTGCAGGTAGAATTGGCACAGAGTTAAGGTTCCATAATAAACTGTTAGGTGCTCTTGAAGAAGATGTCATGGCATTGCCTCAGCACCCCAGCAAGAGCATTGCATCTTTGCTGAATCCAGATGGGTTAGCAGAGGGCAAATTGGAGGATTCCTTTGAGGAAATGTTCTCAATTGAGCAATTCAGTCCCTCTCCCCAAAGACTAGACGTGACCTGGCAGATTAGCAGGATCCTCTTGGCCTTCTTTTTTGGGGATGGTGGGAGTGAAGGGGGTGAATCTTAAAAGCTTATCAACAAAGCTCCTGTTCTGCAGGCATCAGGAAAGTTGAGTGTAAGATGGAAAAAGCAAACAGCCTATTTACAAGTGGAAACACATTGGTTCTGATCACTCCTAACTTGCTGGGTGATCATACATACATCAACATGAAGGTGTGACATCAGAATCATGAGCACCATGGCTGCAGTTGTGTGATCCAAGGCTAGTTGGCTTGGTAGCTGTTGGCAGCAGTTTCCCTTGGTCAGAGGCCTCCTTGCTATCTATCGCTGCTCTCTTCTTGTCATCCTTAAACATTCAGTCATGTTCCCAGGTCTGAGGGGAGCAATGGCCAGACCAGTTTCAGTATCTCTGGCAACAGAAACAAGGATTGAAATGGTGGTAGTTAAGAGTGCAGACACATCTGGGGTGCAACGTCTGCATCATCCTGGTGGCTAGCCAGTGCGGGGAGGCCCTGCCCTGGGATACCAGTTGTGACAATAAAGGGATGGCCCTCCTGGCTTCAGCATCCTGCAGGTAGAGCAGCCTCATTCCTTCACAAGATGGAAGGCAGGTGAGGATGTCAGGATGAGATGGGACCAGGTAGCCGAGGACAGTGAGGCATGTCTGAGCCACTTGAGGGGCAGCTGAACAGAAGGATGTCTGTGTGCATCAACCGAGCAGATTGTGCGCACACTCGTTTCCGAACTGCCTCTCCCCAAAGAATGTGAGGCATTGTCACCTTGTTACAGCTATGTGAAGCAGAGCTGTCACAACTTTTCCTGTCTACAGGCAGGAAAACCAGGATGGAGAAGGGCAACTTGCTTATTAAGATCACCCAGCAAGTTAGGAGTGATCAGAACCAGTGAAGTTTCCATTTTTCATCCATTGCTGCCCTGTGTGTGAACAAATGTGACTCCATATTTATTACACAGCAAGGACTGCTGTGTGTGGGTGTGTTCCTCAGACCATCTCTACTCTTTTTGGTTAGGACACTAGGTTCTTCCCAGCATATGAGTGAGAATATTGGTGGTATTTTGGGCTCCTCTACTGCACAAGGGCCAGTCCCCAAGTCTACTCTGATTGATTGTCATGGGCACCCACACAGATCAGGACACCCTTTGAATTTTTGTTTGACATGAACTATTTAGGTGTTCCAAAACCTTGGGATCTCAATGTGCAAACTCCTTGGACTCCAGACCCCTGTCTGGTTGGCACTCCCAGCAGTGTGTGGTTTCATCAGGAAATCCTTGCAGCAGGGGTTTAGATGGTTCCTTCAGGAGGTGGGAAGCCTCCATAGCATTGAAGGCCAGCCTGCATCTCGCGGTGTGTGTCCACTTCTCCCCTCACTTTCCCCTCACCCATCCCTTTAAAGTGATTGGCTGTGAGGAGCACAGAGGGTGGCAATTCCATCTGTTATGGGCTCAGAAGACATAGCCGCCATGTTGATTTCACATTAAACTGTGTAAAATGTGGAAAAGACTCAGCATGTTGGTCAAACAATAAACTGTCCTAATTCTCAAAACAAAGCTTCTTGTCTGTGTTTAAGTGGTGCAGTCATAAATGGGGGGGTTCAAAAACAGTTCCTGAAGTGTGTGCTCCACAGAGTCCCTTTTGTCATGCCTGGGTGGTATGTCCACTACCTAAAGCCCTTTGCTGCTTTGCTTCTTCCTCCTACTGGTGGAGTTGGGCTGTCCACCAACTCCGAAGGGGTAAAGATGGGACACACTCATGAGAGTAAATCCACACGCATTCCCCTAATCTCCATTCTGCTGAAAGGCTGATGGGAAGGGAGCCTCCAGGCAGAACTGAGTCAGGGGTACGATATATTCCTTCATCCCCACTCTGCTTGCCATGGCTAGGGGATTAGGAAGGGGGGAGAGGGTACAGGGACTGGATCTCTCATGCTTCTGGTGATTTTCAGAAAGCCATTTAAAGGCAAGAACTTAAGGTGAACTATAATGACCTTTGACAACATCTAGCTGCCATATTCCATCCCCAGCCCCACACCACACCAGTTAGGAACATCCCTGAGTGGCCCCTCCAGGTCTCAGTTATCTCCAGACTAAAAGATGCTCAGAAAGCCAGCACAGTCCTGGGACCAATCCAAAGAGGAACAAAGGCCAAGATTAGGTAAATTGCCCTTGCCCGGGAATCTCACTCTTCTTCAAGTCCAACTTCACTAATTACCTTTCCTTTTAAAGCTTATAAAGGTTCCAGAACACCCTCCAATCTGCTGCCACCTCAAGGAAGCCATCTTTGATTAGAAGAGACATTGAGGCCAGGAGTTTGAGAACAGACTGGCCAACATGGTGAAACCTCATCTCTACTAAAAATTAGCCAGGAGTGGTCCCACAGGCCTGTAATCCCAGCTACTTGGGGAGGCTAAGGCAGAAGAATCACTTGAACCCGGGAGGCAGAGGTTGCAGTGAGCCGAGACGGCACCACTGCCACTCCAGCCTGGGCGACAGAGTGAGACTCTGTCTCGACAAAACAAAAAAACCCTTGAAACAATATATTCAAGTCAACAGAACATGGCCATGTGCCTCACACATCAGCATCATGGGAACACTGGCACTTCAGAGGCCAGTGGAAAAGTGGCAGTCCCGTTGGGGCTGCATGGCTGGCAGCTGACCACAAGCCCACACAGCGCTTAGGAGTCAAGTGCAGCAGTGATGGAGCTCACACTACTGAGAGAGCAGGGAAACCACACTGAAAGGGCACGTTTCTTAACCTCAGAATGGGGCTACTAGCCTCTAAAGCAGGAATTGCGTTTTGTTTAGTATTTCCATGGTCTGCTGCAAGGCGTGGCCTTTACCCAATGGATAAATGCGTACAAGGCTCTTGTGAGCAGTCAAGTTTCTCGAGGTTTACAGTTGAAGGGAAGTGGGATTGTTTTCCTGCGCATTTAAATGAAGGTAGGTGGGTGATCACCTTTCCTTAAATGTGTGAAGGGATGAGATAAAGAGATAGGCATCTTAATTGCCACTGATGGCCTTCAGGTGAGGACAGGCATGAGCCAACTGAAGCTTTGACAATTGTGCTGAACCCAAAACTTCAAAAACAAGAAAAAACATAGACTGGCTGAAATGATCTAAGTCAACAGAGCATGGCCAGCGCTTCATACAAGGCAGGACCACAGGGGAACACTGACAGCCCAGGAGGCACTGAGACAGAGGCAGTGGGAAGAAGTGACAGACCCCAGGGACTCCCCACCAACAGCAGCTGCTGTTGATTAGGAACCCCCAGTAGACTGTCAGGCACCTGGTAGTGGAGAGGCTACCAAGGCCCGGACTGGAGAGGAGCCAAAGGAAGAAACAGTGCAGTGCTTAGACCCCTCTGGGTCTGCCCGTGTCCATACCCACTAGGGAGATTCCATTCCAGAAGTGGACATATTCACCAACAGAGTGCCTGGGGCTCACTCATCACAGCTGCCCCTCCATGAGGGCATCTCACTGCAGCCTTAGCAGGGAACAGGGTCATTTGCATTAGGCAGCTGCTGTCCTAGGAGGTCTCGGTGTCCATACACTGCCATGTTCCCAAGGTGTTTCAAGCTCAAAAGTCTCATCTATGTCATACAGTCGTGCCTAGTTGGCCCGTCTCCAAGACCTGACATCCATCCTTCTACTCTGGCCACACCTGCCCATCTCATGAAATGGGCCTACTTTAGTCAAATGCCCTCAGGGCCACAAAAGGGCACCACCTGAGTGGAGAGAGCACATTTGACCTCCCATCAAAACCCTTCCCAGTTCCCAAAGACTAGTCACCATGACCTCATCCTGGCCCAAAGCCACAAGAACGGAATGCCTGCTACTAGTACAGGAGTAAGAAGCAAGGTCAGAGTTCCCATGCCTGCTGACTTGACCCTGTCAGAAAAACTCAGCAGGGTGTGTGCCCCAAGAGACTTTAAAAACAAAGTAAAGGCACACGTGACACTCCAGGCCAGATCATCTCTAGGGGTGCCATGCGACTGACAAAAGACTTATTAAGCATGCAGATTCCTGAGGCAATACCAGACTTGCTATTGAATCAAATTGTCTGAGAGTAGGGTCCTCAAATCAGTTTAACAAGCATCGCAGGTAATTCTGATGCCCACTAACATTTGAGACCAGTGTTCCAGATAGAATTATCCTTTTTTGGAAGACCTTCTTTAGGCCTTGAATCAAACTCAAACTTGCAGCCCTTCTTCAGTCACTTTTTCTGGTGTGCTGCTTCCTCCAATAAAGTAAGATATTAACCAGAAAAAAATAAAAGAGGCTGAGAGGGACACATGCCTCTAACAGAAGCATCAAGCCACTGACTTTTATTCCCATGAGCTCCTACTATGATGACATAACATGTCACATTTATTGCTCTTACCTACTTCCTAAGTTACTGCTTGCCTAATAAGGAAAAGGGCAAGAAATAAGAGTCCAAAAGACACTCAGAACACCAGCAGCAGCTTTCAAGTAAGGACTCAGGGTCAGGGTCTCACAACTCCTCCATTTCATGTTTCATTTACATTGTCTTCGTGCTCCAGCAGCAAGGCTGACATGTGCTTTGGGGTAGGAGCCTGGAGTATTTCTGCCAGATGGTCTGAGGTGACGTATACTCCTAGAGCCCAAGTGACCACCAGAAGGGACATGTGAGACAGCAGGCAGAGGCCATACATGGAGGATCACACTCCCTCAGACGTCATCAGCCCCATGCTTTATCCTTTGACTCCCCCTGATCCTCAAGGCCAGGTGGGGTGCCCCTGCTGCATGCTCCAGAGAACTGTGGGCCTCTCCTACCATGGCTCTCAATGCACTGTTCCATAACTGGCTTCTCCCCTGGACAGAGCCACCCTGGTCTCCTTGTAAGCTTTAGTTGGGCTTGTCCCTGAGTGTGTGGGGTAGGAATAGGAGTGTGTTCTTGTGTATGTTGCAATCTTTAGGCTCAGGAGACAAGGAGTTAGACCTGAGTCCTGACATGTGCACTCATTTGTACTCACCATTACATTCTATTTAATTGCTTTGAGCCAGACAGGCTGTTTTCTTTACCATGAAATATACTAATCATTCAAAAAAGCCTTGTGTTTAAGAAGACAGCAAAAAACATCACTTCAAAAAGGCAACTTTTTTTTTTTCTTGGCATCAATGAATATGCACTTCAGAAATCTACAGAGAACTTTTTTCACTTTGTATTTGTTCCACAGCATTCTAGCCAGGAGTACAAAATAGGAGCTCTTCAAGCAGCACATGAAGATGGCCCAGGAGCCTTCAGCCATCCAGAGCAGCAGAGCAGCACCTAAATCTCCACACACTTCCCAGTATAACCACTAAGAACACACTAGACCCTTGGCATTAGGGGATTTATCATTTCCAGTTCTATTATCTGGGAATGACTCCAAGGGTTTGTGACAAGCTTTTGAAACGTAAGTGCTAAGACGAGTGTGGACAAGTCACTGAGCTAATGAAGAATAGACCCACTGTCTGCTTGGCTCTGCTATTTTGTACCTGTCTTCACATGTGGGGAAACTTCATAACTGTGCCCACAAATCAGAGAAATTCGCAAAGGACTAGACAATGTATTGCCTGTGAACTTCAGAGGCAACTGGAAATAGTGCAACTGGAAATCAACTAGCTTCATACATAGGCGGATTTGTTTCCAGGGACCAAAAGCACAGAAGATAAGAAAACTTTTCAGGTGATGGCCATATTCTCATCATATCCTCTCTGTGTGGAGTCTGCCTGTTGTCACAAAAACCTTGACCCTACATCAAGTTACACCTTAACAAAGGGAAGATACAGGCATCAGATAAAAGGTACTTGTTTGAAAGGCAGCCATAAGGGAGAACTGAACTTAAAAAAAAAAAAAAAAAAAATTCCAAGCTGGTTTCAACAGTACTTTGTTTCCAGAACAAAGAAATGTTTCTAACCACATCTTGTACCCCTTCCTCATCAACTCCAGACTACCACAGACCTTTTTCCAAAACTGTGTGTCACACATCCAGGTCTTGTGCTTTAGAGCTGCCTCTCAGGCAATTTTAGCCAGCCATTTCTCCAAGTCCTGGATGTCAGCAGAGCCCACGTCCCCTCTTCCACCCTTGGCACTGCACTCCAGGAACTCCACTTTGAGGGGCAACTGTGAGAATTCAAACTCTTTGCCTTTCTTCCCCAGCTGAGCAGGGGCAGTGCTGGAACTGTCCAGTGTGCTGGGGGCAGCAGAACGGGTAACTCGTAAGGTGTTGCTGTGGGGCAAAAGGAAAGAAGTCAGGAGGCAAAATTTTTATACAGCAATTAAATCATATTAGTTTCTAAACATTTCAGCACTCATTTAAAACTTAACTATAGAATTGCCAATTATGCTATTAAGATTGTTGAATAATCCTTTGCATTTATAAGTCCCTCTCTTGGACAGAGAGGTGAGGTAGGTGGGGCGGGCTGGGGGGGTCAGACCTCACAGGGCTAGAAGGCAGGTCAGCAGTAGACCAGGTCACACCAACTTTCTTTCAGCCCAAGGCCCCCTTCTAAGAGGATCTACTGAATGAAGCCGTCTAAAAATATATTTTTAAAATACATGCTTTAAGTGTTATAAAAACATAAGTTTCTGAAAGTTAAGTGTGGGTAGATAGGGTATGTATTTTTATCTTGAGTCTATTTGGATATGGAGTTTAGAAATCCACCAACTCCAGATTCTCATATCTAACTAGGGCAGAATTACTATTATCCAACCTCTTTAACCACCAAAACCTTCCCAATGTAAGTCCCCTTACTGCCACCTGCTGGCCCTAATAAAGGGTGCATAAGCAACACTCATTTGTCGGCCTCCCCTTCCCCTTTCTGCTATCCAGAAGCAGAGGAATACATGCTGCCAATCTTCTTTCTTACAAAATAAAGCATTTCTTGTTCTGTAAAGTTGCTTCAAAATTAGTGAAGAATCCACAGGCAAAACTAAGCAATACCTTGTTTAGGAAGGAACACACACACACACACACACACACACACACACACACACTGTAAAAGTATTTTTAAAAAACAATACAAAACTGGATATTGCTGACCTCTTGAGGGAAAAGCTTTTGGGGAGAAACAGGGGCCTTCTAGGCATGGTGGTGAGTACATAGGTATTCATTTTAATATTTTTTAAGCTTAATGCATGTGACATATATACTATTATAAGTAAGATATTTTACAATAAAAATTTTTTAAGGAAAAAAGTAAAACATGTATTCAGCTTTTGCCACAAGGCCATGTAAATATAATATACCGTGTTATTGAGAGACTATGAAATGCCTCTAAGCTAACAGGGCCTAATTCTCATAAATCTGAGATTAAAATTAGTCAGATTCCGAATTTTAACTGATGTTAACCTTTACAATTTGTCAACATTTTGTTTCACTGCCTTTTAAGAAAGCATTGCCTTTCAATGCTTTTAAAAAAGGATTGGCTTCTGTATTGTTTTTCTCTAAGTCTATAGAGTGAAAAGCAAACAGCCTATGGAAAACATGTGTTTTAACCACGGGAGACTTGGACTGTACTGTTAAAAATAACCCAAGACTGATTCACAAATAACATTATGACAGTTTTGGCTTCCCCAAAACAATTCCCAACAATTTCAAGAGAATTTTTAGAAAAACCCAACCATCCAATTGTTCCAATGTCCTTATTAACCTAATGGCAGCAACAGATACAATCCAAGAGAGTGAGCATCAAGAGCACAGGAGGACAGGGTGATAAACTCGCAGCTCCAGACGGGAAAGGAACCACTGAAAATGGCATAGGCAGGGCTGGCAAAATTGTTCTGCAAAGAGCCAGAAATTAAATATTTTGTCGCATATTTTTCTTCTGTTTTTTACCTGCCCTTTAAAAATGTCGATTTACTCTTGGCTTGCAGGCCCAGGCAGGAGTTTGCCAATGCCCGAAGCTGACTAGATTCTACCAGACTCTAAGCTCCTGAGTACAGGAACACATTTCCTCCTACAGCTGCTCCCAACTGCAGTCTTGGCATCCACTAGATGCACTACAGGTGCTTCTTAAATGAATAAGGGAGTCAGTAAGTCATAGTGGGGAGAAAAGTTTCTAAAAGTTGAATTTATACAGTTTTTCCTCATCAGATCCTTTTCAAGGCCTTACACAAAAGCAATAAGAAAACATAACTTGCTTTACTATAAATGTTGATCATTTCTTCTACACCAGCTTTTGGCTAGCTCTTACAAATTGGCATAACGCAGAAGACATGCTAGATGCCTTAAAATTCAAAAGCTTATAGCTCAATTTACAAACCTTGAAACACTCAAAGCAGGATATATAATATTGCCAAGTATTTTAACAATCTAAGAAGCTATAATGTAGTATCAAAGACTTGTAGTCTTCCTCAGTGTTCTGTTCTTATTCTGTCAACAATAATTTCCAAAGTGGCTTTTAAATGTTTTAATTTCTTTTTTCCTGATTCTCAGTTTTTATTTTTTATTATTTACATGCATCCTTAAATACCACTTCACAGGCATTATTGAGTGGTGAACAAACACTTCCACTCACTGAAATAACACCGTTCTCAAGTTGGCATGTAAACTTTTTTAGCTTCTAAAACCTTTCAACTATAAATGATTTAGTAACAATGGTAAAATAAATTAAGTTTATGGTTTCAAAAAAATCTTCTTTCCATGAAATTTTAAAATATCTATAAGCACCCTAGTAAGTTTTTGTGATTCCATTATTTTGTAAATTATTTAACAAATATTTATCACACTAATCTTCAGTCTATAATTGTGATAATCACATAAAACCAAACAAAAGAAACATGAATATGCTGCTTACAGTCTAAGTGTTAAGATATATAATTAACCAACAGGCCTCTTTCACACTTACAGTTCTTTCTCCAGCTGCTGTTGAATTAACTTTGCTGATTTTGCCATTGCAATATCTGTAAAGAAATAAAGACACTGTTGTAGTTTAAACGAGAATGAGTTTTTTCCCCAAGACTTCTTACACAGAAGGAAAATTCCTATTTAAACCAGTAAGTTTTTCTCTTTTTTTAAAAAAAGACCTTTTATCACTAGTTCCTTCTCTATCAAAGTAAGCTTTATACTTGCACTAGGGGCTTTCCCAAGATAATGCTTATAAACATATTATGCTGGTGACCCTAAAACTGACTTTAGCTTTCCCTAAAGTTCTCCACACCTTATAGACCTTTCAATTCAAAACATATAAGTTTACTCAGTTTAACAGAAAGAAAACCTACCAGTGCTGTGATTATGAGAAGTGCCTTCACATGCCAAAAGACAGTGCCCTATCTGTCATTTTAAAGTAAACTTAGCATGTTTCCAATTGATCCTAAGACGGTATGTTTAAAGCATTAAGTGTACTAAAGGTAAGAAACAAGCTCTGGTTTGGCACAAAGCCCATGGCAAATAAACAATAACTCCCTTCCTTATATTCAATCAGGGAAATAAAGAGGTCAGGTAATGACGCTAATTGCATTCCCAATAAGGCATTATCAATATTATCTGGTCACTTCTGAGAAATGCCTTGAACTCTTCATAGAATCAGAATTTCAGATCTGGAAGAGACCTGAAGAGATCCACTAGTCTGTCTTATTGTACAGGTAACGGAACTGAAGCCCAGTTTTATTGGGGATTACTAGAAAAGTTTTCAATGGTTATCAGGTTAAAAGAAAACAACTTCAGCAAACTTCCCTTGATAAAATGTGCTGTACAGTAAACTTGTTTGAAAGCAGAAACTCCACCCTGCAAAACTGTGCATCTGATATCACATATTGTCAATCTGATGAACTTAACTTGGTAAAGTAAAATAATTTATAATCAGAAAAAACACTGTATCAAAGAAAAATCAGTTAGCAGTCACTTGGTTATCATTCCTTGGTCTTCTGGTTAGAAGACTGGTGAAAAGGTAGGAGTAGAAATAAATTTTAAGATTAAAAATCCTTCAATTTATAGTTCTTTACAGCAATTGTATCTCATCCTCAATAATAACAACTGTAAATAATGGAAATAATTCTTAGTAGCAGCAATCCCCAAAAAACTCAATTATTATTGCAAGAAAACATGATGGCACCTTGCTTATTGCAGGCTATTAAGAATGATGGTGTATTCTTCAGACCCATACTGTCAATGAGGACTTGATACAGAAACTCAGCCACATCTTTCACCTCTCGCTGGAATGCTGCACTATCCACAACAAACACAATAGCCCTGGAGGGAGAAAACAAGAAAAACTGGCATGTGAACGTGTAACAGGACATCATTATCTTGAAAAACTATCCTGAACTTCTTCAAAGTCAATCTTGGTGATTAACACTCAGCAGACACACATGCAGGTCTGTGCATATGTTATCATATAACATAAATCCTCATTTAACAAGGAACTATTGAGTGCTACTGTGTATCAATGACTGAAGCTGAAAAAAGACAGTAAGAAATGATGCCTGTCCTCCAAGACAAATCATCATATAGAGAACCATATGATAAATGCCAAGACAAAACTATGCACATGTGTAACAGGAATAAAGAGAAAGATCATTTAAATGAGACCAGGTCAAAGGCAACTTTAAGGAGAATGTAACAGTTGAGTTGAATCTTAGCTAGACCAAAAATTGGGGCACAGGCTGTCTGGAAAGTACAGGTTGAGTATCCCCAATCCAAAAATCCAAAGTCTAAAATCCAAAACACTTCTGGTTCCAAGCATTTTGGATAAGGGATACTCAGCCTACAGTATGTTCAAGCCACAAATACGTGAAACACATTCCCTGGGGAAGTCAAGGTAAGCTGGTACACAGGGAGATGGGGAAATGAAGGAGAACCAAGTCAGACAGTGAGGCGTGACACAATGACCTGTGGAGTTCATGCTTTTCTGTCTTATGAAGAATATTGGTGCCTAAATGGAAGACAAAGCAATCTTAGAGGGCGCTTGAACTAGAAGCACAGTGACCAGGTAGGGCCTGAACTAAGGCAGCCATAGTGGGACTCCTCATGTGACAGAAACAAAGAGATATCAAAGCTAAAGTGCAGCAGCCCAGGGAAACTGCAGACAACAGGTCTTAGGGGGCCGGGTGCGGTGGCTCACGCCTGTAATCCCAGCACTTTGGGGGGCCGAGACAGGCAGATCACTTGAGGTCAGGAGTTCGAGACAAGTCTGGGCAACATGATGAAACCCAATCTCTACTAAAAATATAACAATTAGCCAGATATGGTGGCGGGAGCCTGTAATCCCAGCTACTTGAGAGTCTGAGGCAGAAGAGTTACTTGAACCCAGAAGGCGAAGGTTGCAGTGAACTGAGATCATGCCACTGCACTCCAGCCTGGGTGACAAAGCGAAACTCCATCTCAAAGAAAACAAAAAAACAAAAAAACCGGCCAGGCGCGGTGGCTCACGCCTGTAATCCCAGCACTTTGGGAAGCCGAGGCGGGCGGATCACGAGGTCAGGAGATCGAGACCATCCTGGCTAACACGGCGAAACCCTGTCTCTCCTAAAAATACAAAAAATTAGCTTGGTGTGATGGCGGGTGCCTGTTGTCCCAGCTACTCAGGGGACTGAGGCAGGAGAATGGCGTAAACCTGGGAGGCAGAGCTTGCAGCGAGCCAAGATCGCGCCACTGCACTCCAGCCTGGGCAACAGAGCGAGACTCCGTCTCAAAAAAAAAAAAAAAAATACAAGCCTTATGGACAAGGGTTTGAATGCCCAGGTGGAGATAAGAGACATGCAATGGCCAACATGCAGCTGGGGAGCTAGAACTGAATGCCCTGCACAAAGCCTACAACTTAAAATAGTCTCAGGGAGGTCGGGGCTTGCAAAAAAAGTTCCCTTAGAAACAGCGGGCCTCCACTGCCTCACACAGATATAGGGTATGAATTTATACTCTCTCCAGGTGTAAGACCCCCAAGGGGAAAGGCTTACATAAAAATTGGGCCAGACTTATTGAAGCCCTATGGCCCCAACAGAAGGAACTATGAACCGCTTATGGAGCAAGGCTTTCATATCCTACGGGATTAAAGAACCACCACAATATCAATGATGTGTCACTCTTGAAGAAAGGTTCTGGAGCAAAAATTACAAGGCACAGAATAAAATAATTATGAGGGAGAATAACTGGTACCCCAAAGAGAATAATCAGCACCCCAAAACTAAGATAATAAAGCTATCTATAAAGTAAATGTTTAAAATTATTTAAGAAAATACTACAAACTACAATAAAAAATAGAATAGTATAAAAAGAAACAGGCTGGTTTGAAAAGGTAAGTATTTTAGACAAATATAGTAAATGATATTAATAAATCAATGGAAAAGTTAAGCAGAGATCATGCTCAGCTGAAAATAATGTAATAAACTAGAAAACAAATCTGAGGGAATCTTACAATATGCGAAGTAGAAAGATCTGGAAGATACGATAGAGAGGAAACAAGAAAGGCAAAAATAATAAGGTTCAATAACATTCATAAGAATTCCAGAGTGTGAGAAATGATCATGGGGAAACAGCACTACCTGGAGAAACGATGGTGAGAATTTTCCAAAACTGAGGAGAATCTTTGGTTTGGAATAGCACAACTGAATTCCAAGAATGATAAAGCTAAATCCATCCTTGAACAGAAGAAAATCTATCCCTGGATAGAAGGTCAAATCAGGCAGACTTACTACAGTGAAATGACAATTAGACTGACTGGCAAAAACATTCTCATCTGCAACAGATGGATGAGGTCAGGAGTGATGCGGCTGCCACCCAGGACTCTGCACTCAGCTAAAAGAGACATTCCAAAATGCTGGCCAAATAGAGTTACAAATGAACAAAGACTGAAAACATTTGACTACTCATCACCCTCTCTGGAAACACTTCTAAAAGATATACTCAGTGAGGGAAAACTGAATCTAAAGGGAAGAAGTAAAATTCAAGAAGCAATGGGGAGCAAAAGACCATAAGCATCCTGGTAATTCTCATCACTGAATGTAAGAGGAAAAAAAAGTATGGATGGGGGTTAAAAAGGAGCATAAATAAAAGGAAGATGTGAGGAAGATGAAAGTTAAAGTGTTTAAGGTTCAGGAAAAGGAAACTGATATTATTGGATTCAGACAATCAAATAGGCAATGTTTAAAAGATGGGGGAGGGGAACCATGATAAGAACAGCAACAGCATATGTTCAAATCAGGAGAGGGAAAATAGCCACTAGGGAAACTTGGCGAAGCCAGAAAGTAGGATTAAAAAAAAGTCACATACCAATATAGTAAATGTCTTTTCAACTTGCATGTTATCATGATTATAATTTATTTGAACTAAGTTTTATCTTCATATTTTGCATGTTTTATTTACCCAAAATACATGAATCACAGAGTAGTTATACTGCAAATCATAAAATATTTAGAACTGGCAATAGAAAAAGAAAAAACATTTAATTGGAAATAAAAACCCAATTATGGCAAAATTTACCAGCTCTAGATTTGTCTCAATTGTCCAAGGAATTTTCTTATCTGTGACAAATTGTTCATCACCACCATCTTGTGGGCAAAGATGCAATAATGAAATTTCAGTCTAGACATCTTCAATAAAAGGCAAAGAATCTACTACTTCATTCCATCAAAACTAAAATGCTGCCAATTAAAGACATTATTTTAGGGACCGCTAAGAGAAAATACTGCCAATTAAACTATGACACCATCAACTATAAGATATATTCTAAATTCAGAGATATTAAAATGTGTCTTCAAATCAGTGAAATGTGGCATACTGATTTTCCTCTTCAGTTCTTATTAATGTTAGAGACCAAAAAAGAAGCATCTGAAACTGCAGCATAAGACTTTTTAGGGAAGAACTTAAGAGTCAGTAACACCAGAGCACACACTAAAAGAAATATGGAAATATTGTTCTGTACTTCTTGAAACATCAATTTTACGTAATTTGAGAATATATATGGGCCAGGTGCAGTGGCTCACGCCTGTAATTCCAGCACTTTGGGAGGCTGAGGCCAGCGGATCATGAGGTCAGGAGTTCGAGACAAGCCTGGCCAACATGGTGAAACCCCATCTCTACTAAAATTATGAAAAATTAGCAGGGTGTGGTGGTGCGTGCCTGTAATCCCAGCTACTCAGGAGGCTGAGGCAGGAGAATCACTTGAACCCAGGAGGTGGAGGTTGCAGTGAGCCGAGATCACACCACTGCACTCCAGCCAGGACAACAGAGTGAGACTCCATCTCAAAAAAAAAAAACAAAAAAACACTATATATATAAATGATGTTGGCATTTAAAAACTGCTAGGATTCATCCCAGCTTTAAAATTCTTTTTTCAGATTTTAATAGTCATATACATTATTAAATTCACCTTCAGAATAAATGCAAACATTTAGTAACAATGACAAGAAGGGTTAACATTTCCTAAACACTAAAAAACACTTTTTAAGCATTTTAATCCCATAAAATCCTCATCATCCAGGTGAAGGTGGACTTGCAACCCAGAACTGGCTGACCCCAAGGTCACCTCAAGGTCTACCACAGGATACCATGCTGCCTCCCAAACACCACCAGAGCAAATCACATGAGTGGCTTTGATATACAGATACAGACCTAGACAAGCCCACTTCACTTCTTTCCTTCTTACCTGGCTGAAGACTTAAACCGCTCTAAGAACTGAAGCCTCAAACTCTCATGGCCGGGAAGGTCAATCAAGGTCAGACTATTGCCCTGGGGATGGCAGCAATAACATTAACGTTTCAATACAGTTCCACGTTCACAATATAAACCTTTAGTATCATATATTGGCTACCAAACTGGTACCTAATTAACCAAACAAATGTTCACAAAGCATCTTCTACTCATAAAACACTAGTCAACGTTCTGGGGATGTAACAGTGGCCAAAGACACGGTTCCTGATCTGGCAAAATTTATGAGAAAGGTGAACATAATGTAAAATTACACATAAATATAAAATGAGAACACTGATAAATGTTTTGAGGGTACAGGAAAAACCTGTCTGGGGGAGTCAGGGAAGCATGATCTACCTGAGGCTTGGGAGATAAACCAGTGTGAGTATAGCAAAGTAGGAGTACTGTATGAGTATAAGCAAAAATGTGAAAACAGTAACAAGTACTCATAAACTAATAATGTAATATAAGAACTTACAATTTTTCATAGAGCATATTACTCTTACTGGGATCTCCAATCTTTATAACAAAGTACACTTTTATCATTTCCACCCTTAATCTAATTATTTAAATATTTATCTTCCAGACATATAATTTACTTGTTCCAACTCCGTCAGCATTTGTGTCAATTCCTGAGCCCCTACTGAGCAAATCTACGATGCACCCTAATAAGTTCTATTCACCATGCCAGGCTGCCATTCCTGAATATAAGGTCAAGGCCTGGAATGGTGAATAAAGTTTATATTCAGTGTAAACGTGGCTGTGCTCAACAATAAGACTCTTAGATGTGGCCTGGTACATGCAGCAGACCATCATTTCTTACATGTTCTACATTATCCACAGCCAACCATACCCACAGTTCAGAAGCAGGCAATCAGTATCCTGCACAGATTTAACACAATTCCAGCTGGGTTTATTATGACCTTACCTTTCACATAGCCTGTGCATTTCTTTATAGACAAATATGTTTTTTATTAGTCCCTCTCTTTTTTTTTTAAGTACTGTTAAGAGTCTGGAGATCCCAGGTTGGGACTTAACTGCTCCATTTCAAAAGCAGCACTATACCACACACCCTAAGCAATTTGGAAGATACATTACTAGGTATATTACTATCTAAAGAGATTAGATCGAAAACGTAAGGGGGTAGGAGAAAGAGTGAAGAGGGAAGGGAAAAATGCTCTATATATTCAGTAGAAATATTGATAGAATAGAAATATAGTAGAAATATAGAATAACAGAAGCCACATATGTAATTTTAAATATTCCAGTAACCATAATAAAAAAGTAAAAAGAAATTGGTAAAATTAATTTTAAGTTATTTAATCTAATATATCCAAAATATTATCTTTTAAAATGTAATAAAAAAAGAAATTATTAATGATACTTTACGTTCTTTTTTTCCATACTAAGTCTTCAAGATCTGGTGTGTACTTCACACTTACAGCATGCCTCAATTTGGACTAGTCCTAGTTTAGGTGCTCAACAGTCACATGTGGCCAGTGGCTACATATTAGAAGGTACAGATTTAAAGCATATCCTGGAGTATCCTAAGTTAAAAATCTAGTGCAGGTACTAGATGATCTTGCAAACCTGGAATTTCAAAATCTGAATCCTTGGGAGTTTAAAAAGGTCTGGGCCACAAAGAGTGTCATCATTGAAAAAAAAAACAAAGATATCGCTAAGATATTTAAAAACATGTCCCTTTATTTTTCTTTACAATCTTTAATTCTGGAGGCATGAGAAAGGGGAAAGAAGACAAAGAGAAGAAGAAAAGGTCTCAAACCACAATTCTAATTCATCCATCTATCCATCCACATCCTCCAACGAGCCCTCACTCCACTCACTCACCGAAACTTATTACATGGCTGGGTGCAGTGGCTCACGCCTGTAATCCCAGCAATTTGGGAAGCTGAGGTGGGCGGATCACTTGAGGTCAGGAGTTCAAGACCAGCCTGGCCAACATGGTGAAACCCCATCTCTACTAAAAATACAAAAATTAGCCAGGCATGGTGGTGGGCGCCTGTAATCCCAGCTACTCAGGAGGCTGAGGCAGGAGAATCGCTTCAACTCGGGAGGCAGAGGTTGCAGTGAGCCAAGATCATGCCACTGCACTCCAGCCTGGGCAACAGAGTGAGACTCCTGTCTCAAAAACAAACAAACAAACTTATGCATTACAATCGGTTTGGTAGTCACTGTCTACATTCTGAAGTTACAGAGGTATGTAAAATGTCTTTCCCATGATTCCTTATATTTTTTTTTTTTTTTTGAGACTTAGTCTCGCTCTATTGCCCAGGCTGGAGTGCAGTGGCGCAATCTTGGCTCACTGCCACCTCCACCTCCCGGGTTAAAATGATTCTCATGCCTCAGCCTCCCGAGTAGCTGGGTTACAGGCGCCCACCACCACACCCGGCTAATTTTTGTATTTTTAGTAGAGACAGGATTTCATCATGTTGGCCAGGCTGGTCTTGAACTCCTGACCTCAAGTGATCGGCCTACCTTGGTCTCCCAAAGTGCTGGGATTACAGGCGTGAGCCACCAAGCCAGGCCCCATGATTCCTTATATTTGAAATACACTCATATATACTCTGTAAGATATCCATTGCAGCACTGTTTGTAAAAGCAAAGGTTATAATAACAAAACTAAATGTCTATTAACACGGTCCAGATTAAGTAAGAATTTAATTTTATGGTATAGCAACAGAGTGGAGTACTATGCAGCTCATAAACCAACCAGATGGTACTATGTATACAAATGTAGGACAATAAGAAAAGCCCAAGTTGTATCAGCCGTATGAGAAAAATAATGGGCAGAACAGCATTTAAAAAAAAACAACAATAAAGGATATACAGACATGTTTGTATATGCACAGAACATCCGGAAGACTACATACAAAAAAAAGTAAGTCACTGCTTCTGAGGAGAAAACTAGGTAGTGGGGAAAGGAAAGGAAAAATTACTTTTCACCAAATATCTTTTCTAACCTTTTGAATTTTTGTCCCATGTGCATGTATTACCTATTCAAAACTTAAAAGGTTTAATGCCCACTCTTAAGAACTCATTGTAAAGTTGGAAAGAAGACACAGAAACAAAAAATAAGAATAAAATGTGATATAACATTACTGTACATTAAGGTACAACAATGCAGAGGAGGGCATGATTAAATCTACTGTACAGATTGTCAAGAGAATTTGTCACAAAGAATATGTTTCTCCATAAAAATAAGCTACAAATGGTACTTACATCCTCAGATGAACTCATCCTAAAAATGTCCTTAACTGACACACCACAGTAAAGTAAGACTGTCAGACTCCAAAACTCCACAAACATCTTACCCTGTTATTGTTGACTCTGTATACAGCACAGCTGTCAGTAATGGACGTCTGAGTGTCTCTATAAAGGCCTGTTAACAACTGTAAAAAAAACAAGATGGGTGATATTCAACATTTTAATAGCACACCTAAATTGAGTTATATTATTCTAAGTCTCCCAGGTGTAAGGTTAAGTAAATGAATGCTGCTTCCGACAGGTGAAAAAGACGATATTGATTTTTTTTACCTGTAGAAAAAAATCTAATTAATTGCATATTTTACTCCTCAGTGGAATAAAAACAACATTATTCTCAAAAGACAGTTAGTGGCCAAATTTGCCAAGCTTCTGTAAAGATTTTTAACCAACAAAAATGATTTGAAGCCTGGGCAACATGGCAAAATCTCATCTCTACAAAAAATATAAAAAATCAGCCGGGCGTAGTGTTGCACGCCTGTAGTCCCAGCTACTCGGAGGCTGAGGTGGGAGAATCATCTGAGTCCCAGAGGTCAAGGCTGCAATGAGCAGAGATCTCGCCACTGCACTCCAGCCTGGGCATTGGAGTGAGACACTCCCTCAAAAAAAAAAAAAAAAAAAAAATGGAGGTATTTCTTTAATGGAAGGGAAATAATTTATACTCTCAAAAAGAAGAGTTAAAAAGCAGAAAACCTCTCCTATTCACCACATTAAAATACACTGTTAAAAATACTAAATGTATTAAAAATAAATATTAGTAAAAAGAAGCCTAACTAGCCCACTATGTCAAAGAAGGATCACCCTGTGAAAAAGTGTCTTCGATAAACTGTCCTAAGAATTTGTTAACGAAGGAATTATAAACTGTAGGACACTAGCTTCTATGCCTTCTGCTATTCTGGAATGAAACTAATTAAATAAAATCCTTGAATGTGATAAAGACTAAATATCAGCATCTGGCAAGGGCAAACAGAAAAAAAAAAGGAGAAATGACCAATATTTCTCAATTATGGGTTTCTACGAGTCTTTTTGTTCTCCCAAGTAAGTCAAGAATTAACTTCCAAATTTAACAGCATCAGCTTCTTTTACAAAATAAACCGTGAGATGACAGGAATACTGGGATCTATAAAATTTTCTATTAAGCTTAACAGGGGTGTCAATGAAATCATTTACCCTGACAAAGAGCAACGTTTTCCCGGAATCACAAAGGCCAACAAGAAGAACAGCTCTCTGACTGCTCCTTCTGCTCCGGATTAACTTCCAGAAGACTGTGGAATAGACAGAGAAAAACAACAAAAATTACGCCTTGGGAATCAGTATATGTGCATGGCTGGGGTGGGGAAATTCACAGAAGTCTGTGACGAAACACCTCATTCACCTGGAACTGACTTTTATCATAATGGTTACTATTGCTGTTGTTAGGGATCCACTGAGAGCCAGGCACTGTCAACTGTCAACTTTTCTTTGCAGTCCTTACTCTGACTGGGACTCAGGTGCTATCTCACTACCTTGGTATCCCAGCGCCCGCACGCAAACACGGGAGGCTGAAAGTTGGTGTCAAGACCCTGAGTCTTTGCAGTGAGAACAGCGGAAGGCGAGGAACAGCGCGCTCAAGCGTAACAGGGCAGATGACGAAGAGCAATCTGCGCCCCAAGGACCAGGACGTTAACTCCGGGGGTTGCCCGGCATCCCCCTTAACGCCCAGCTGCTGCCGCTGCTTCAGGAGAGAGGGTGGGGTGTAGACTGGGTGGGTCTCACCCTCCTGATGCCCTCAAGGCGCCCTCTCAGCCCCGCGTCCCCGGCCTGCAGCGGTGCAGCCAAAGCCCGGACCTCTGCCCGCCCCAAACCCGCCATGACCACCGGCCGCCTTTTACCTAGCGTCAGCAGCACCGCAAGAACCGCCACCACTACTGACAACAGCGTTGGGTCCGTCTGCTGCAGCTCCTGCCGCAAGGTGTCTAGGTAGGGCTGGAAGGTGCCCCCGGCACCGCCGCCATCTGCCACCCGGCGCGAGTCCGCGGAAGCCATGGATGAGACGCGTGGTCCCCGGTACAGCAAAAGCGACGTGGCCCTGCACTCTGCGCAGGCGCGGGGAGCAGAGCCTCACGCGAATGGTGGTTCCTAAGCCATAGTCTCTCCCTCAGCCGCGGCGATCCCCCAAGTGCTTGATGGGAGTTGTAGTTCTCTGGGACTCCGTCCTCCTACAGAACGATAGGGGCAGACAGGTTATTTGTCGAGGGACACACACATCTTTTAAGAGATGAGTCAGTCGTCGTCACCTACGTTATGACTGTTGAAAGAATGATGAAATGAATAAAATGAATGAATGGCTCCCGAAACTACCACTGAGGAGTTCCCGACCGTCGCTAAGTGACGTGAGACTTGTGAAGAACTCAAGCATCCTACAAACATTTAATCTGAATTTAATGTGACAAGGGATGTGACAGATGGATGTACGGAGCGATGTGGGAATACATAATGGGACGCGGAGTCCATCATGAGTTCAGAGAAAAGCTTCTGGACATTGGAATTGAGTCCTGAAGAATGAGTTAGCATCTGCGAGTGGTTAAAGGAAAAAAAGGTGCTGTGCAGAAGAAAATGAGTGTAAGAAACGATGTATGTGGGAACCCTAAGTAATTCAGTGCCCCTACACTGTCAATCTAGGGCTGCAAACTCAAATGTCTGCATTAAAGGAAGCAACTAGGAAAATCAACGCCCAGGAGAGCTGGGGCTGTTGAAAACTGCAGGAGGTATTTCTGCTGAAAGTAGGGCCGACCCTATTCAGCCAGGTAGGTGTTATGGGACCTGGGTGGCCGGTTCTTCCAGTTTTCAAGAGAAGCAATAAAGGCAGATTTTTATAGGAAATTTTCCACTTTTGAAATTTTCTGTAGGTAATTGAAAGCATTCAAAAACTTGTGGCCCAAATAAAACACCAAAAGTGGCCAGCCTAGAGGGTCCCAGTTCACAGTCTCTGTCATTAAACAGCTGTCATTGTTTTAAAATGTACACATTATTTAATTTAATTGTATGGCTGAGTAGAGACATGAAGATGTCAGTGTCACTGAAAGATTGAAAAAAGTTTATTACAGTTCCACATTGCCATTGAAAAAGTTGTCAGCATCAAAATGGAGTCACTTGTATTTTTTTTTTTAATCAGAAAAATGGAGCTGGTGAAAGGCCATGGAGGGAGGGTTCTCAGGCACCCATGCCTGATGACAAAAACTGTCACAAAAGACTGCAAAAACCACAGACTTGCACAAAGGCCATCGCAACCTTACACACAAAAAAATACATCTGTTAGGACGGCTACCCAGCAACTCCCTGTCCAACCTAGTACTGATGCCATCCTTGCCATTTGATCCTTGTAGCCAAGGATAATTATCTTAAAACAATTATGGAATCTGACTCATTTTTTCTTTAAAAATCTTTGTCTTCCTTTACACCCCCCTGAATATGCACATAGTTGACTATGGCATGCGTAGTCCCATTGCAATGCCTATTCCAGAATAAATATTATTTTCTTTTAGAGCGTCCCTCTCTGCTTGTTATTTAGCTTGATACCACTCAGGGCCACACAAAACCTCACCATGCACAGGGACAAGGAAAAAGAGAGGAACTGGGGGAGGACCCGGTGACTCACAGCTATTAATCCCAGCGCTTTGGGAGGCCAAGGCAGGAGGATTGCTTGAGGCCAAGAATTCAAGACCAGCCTGGGCAACATAGTGAGACTCTGTCTCTGCAAAAAACATTTTCTTTTTTCTTTTTTTTTTTTTTTTTTTTTGAGACAGAGTCTCGCTCTGTTGCCCAGGCTGGAGTGCAGTGGTGCGATCTCGGCTCACTGCAAGCTCCGCCTCCCGGGTTCACGCCATTCTCCTGCCTCAGCCTCCCGAGTAGCTGGGACTACAGGCGCCTGCCACCATGCCCGGCTAATTTTTTGTATTTTTAGTAGAGACGGGGTTTCACCATGTTAGCCAGGATGGTCTCGATCTCCTAACCTCGTGATCCACCCACCTCGGCCTAAAACATTTTCTTTAATTAAAAAATAATTAGCCAGGCATGGTGGCATATGCCTGCAGTCTCAGCTACTTGGGAGACTGAGGCAGGAGCGCTTGAGCCCAGGAATTCCAGGTTACCGTGAGCTGTGATCACATGCCACTGCACTCCAGCCTGGGCAACAGAGCAAGACCCTGCCTCCAAAAAAAGGAAAAAAAAAAAAGGAACTGGGACTCTTCCTTTATTACTAATGTGTCAGCGAGTAGCTAGATAGAGATGTTTTTGATTGGGCAAGAAGCGAAACACAGATGTTAAGGGTTGTATTAGGAAGATTTGCAATATGATTTAGGCACACCCTCAAAAGCCAGGCCACAGGGGAAATGTAAACAATGTTGGCTGTTAGTTTGGCCTAGTGATCAACAGATGCCAAATCATCAATTATAAAATCTATAAAAATTGATTAGAGCAGTAATTTAAGTAGGAGTGACAGGAGATGAAGCTAGAAAGGTTGGCAGGAATCAGACCAGAAGGGATTTTCTGTGCTATGTTGAGGAACTTAAGAGTTTGTCCAGAATGCAATAAGAAGTTTCATTTGGGGATCGCTTCTCGGCCTTTTGGCTAAGATCAAGTGTAGAAGTTTCATTTGGGGTGACATAGATAATTGACAGATCTATGGAGGACTATGACTTGAGAGGAAAAAAAAAACTTCAGACAGAGAGACCAGCTGAGAGCATTTAGGCAAAAGATGCAGTATTTAGGCAAAGGATGCTCAGAGTCTAATACAGAGACAGAAATAGGTATGAAAATGAGAGCACAAATTTGAGAGATGTCTGAGAGTTAAAATACGTAGGATGTGATTAGTTGGATATTGTGAATTAAGTAAAAGGAATGTTATCAAGGCTGCATCCTAGGTGGTGGGTGTGGGTGACTAGGAAGATGAGAAAGCCATTAAATGAATTAGGGACCTCAACGGGAGAGGGCTTGGGGCTGTGGATCCAACGTAAGAGTAGCCAGAATGAAAATTGTCTCTTTTCTATATGTTGAGTTTTAGGTGCTTCTGGGAAATCTAAAAGCTTATGTCAAGCAAGTGATGAGTAAACACAAATAAAGTTCCACAAGTATATACTAGATTTTCATTTGGGAGTCAGGAATAAATAAGTGGTCATTAAAATCATGGAGAACATGAAGAATGAGGAAAGGAACCCACAAAAAAGCCTAAGAAGGAAGAGTCAGTGGCACAGGAGTAAAACAGACATGTCCTATAAGTGGTCAGTAGCATCTTCTGTAGCAGAGAGGCTCCTTTGACAAGGCTTTGAATGAGTCTGAGCTCAAGGGGATAAGCAAGGGATGGGGCAGTGTGGGGATGGAAGCAAGACTATGGTGTATGGGGAAGACAGTGGGGCATGAAGATAGTTTCTAATGTTAATGAGCACTTCCTGGTGCCAAGCATCATTCTAAATACTTTTAATTTTTTTTTTCAGGCAGGGTCTCACTCTGTTGCCCAGGCTGGAGTGCAGTGACAATAGGGCTCACTGTAACCTGGAACTCCTGGGCTCAAGTGATCCTCCTGCTTCAGCCTCCCAAATAGCTGGGACTACAGGCACAAACACCATGCCCAGGTAGTTTTTTTATTTTTATTTTTGTAGAGACACAGTCTCTCTCTGCTGCCTGGGCTGGTCTTGAGCTCCTGGGCTCAAGTGATCCTCCTGCTTCAGCCCCCCAGAGTGGTGGGATTACAGGCACAAGCCACCACGCCCTGCCTAATGTATTAATTTGTTTAATTCTCACACTGACTCATTTTCTAATTTTACAGAGGGGAAACTGAAGCAGGGTTGAGTAACCTCCCCAAGGATATATAGTAATGAGCAGACTTGGGACTTCATCCCAGGCAATTGGGCTTCTATCTACTTAACCGTATGCTTTAACATAGTAGGATTCATTTTCAAGGCATTTTTAATTGATAAAGGTAGGCGATAGGAACTCCAGATCAAGGAAGGACGGTTAAGATGTGAGGCTTAAGTAAGTAAACCAACTACTTTATTTTAAATTACCAATTTCAAAAATATCAGAACTGGCAGCGGTCATGCCACATTCCATTTCTCTTATTTCTTATGGTCCTAACCGCTGCTCTGTATTCACCACCCAAAACACACGCACACACCCCTTGTATAATATAACCACTGATTCCTCTTTAGAAAAATCACTGGATATTACCATTAGACCTCCTGACTGGGGACCAAAGATGCAGGGAAGAAGGAAGAGCCAGACACGGAGAGTTCCAACCGTAACTGTCTTAACTCGCTGAGGATATTTGGTCAGAGCTATGTGAATGAAGAGGGCTGCCGTGGTGGTGAAGTTGGGAAAGGAAGAAAAAAGGTTCAAGAAAAGAGACTTTTTTTCTTCAGTATGTTTCCTGGGCAGAAGAAATGTGCACAGCTCCCACACTCAGTGAGAAGTTAGCACTCCCATTCTCAGGAATGAGCAGGAGGGGTGAGATTAGTTGCTTCCCTGTACTCACCCATCTCCATCAGGAGCTCCGTGGGCACGAATGCAGAGGAAGGACATGCGATACTGACTGCTGCCTGCTGATAAGTTTTTAGTTCTTGATTCCAATAGCAGATGGAAAGTTACAATGAAACCAGTTGTAGTCAGGGAATTTTTCTCTTCTCTTCCATAAACTAAAATGTCCCATTCACCAGACACCTTCTTCCATCCGCTCCCCAAAGCTCCAATGTACAATGGAACATACCTCAGACCTAGGGATACCAATCATGGGATTCCCCTGCTATGGCTTTGTTTAAAAAAACGTTTAGAGGATTTTTAAAAACAGAATTTAACACATGCTTATTATATTAAAAACTCAAGCAATAATGAAAGCCACAAATCACCTCTATTTTTCTACCTATAGTATCTGATAAATATTTAAGACATTCCTCTGTACATATGTACTAATAAGAAGGCTGTATGGATAAGAGCAGTAAATACAAACGAACACGTTATTTTTAAAGAGATTATAGTATGCACCTCTGTATTCCCCATCCCTGAACAGTACTTGGCTCATGGGAGGCACTGGTCAACTGTTGAATGAATGATCCCAGGCCTACTGTGTCCATTGCTGTGCCCCAGGCTCCTGTCTGACATCCTCCTGCTTCACATCCCTGCCTTAGCGGGTTTGAGGACATGTCACCCTAGCCTACCAAATTTAATTTCTAATTTTAGCTTCTCAGAAAGTAGAATCTGCTGGTAAGAATAATTACATCTGAATAGAGGCACCATTTAGGATTTTCTCTAACATCATTCAATATTCTTCGTCAGATACAAGTAGGATCAGTCCCCTATATCCATCAGTCACACTTAGTCCACAGACATCTGGCCAGGCAGCTTGGGCAGCTCCCTCCAGTCCCTTAAAGGATGGAAGGGGAGAAAGGTGAGTCCACTGGAAACACAAGAGGTCCTGACAAAGAGCTCCACTTCAGAGCTGACTCACTCACTTGATTGCACCATATCTAAGCTTATTCAGCTCTGATACTTTGGACAGTCCCACAGCATACATTGTACAATGTAATCATTCATTTTTCAGGTGTAGGCATAGGGAAGGTCTGGCTCTATACCAAAACTGCTGGCTCTTAGCAGGCACCCAGTTTGCACTTATTTAAATGACTTGATCTGGGAAGGAAACACCCGGAGGTCCTAGGTGGTCCCTATCTGCTGATGGAGCAGCACAGAGAACAAATGATGTCTTAACCTTTTGAGACCAAGGAGGGGGATTTAAGGCCAGGCCAGATTACAGCCCTGAGCCTCAGTCATAGGCTGCCTGGTACTACAGAGGAACAGTGCCACACTTCTAGGTTCGTCCCTGGGGGAAGAAGGAAGATGATGTCAGCCACAGCTGTCCTGGCTTTACTGAAAGCGTGCTGTCATTACTGCTCGCTGGCATGTGGAAGTGCACATGCTGGCGTTACAGTGACGTAGATGAGAAGAGGAACCATGGTGTTCTACAAGGGAACATTCCATTCAACTTCTGTTCATCCTTCCCAGCCTTTTCCACCCAATGGCACTTTTTCCTTCACATTCAAGGATAACTTTTTGTCTGTTAAACACAGAAGGGGTCTCTTCTACTTCTAAATCCTTCTTGATATTAACAGAATCTAGCTGGGACCTTTGGAGAATTATCTGGGCATACTTTCCTTAGACCTTAAAATACACAATTGCATAATACCAGGAACTGCAAAATTCAGATTATTTTACTATTAAACTTCTCCCCGAGAGCCACTTGAAAAAAGTAATTGAGGTAATAGATCTTCATTTTGAGAAGTTGAATGGTACATAAAAATGCAAAATTAAAATAATTATTTTTTTCTCTGTCCTTCCAAGGCTACTGCTCATATGTAACTGTCCTTTCACACACACGCAAGCATATATGTTCATGTTTTTATTCAAATATATGATTATATACTATACATCTGATTATGAAACTTGTTTTACTGAACCACCTTTCCCCAGCAGTTCATATAGCTCTACTGCACTCTCTGTAAATGCTGCAGAGTATCCCAGTGTTTAGATATATCCTAAATCACTGTGGTCCTCTAATGATGGAAATTTAGGATTTCATTTTTTCACCTTATTATAAACACCCTGTGAGAGTACTTCCATGGGATATATTCCTAGAAGTGCAATCAAGAATAAAGGACATATGTGTTTGAAGTATAATAGATTTGGCGAAACATCCCTCTAGAGAAAGATTTCTCCAATCTAGAGTCACATCAAAAGTAGTAACCGTAACTGTTTTCTCTATTCCTTTCCCACCTCTGGGTATTAGTAGTTTTTCTTTAACTTTAGCTGATCTAAAAAAGTGCATGTTCTCATGCATTCTATTTCTTTATGAGTGAGTTGCTTCAAATTTTAGATGTGTGTTGGCTCTATGTGTGTTATCTAGTAACTGTCTCTAGTATTTTTTGCCTATTTTTTATCACAATGTTCATCTCTTTTTTAATGTTTTTAAAATATCTTTTATTTTTAAAAAGCTAACGTGCATTTTAGGAAACTGGAAAACACATGAAGCAAAGAGCAAAGTCATCCACAATCACAGGCAGTTTACAGTTTGACTTGTCCTTCTAGGTCCTGTGTGTGTATAGACAACAACATCCAAATTTATGGGATTGAGATCATGCAATTTTATGTGTCATGCTTTTTTACACATCATGAATATTTACCAATTCAAAATCCTAAAGCTATATGAGTATTTTGATAGTCAAGAAAACACTACACCAACTCAATCTATTAGGAAAAAATGTAATCCTGCCTTTCTTGGAACAAAAATTTTATAAAAGACAAAAATGGCATCATACCTTGAGATAAAAGCATTGGCAGAGTTCCAATTAAAATACTGCATTCCCTTAATGTTCAATTTAAAATGAAACATAAAGCAACAGAATACACTAAGTATAATGTTTCTAAGAGAATTCATTAGTAGTTCTATGCCATGAAAATATTAGCAAGAAGGCATATTTTCACTGAATTACTTAATGTATTCCTATAGTACAGCCGAAAGAGATGCACATACATCAGTGGCTATCATCAAAATGTAAATGTATATCTGCATATATCTCTCCCTTTATGCTTCCTTTTGCCCCCCTGCTGCCAACTTAATGAGCAAGTCCTGATATACACTGCTCAGTGGTGGTTTAACAATTCCATGTCCAATATGCATCTTTTCTATCAATTATAACAAAAAGATATTTACAAATTGGCTAATTCGCTAGCTCTACTTTTAATCATACATTGTCTCCTCAGGACATTCATAAAGGTTAAGTGTTCCAAAAAATAAACTTTGTCCACAATAAATGCAGGCACTTTACTAAAATGCTGTTAGACCTATGGCTGTTATCTCACACTATCTTCTGGATACCGAGATACTAGCAAAAAGCCCTTCCCTTCACCCTTCCCCTTCTCCCTCTTCTAGCATGCCAGTGACTAAGTACAGGACTATGTCTAGCTCCAAGGGGTGGATTAACAAAGATTACTCCCAGAAGGCAGGTCTTCCTAAAAACTAACAAAAGGACATTTATAAAGGGATATTTTACTACCTCCACTTTTAAACTACCTTGAGCATTAAGACTTGTTTATTCTTTAAAACACACCAATATTAACTAAAATTCACATACAGAACAATGGCTAGATCATCTGAACTAATCTAACTCACGGGCCCAGAACCCTTCTCCCTGCATACCTCCTCCTCTTCCCACCTGCCGACACCTGATGAACAGTCAGCATCAAGTTTAAAAATTCCATTCTCAAATGCAACCATCCCTAGGAAATAACACCAACCACAAAAATGCATAAAGGGTGTTACTTTAGCCCTCTATTTTTAATCTATATTGTGCACTTTTAAACATCTAAGAAGACTAGGTGTTTTAAATAGGACTTGAGTTTTCCACTTTATACACAGTAGCATTGAATAAATGGTGCACATACAAAGCAAGGCTATAATTTGGATGTGTCTTCTAAATAGGAACATGGCCTAAAGCCCTTCCCCTTCCTATCTCTATCAATCCAGTGGACAGGTATAAACATCTGTAATGCTTAGGGGGGATTTTAACAATTCTACTTTTGAAGCATTTTTAAGAACAATCTTTCCTATGAATTTTTAACACAAAGTGTACTCAATGTATTAGTTTACTAACTCTAGTTTTGTTATATGCTGGCAATCTCTTTAACATCTAGAAAGACTAGATGTTATAAATTAGGACACCATCCAATGTTATGCAATTGGGATCATACAGTATGTATCATGCTTTTTCACACATCATGAATATTTACCAATTCAAAATTCCAAAGCTATGTAAATGTTTGTTTGTATACACAGCAAAGTAAAAGGAAATGCAGATATAAGGGACAACAGTCAATTGTGTCATACTGTAAACACACTGATATAAAGCCCTTTGCACTTTCTTCTGCTCCTTCCTCCCTGAATCAGCATAAATATAATGTGAAGTGGTTTGATCAATTTCCAAAAGACAATGTTTCATATGAATCAAAAGGATATCTACAAAATGTGTTATTTACTACCTCTACTTTTAACATACTGTGTGCACTTCTAAACATCTAGAAGACTAGATGTTTCAAATAAGGACTTAATTTTGTCCACTATATGTCCAGTAGTGTTACTACTGGAGGGTGTCCAGGTTCTTGGCTTCTTGAACAAATAATTGGACAAAATGCACAAACAAAGCAAGGAAAGAATGAAGCAACAAAAGCAGAGGTTTATTGAAAACAAAAGTACACTCCACAGGGTGGCAGAGGGCTTGAGCATAGGGGCTCAATAGCCCGGTTACAGAATTTTCTGGGGTTTAAATACCCTCTAGAGGTTTCCATTGGTTACTCAGTGTATGCCCTATGTAAATACAGAAGACATTTCCCATCATAGCTGAAGTGTTTCCATTTGATTTAGTTCTAGGAAGTGAGCATGCATCTGCCTTATATTCCTTGCCTACAGACCCTATTCTTCTGCCTCATTTCCCTCCAGAGATGGGATCCCCATAAATCTTTATGGGAGGTGGAGGGGCCGATGGTCTTTCTTTTGTAACTGCTTCATGTTGGCTTGAGGCCTAGTCCCTACCTATTGAGGATCACAGAAGTCCTGCTCTGCTCTTTCTAGTGAAGGCAGGGTAGCTCCTTGATGGCCAGGGGTGGTGGAACTGGATGAAACTTTTGTTGCATGATCATCTGAAGCTTGATGGTCTTTTGGCGAGAGGAAATTAATTTGGTTAAAAGATTTAATGGGAACTCAGGGGGTGGATATCTATGCTGTCAGGAATGTTTGTTATAGAGATTTGTAGGAGAAAAACAAAACCTGGCCTGTGGTCTGTTCTAGGATCTATGTGTTTCCTTAAGGTCTTGGCATACGTGACTCCGTTTTGGTTTAGTTTGGTCTGTTGGGGCCTGGCGCATGGGCTCAGTACAAAAAAATGACCTCCCATAATTTTGTTTAAAAAAAATTCCCCTTTTTGGCCAGGTGCAGTGGCTCACGCCTGTTATCCCAGCACTTTGGGAGGCCGAGGTGGGCAGATCATGAGGTTAGGAGATCGAGACCATCCTGGCTAACATGGTGAAACCCCGTCTCCACTAAAAATACAAAAAAATTAGCCGGGCGTGGTGGCAGGTGCCTGTAGTCCCAGCTACTCGGGAGGCTGAGACAGAAAAATGGCGTGAACCCGGGAAGTGGAGCTTGCAGTGAGCCGAGATCGTGCCACTGCACTCCAGCCCGGGTGACAGAGTGAGACTCCATCTCAAAAAAAAAAAAAAAAAAAAAAATTCCACTTTTTTGGTCAGGTTCTCACTTAAGTGAGAGTGTGACCAAAACTTAGGGCCTTACTTAGCACCACTCTCAGTTACCAACACTTTGGGCTTTTGGACTCAGCACATCATTCGTAGGTTACAGTGTCCTCATGGCTGCAATTTCTTTCAGCTCTTGTCATTCCAGTTGAAGAGAGGCCATTTGACATTCTAGAGGTGGCAGCATGCAAACATTTAAAACCGTTGAGAGAATACAGCACACCAGGGAGACTATTATTATGACTATCAGGAGGATAATACCAAGAGTTGAGAGTAAGTATGCTCCTTATCCAGGGTCACCATAAACCAAACCTCCTAAACTCAAATAGATTAAACAATGAGCTAAAGAGTCTACTCACTTAACTAAGCAGTCTCTTCATTAATTTGCTACAACTGAATCTCTATAATACCTGATGTTTTCTCCATAGGCCATGAGTGCCAGCAGCTGCACAGATACTCTTCTGTTTAGCCAACTCTATTATTTAGCATAACTTTCTTAAGATAATTTAGTCTATTATGTAACCATAGCCTTTACAGTAAACTGCTATGGAGCCTATTATGAGGGATACATTTGCCTCTTTTATTCCAAATCATGGAAAAAGGACCTAAAGCTGGCTGCAAAATTCTTCACAAATAAAAGTATAACCCATAATTGTACACAACAGATCCTTTTTCCACTTCTATTCTTCATAGAGGCAAAAGCAAGGAAAAAATATTCAAAGATAAGAGTCTCATGATAATAGAGAAGTCTTGATTCATGATCTTGGGAAAAGCTGTTCACATCAAGGATGCCATCTTCTTCGGGAGAGAAACTTCCCTGGTTAGCTTTACCTTAAGGGTTCCAATGGGTGTACAGTTCCAAGAGTGTGGAGGGACTCTTCTCAGTTGTGAGATCATGAACCCAAAGTTCAAAGTCCAGAAGTTTTGCTGTAGTGTGGATGGCAAGGACAGTCTTTATCCAATGTTTTCAGAAGATACAATCTTCAGTTTCTAGGTTGTGAAGGAGTTGATTGTCCTCAGTGAACCATAAAAAGCTTTCTTTACCTTGTGAAAATACTTGGTGGCATAATAACTTAGTGTTATAACATCAGCCCTCTTGCATGGGAAAGCTTTTATACAACCAGAAAACATGCACTGAAAATAACAATTGAATAAAATCCCTCTATAAAATGTTTAAATGGCCTATCAGGTGACTGGATGTACCTGAAGCTTTGATTGTTTTCCCAGGAATATGGGACCAAACATTGGTTATAAACTATTTTAGCAATTTATAAGTCACCACATCAATATATTCAATTTGGATCATTTTATCTTTTCCGTGACGAGTCATGTAATGCAGAAATTTTACTAACAAAAGCTTTAACGACTTAGGAAGGACAAGGTGGCCATCCTGGTTCTCCATGAGTTCATGCTTAATTAACATTAGACTCATATCCTCTTGAATACCAGTTGTTTCCCCAAATTAGGTGCATAACACTGATAACTGATGGGTTATCATAGGTAATTTGATTTAAATGATGGAGTTTATTCAAATTTTATATCTAAACAGTTTCAGTATCAGCTGATTTAGCATGAAAATCTGGCAAAGTATTTTCTTGGTATTTAATTAATTTTTGTTCTACTTGGGTTAGCAGTTTTAGAACTCAGTCAGTCTTTTCATTAAAGTTCCAGGAATTCTTACCCAGTTCAAATGATATAATTCTAAACTTATTAGAAACCTGTATTCAAGAGTGCTTTTTAGGGTCCTTTCCAATCTTTCATGAATCTCCTAAAAGACACCATATTCTAGGACTTTGCATGCTTGTGAAGTTTTCAGAAACTGCATCAGCATTAAGCAATTAACTGTGGAAATGACTTTAAATAGTTATAGTTAAAAACACAATTGACAAGGAAATTTGGTTATTTCTGTGGTCTACAATAACATAATAATCATAATTATGATTGATAGCATATACTCAGACATATTGGAATTTTAGAAATCTCATACAATTTTGGAACATATATTAATATTATTCACTAAAATATAACCTGAAGAAGATTAAATTTTTTTCTTTTTGACAATGCTTCCCATGTAATTAAACATGTCAAATAATTCTGTTTACCTCTCTTTTGGATGCTTCAGGGGCCCTCTGCAGCATCTCAAAGTTAGAGGTTAGAAAAGACAATTTTGAAGCTGAAATTTGATTTTGGGAAGCCTATTAAATATGTTAAAGATTTAAAACACTTGACATTATGAAATGGAATTCCAGGTTACCATAGTCATTCATTTAGCAAAATGATGACTCAAAAATGTTTTAAAAGGCAAAAACCTTTCCATGTTGATAGATGGAAGACTTACTTTACAAACAATCTGTCTCTTGTCTTTCCCTTCCTTTTTTTTGGTGGGGGGGTAGTTTATTCAAAAGGCAAACAAAGATCTTTCATTATCTTTTAATACTGCATGAAAATCTTGTTCAAGAGAGAAAGCCAAATTTCACCCTTGCATTAGTGTGCTATTAATGTCAACCCCAATTTTTAAGAAAACCTTGTAGACATATCTTTCCAATCTTAATCCGTTTGACCATAAGGTGAGATTCTCATAAACCTTTTATAATCCTTTACAAATGTTTGTTAAAGAGCAGATCGGTGCTTTAAGAAAACCCTGTTTGTGCTTTTATTTTGATGTTCAATTTATGGAAAAACCAGAAAATACCCCTTTAAATTTAGTCAATATGTTCACACACATAATTTTTTACAATATTAATTTTTATAAATCTTCCACAACTCATTCAAACTTTTAGCTTTATCCTAACTTAAAACAATCCTTTAACCCTTTAGACAGAAAAAAAAATCTACATTCCCATGCCTTGTTATAATCTTTCACTGAAAATGCATTCACTTTTCTTACGTAACTTGCATGTAAAACTGTTGCTTCAGTAGTCTCACTTACATGTTACAATGTTAACTCTTAGCGAGTTTTACTTTTGGTGAAAACTTTGGTAAGTTAAGGATTTTAATTATATATTAGTTGTGGAGTCTAGGACCCAGAGAGAAGTACACTTAAGGTCTGACTCCAGCATCTGACTCCACGTGTCTCAGGCCTTACCGAGCTGTAAAGCAGGCAAGTTGTAGAGTTAAGAGTCATAGTGGCATTTTATGAAGCATTTAGGAGGTCTAATCACCGTTAAATTGTATATTTCTTGCATAAATTCTCTTTTGTAAATTATTTCATGACTTACACAGACCATCTACGACATGCTTTGACTTTCTAACTTGTCCTAAACATCCCTCTTTTTTAACAACCGCTTATTTTACTTTAGGACACGAATTTACGATATAAGATCCTTTCTTATATAAAATCTCCTTTCTTTATAACCTTCTTTGCATAGCTAGGGGACATGGCTAATTCTATTTGTCCCCAGGCCTTATCTAGAATCTAATGCTCCAAAATAAATTGAGCAATTTTTAAAAGTCAAAGAAGCGGTTTATGACCTTAAAGCATTTTGCAAATCTAATATCTGACCTGCATAATTTAGACTAAATATTTACATTTTGAAGATATTTTTATTTTACCAATAATCTTTAAAACTGTCTTTATTTCCCAAAGATTACTTAAGTTACATGAAGTAAATAGAAGGCATTACATTTTTTACTTTTCTGATAAAATATTTGATTTAAGCTCTTATTATTATTAAGCTAATTAATTAATGCTCTTTTATAGTACACACACAACACATATAAATACACAGACAGAAGATAAAGGACTCATTCCCTAAGCCAGGAATTGAACCCTAAACCCAGGCTGCCACTGTGAAAAGAGAAAGCATGGCCACATGGTTACAAGGTCAAGCTCCCAAAGACATGACTGACCAGTCTGCTGGTGTGTCTTGAACAGCAGGTCTATGGGGTCCTAAGCACACATTTTATTCTAAGGTACCCCTCTTTATGACAAAACAATACAGAAAGACACAAAGCACACCAGATTCACTACAGCTTAAGATCGGCCTCAGAATTCTTTTTTTATATTAATCAAAACTTTACAGAGGAGATAAACAGTGACTTTTACTATTCATTTATGCAGTTTGCACAGAGAGACAGAGACCAGAGTCTGGCTGGTAAGAAATTCTTACCCTTTTGCCAGTATGCCAGGTTTCTGGGTTCTGTCTCCCAAAGCAGCCCTAGGAACCCTGCTTGACTATATGCAAACAAACACATTGCCATGAATTAAGAATATTCACAAATAGTTTACGAATTTTGGAGAAAATGGGCAGACAGAGAAATATGACTCAAATTCTGTTTATGAAAATATACTCAACACACTTAAAGTATCATAAACAGAATTTGAGTTAGTTCAAGGTTAAAAAGCTGGTGTGCTCCATCAATTCCTGCCAGCCTGACAAAGGTAGCCTAGGAATTCCAGATAAATGGAACAAATGATGACTTGCTAGAAATGCATAGGGAACAAAATAACTATTCACAGAACCAAATAAAAGCCTTCCACTAGAAATTTAAAAAAAATATATATGATTTTATATGTGCATACACAAGCAAAGCCAGAGGAGAATAAATGGCAAACAAATGAAAATTAGAAGCAAAAACAAATAGGAACCCAACCCTAAATTTTTCCTTCTCAATCTACCCTGGAGGCTACAGTGTTTACCTAGGGCCCCCCAAAACCCACATAATGAATATTTTGTTCCTGATACACAATTCAGTATCCTTAAGTTCACCAATATCACCATACATCCTGTGCAATCAAGAAATACACTATAGGCACATAACCAATAAGTACTCCAGTGCCAGCACTATCCACACAAAACAGTAAACAGTGTGAAGCAATGCAAGCATGTATGTGAAATTTGGCTCCACACCAAATCCGGCTTCATGCTTAACTATAGTAAAAAGGAATTGCCAAACTGCCGATGCATTTCTTTACAATGCTTATTTTACTTTTATCAAGACTAACAGCTTTCACTATGAAAATGTTAATTAGCCAAATATCTCCAATTCTCTATCAGGTTTTAAAGAATATTTTATTATCTAAACTTTTTCCATATCGTTCTCCTCTACTTACTGGTTCCTTACTACATTGTTTCATAAGTAACCTTTTCAAATCTGTAATTTGAACTAACTTTTAGATAACTTCTAAATTATTCTTTTTCTCACTAATAACACAAACTTTCTGGCATGTTTTGTATACAGAATTATGTGTTAACTAGAATTCTTATCCTTAGTAACCTAAAACTTTAGTGAAACGCTAAAAAGCTAGAAATCCTGAACTATCAGATATGGGAATTTATAGTTAAGAACAATTCCACAATTTTAGAAACATATTTCCCCATATCACAACCTTTCTAATTGGAAATGGCCCAGATCTTAAATGAGCATCAAAAATGATTTTAAGACTTTACACAAAAAGCTTATCTAAAACATTTGTCCCATTCACTGTACTCAATTGTTTCACTTTTAACAGTTTATCTAGATTACCTCTGTAAACCGAAATGTTAGACACTATCTTTTAAAGTCAGTTATTTCCCTGTTAACCACATTTTGAATAGCCAGGTGTGCACTTAAACCTAAGTAAGAGCCTCAAAGTTAATACATACGTATTTTTGCCAGTAACCCAGAAGATTTAGCTAACATTAAATTATGCTCATTTGTCAAAAAAAAAAAAAAAAAAAAAAAAAAAAACGCAAACGAGATCGTTTTGTTTTGGCTGGGTTTATAGTTTTATAACCTTCTATGCCAAACCCTAACACCTCAAAATATCTAGCAGAGACAAATATAAAACCCAGACAAAAATATATGCTGACAATTCTGAAGGCATTTCTATTTTTACTTCACCAATAATTTTAAAACTAGCCTGTTTAGGAAAGTTATACTTAAGTCATGTGAACTTGAAAATTGCTTCGACTTATTTACTTAATTTATGAGTGCTCTTTTACTTATATGCCAAAACACAACATATAACAAATGTGCAAATAAACACATCTAGACATGTGTATACACACACACAAATGAAGATTCAATAGCTTTTACCTTGGAACCCTAACCATGAGATAGCAATACAAGCTTGCCAATTTTACTTTGTGTACCCAATAAGCAATCCAATGAAGGCTGTGAACTATTATTTCAGGTAAAGCAATTTCCATGGCAGTTTGATTTTTAAAGGCCAAACCTCCCCAGACTCGAAAGAACACTGGGGTCAAACAGCACCAAAGGAGAACATCACATAATAACTAGGCCTGCCCCTGCTTAGAACAGCAGCACCAAAGCCTGGATACATGCAACTGCATCCCGCTTTCCCATTCAACAGCAAATGCCAGAATCCAAACCATATTGGGGCCAAACAGTATTGCAACTGCAAGAGAAAATTCTAAGGAGGGCTTAGTACTAGTCCTTAGAACTGCTGCCAAGGGCATCCCCTTTGGAGAGGTTGAAGTCTGGAGGATCCCCTGGGGAATCCCCCTTTGGGGTCCAGTCTTAAGAGTGTCAGGCATCTCTGACCTTACGTGGGCACCAGTGCCGCTTTGCATATTTTCCCTCCAGAGGCAATTGTGAGCTGTCCTTTGGTTCCTGGGTGTAATCACTGGCGTTTAGCATCCTTATAATTTGATAAGGCCACATTATCCCATGCTTCCTGTTCCACTAGCATGATAGCCATGAACTGTAATGATAGGAAATGGAAGCTGAGTAGGCTTCTTTTGTCCTTAGCCAGTCAAGTAGGGTTTCCGTCGCCTGAAACACATGCAAGTTCACCCTGAGCTGCAAGTTTGCCCTGAGCTGCGCCACACATAGGAATCAGGGACCACAACCAGAAAAGATAGAAAAAAGTCCTTCAGGATGGCCCCACCCAGAAACCTGCGGTTGCCTCCGTGTTTAGGCGCTGCCCACCAAGGGTCCCGAGTTGGAAAGGAAAAAGAGACAGAGGGAGAGATTCCCCTGTATGGAGTGGAAAAGAAAAGATGAAAAATCCCAAACTTTGGGCTTACCTCCTGGCTGCCTTGCCAAAATATGTTACCAGTGGAGGGTGTCCAGGTTCTGGGCATATTGAACCAAGAATTGGACAAAACACACAAAGCAAGGAAAGAATGAAACAACAAAAGCAGAGATTTATGAAATGAAAGTACGCTCCACAGGGTGGGAGAAGGCCTGTGCTTAGGGGCTCAAGAGCCCAGTTACAGAATTTTCTCGGGTTTAAATACCCTCTCAAGGTTTCCATTGGTTACTTGGTATATGCCTTATGTAAATGAAGAGGATGAAATAAAGTTACAAAGTCATTTACTTAGTATACACCCTAGTCATTTACTTGATGTACGCCCTATGTAAATGGAGAGGATGAAATAAAGTTACAAAGTCATTTACTCTGTTGGAGAGTATATGTCCTGTCATAGCTGATGTGTTTCCATTTCATTTATTTCTAGGAAGTCTGCATGAATCTGCTTTATGTTTCCTGCCTCCAGACCCTATTCTCTTGCATCAGTAGGGTTGAATAAACTACACACATGGTTTATCTTAAACTGTCTTCTAAATAGGAATATTCTGATCTAGAATCCTTCATTTCTTCCAGCTCCTCTGCACCACCAACCTGGTGGATATGGGCCCATGTGTCACTTAGGGTTGATGTTATCATTTCACTTCCAAAAGTCGTTTTCAGAAGATAGTCTTTTTATAAACGTTAACACAAAGTGTACAAAATGTGTTACTTTACTATTTTTGTCATACATTGGCAACCTCTTTAGTATCTAGAGAGTGGATATTTTAAAATTAGGACTCATTTTTCCAGTATATAACACAATATGTAGTATAGCAAAGTTACTTGCAATGCATTTAACATATAAGGCAATGGATAAACTGAAATTTTCTAGTACACAATAGCAAAACATCTTTTGTAATTTCTTCCCTCTCACCTTCCTCAACTGAATGAACAAGTAACACTGTTCACAGAGGTGATTTAACAATCCCACTTGCAAACACAGTATTTCCCATCAGTTTTTAAAAGCTATTTACAAAAAGTGTTATTATACTATTTCTACTTTTAAATACATCAAGCATTTCTAACTATCTAGAGAGACCAGATATTTCATATAACTTTCCACTGTGTACATAGCACTGTAAAATAAAATTGCACATGTATCAGTGGCTATAATCGGAGGTATCTTCTAAATATGACAATTTTGACCTTGAACCAGTCCTTCCTCACTCCCTTCTCTCTGTCTTCAATCCAGTGGACAGGTACAGGCATGTGTAACGCTTAGAGATGGCTGAACAAATTCATACCCAAAAATCATTTACAGAAGACAAGCTTTCCTATGAATTTCAATACAAAGTGTGCAAAATGTGCTAATTTTACTAGATACTTTGTCATACACTGGCAACTTCTTAAACATCTAGAGACCAAATGTTGCAAAATTAGGACTCATTTGTCCATTATGTACTCTACATACACAGCAAAACAAAATGCACAAAACAGACAGAAAAATGGCAAGTGAAATGTCCAAGTATGAACACACTAGCATATTACCTTTGGCAATTTCTTCCCTCCCATTTCTAAACCATTGAACAAGTATAGACAGTACTATACTGCTTACAGAGGTGGCTTCACAATTCCACTTCCAAAAGACAGTACTTCCCAAGAATTTTAGCAAAAAGATATTTACAAGGTGATATTTTACTACCTCTACACTTAACATACATCAGGCAATTCTGAACATCTACATAGATAAGATGTTTCAGGTAAGAAGTTAATTCGTCCACTATATGCACAGAAGTCTTGAATAAAGTGAACACATGTAAAAACAGTTATGACTGAGTCTTCCAAGTATGAACATTCTGGCCTACACCTTCCCATCTCCATCAACCCACTGGGCAATAATGCTCAAATTTTCAGAAGACTGTCTTTCCTGGGAATCTTAAAACGAAATGTACAAAATATATTAGTTTACTAACTACTTTTGTCATACACTAGCAACCTCTTTAACATCTAGAAAGACTAGATGTAAAGTCAGGACTCATTTGTCCTTTAGATCCACAATATACCCAGATAAGTAAAACAAAATGCCCAGGCATGAGACAATGGTTAACCTTGCCTCACTATAAGCACATTGGCATAGAGCTCTTACACTTCCTTTCCTCTCTCCTCCCCTGAACCAGTGCACAAACACAATGTGTATTATTAACAGGTGGTTTGGCCACCCCCCCCAACCAAAACAACATTACATATGAATTTTAACAAAAAGATTTACAAAATGTGTTATTTTACTATCTCTAATTTTAACATAGGCATTTCAGAACATCTAGAAAGGGTAGATAGTTCAAAAAATAGTATTGTTTTTTTTTTTTTTTTTTAATTTATTTTTTTATTGATAATTCTTGGGTGTTTCTCACAGAGGGGGATTTGGCAGGGTCATGGGACAATAGTGGAGGGAAGGTCAGCAGATAAACAAGTGAACAAAGGTCTCTGGTTTTCCTAGGCAGAGGACCCTGCGGCCTTCCGCAGTGTTTGTGTCCCTGATTACTTGAGATTAGGGATTGGCGATGACTCTTAACGAGCATGCTGCCTTCAAGCATCTGTTTAACAAAGCACATCTTGCACCGCCCTTAATCCATTTAACCCTGAGTGGACACAGCACATGTTTCAGAGAGCACAGGGTTGGGGGTAAGGTCACAGATCAACAGGATCCCAAGACAGAGGAATTTTTCTTAGTGCAGAACAAAATGAAAAGTCTCCCATGTCTACTTCTTTCTACACAGACACGGCAACCATCCGATTTCTCAATCTTTTCCCCGCCTTTCCCGCCTTTCTATTCCACAAGGCCGCCATTGTCATCCTGGCCCGTTCTCAATGAGCTGTTGGGCACACCTCCCAGACCGGGTGGTGGCTGGGCAGAGGCGCCCCTCACCTCCCGGACAGGGCGGCTGGCCGGGCGGGGGGGGGCTGACCCCCCACTCTCCCTCCCGGACGGGCGGCTGGCCGGGCAGAGGGGCTCCTCACTTCCCAGTAGGGGCAGCCGGGCAGAGGCGCCCCTCACCTCCCGGACGGGGCCACTGGCCGGGCAGGGGGGCTGACCCCCCCCACCTCCCTCCCGGACGGGGCGGCTGGCCGGGCGGGGGGCTGACCCCCCCACCTCCCTCCCGGACGAGGCGGCTGGCCGGGCGTGGGGCTGACACCCCCACCTCCCTCCCGGACAGGGCGGCTGGCCGGGCGGGGGGCTGACCCCCCCACCTCCCTCCCGGATGGGGCGGCTGGTCGGGCGGGGGGCCGACCCCCCCACCTCCCTCCCGGACGGGGCGGCTGGCCGGGCAGAGGGGCTCCTCACTTCCCAGTAGGGGCGGCCGGGCAGAGGCGCCCCTCACCTCCCAGACGGGGCGGCTGGCCGGGCGGAGGGCTGACCCCCCCACCTCCCTCCCGGACAGGGCGGCTGGCCGGGCGGGGGGCTGACCCCCCCACCTCCCTCCCGGACGGGGCGGCTGGCCTGGCAGAGGGGCTCCTCACTTCCCAGTAGGGGCGGCCGGGCAGAGGCGCCCCTCACCTCCCAGACGGGGCGGCTGGCCGGGCGGGGGGCTGACCCCCCCACCTCCCTCCCGGACGGGGCGGCTGGCCAGGCGGGGGGCTGACCCCCCCACCTCCCTAAAAAATAGTATTGTTAACTACATATACAGTCGTGAGAAATAAAATGCACACACAGAACAATGGTTGGAATATGAAAATGTCTTCTAAATATGACCAGTGTGGCACAGAACTGTCCTCTCTTCCTTCTCAGGTCTTCTGCCCCATGTCCTCTAACCCAGTGGTCCCCAACCTCTTTGGCACCAGGGAATGGTTTCACGGAAGGCAATTTTTCCATGGAAGGTAGGGGCATGGTTTCAGGATGAAACTGTTCCACCTCAGATCATCAGGCATTATTAGAGTCTCATAAGGAGCGTGCAACCTAGATCCAGGGGTTGGGGACTCCTGCTCTAACTCACTTAATAAACGTGGATGTGTGGCTCCTGCTGTCACTTCCAGAGGTGGTCTAACAACTTCATTGCAAAAAGTCATCTCCAGAAGCCATTTATGTCCTATTATTATTATTATTATTATTATTATTATTATTATTTTTTTAACAAATGGGAATTTACAAGATGTGTGATTTTCTAACTCTATCATAAGTCACAACCTCTTTACACCTAGAACGGCTCGATGTAGCAAATGTTTTCTTTTAAAAGGCTGGGGGGGAAGTTGAGAGCAGCTTCTTCATAGGATATACACGGGCCTTCTATAAACAGCCAGTAATCTTCCTAAAGGGTGGTGGGCCTTTCCGATGGGCCTAATGGCGCAAGTTATTCTTACACTTCTCTTTTCCAGCACCAGCGTCTGGTAGAAGGAAGACGAGCTGGGCGATGGCCGCTAACCCTACCACCCCTCATTGCCGGACTCCCCTCACCTTCTGGGCCCATTAAGGACTTTGTCGGTTGTCCTCGGGACTAGGTGGGTGTCGTCCACTTGGGACATTGCGGCCACCCGAAGACCCGGATCTGCTCGGCTCCATGGCCTACGGAGGCAGCTGAGCCGCGCGCAGACCAGCTTTCCTGGCCCTCTGCACCCGCTGGTGGCCTCCGCGGCGTTGGGGCCGCCTCCCTGCTTCCCGCCCTGCTATACCTGCCGCCACCCAGGGGCGCTGCGTCCAGGCGGCTCAGCAGAAGCTTCGTCTGAGCCTGGCAGGGTTGGGCGGGGAGACCCTGCAGCCGGCAGGTCGGGGAGGAAAAGTGGTTCGCCGCTGCTTCAAGAAATGGGCCCGGTGGGGCAGCCGCGGCCAGGGCTCCGGGTTCTACCGGGCGGAGGGCCTGGAGGGCCCAGCAGAGCTGTCCGCGCTCACATCTCAAATTCTGTTCGTCTTTTTATACTGATTTCAAAATATAGATTAGCCCTTTGTTCTTTCTTAAAAATCTTCACATTTTATTTGTCTATTTTTGTCTTACAGGACTTCTGAATTTTATATGATCTGAAATTAATATTTTCCTTAATTGCTACTAGGTTTGTGGAATGTTGGAAAATCTAAGTACTATATAAGAAATATGTTAACATAGTAATTGTTTTTACGATTTTAATTTTATATTTAAACCTTTATACGTTTCGAAAGTTTTTACTTTAACCGGTAAGTTGGAGGTCCACGAGATTTTCTTCTGCGCCAAAATTTTCAGCTACTCTGCTTCTAAACACTTCAGTGAGTAGCCTATCTGTCCCCCCCGAGTATAATGCCAGCTTTATCATGTAATAAATTCTCATTTGCATTTAATATCTGGAACTTTTATTCTGCTTCATTATTTCCATGTGACTACCACCCTTTCCAGTCATCATTATACATTTCATTTTTTAAAATAAGCTTCGTTGAATATATTTAAGGTATACAACATGTTATGAGATACATACATAGTTAAAAAAAGATTACTACAGTGAAGGAGGAATCCCAAATAAAGTAGAATTTATTACCTATACTGTGGTCCTTATGTTGTACATTAGATCTCTAGGCTTGTTCATCATGCATATCTGCTACTTGGTTTTGTTTTGTTTGAGACGGGGTCTCCTGTCCCCAGGCTGGAGTGCAGTGGCACGATCAAATCACTGCTCACTGCAGCCTCGACCTCCCAGGCTCAATCCATCCTCCTGAGTAGCTGGGACTACAGGTGGGCACCAGCACTCCTCGCTAATTTTTTTTGTGTGTGTGTGTTTTGTTTGCTTGTTTGTTTGTTGTTGTTTTGGTTTTTTGGGGTTTTTTTTGTTTTTTTTTTTTTTTTTGCAGAGATGGGGTTTTGTCATGTTGCCTAGGCTGGTCTCAAACTCCTGGACTCAAGCAATCTGCCCACCTCTGCCTCCCAAAGTCCTGGGATTACAGGAGTGAGCCACTGCGCCTAGCCCTCCTATCTGCTGCTTTGTATCCTCTGACCTACATCTCTCCACCCTCCTCCACCTCAGGTTTTGTTATCTCTGTATACCTGTATTTGAGTGTTTTCTTTAGATTCCCCATGTGAGTGAAATCGTGTAATATTTTTCTTTCTGTATCTGCCTTATTTCACTTAATATCCTCCAGTTTCATCCATGTTGTGGCAAATGGCAAGATATTCTTTTTAGGGCTGAATAATATTCCATTGTGTGTGTGTGTGTGTGTATACAGTTTCTTTATCCATTCATTCTTCAACAGGCATTTAGGTTGCTTCCCTATATTGGCTGCAATGCTGCAATGAACGTGGGATCACATTTATCTCTACAAGGTGGCTATCTCATTTTATTTGTGTATATCCCCTAAAGAGGGATTGTTGGGTCATATGTAGCCCTATTTTCAGTTTATTTAGAAACCTCCATACTGTTTTCCACAATGGCTGTACATTCTCACCAACAATGCACAAAGGTTTTCTGTTCTCTTCACCCTTATCCACGTTTATGATTAATATCTTTTGACTTTTTGATAATAGTCATCCTATTATTATCTAGTGTCTCATAATGGTTTCAATTCACATTTCCCTTATGATTAGTGATGTTGAACACCTTTTCATATCCATCTTGGCCATTTTTCTTCTTGGAGAAATGTCTTTTCAGGTTTTTGCCCATTTTTAACTGGGATCATTTGTTTTCCTGCTATTGAGTTGTATGAGTTCTTTATCAATTTGTTGTATCTTATTAGATATATAGTTTGCAAATATTTTTTCCAATCCATAGGTTGCCATTTCATTTTGTTGCTTGTTGTCTTTGCTATGCAGAAGCTTTTCAGCTTGATGTAGTCCCATTTATTTATTTTTGCTTTTGTGGCCTGGGCTTTTGATGTGATAGCCAAAAAATCATTGCTAAGGCCAAGGTTCAGGAGCTTATCATTACATTTTAACAGCTGGAAGAGCTCTTCCACTCTCATCAGAATTTTTCTTATCTGTCTCACTTTTGTTTTTTAGTTGAGGATTAGTATCATTTTGTCAAGTTAAAAAATTGTATATTGATTAATTTAGGGAGAATTGACATCTTTACAATACTGAGTCTTCCTATCCAAAGCAATATGTCTTCTTTACATTATTTTTTACTTTGATAAGTGTGGTTTAAATGTAGCTTTTATTAATTTACTAAATGATACATTTTATTTATTCTTGTTAATTATTATTGTCCTAACTCACTATTATTTGTATAAAAGAAAGTTATTTTTTATTTTAATATTTCCTTTCACTTTACTGAATTTTATCTTACCACTTTTACCACTTTATTTATTATTATTATTATTTTTATTATTTTGAGACAGAGTTTTGCTCTTGTTGTCTAGACTGGAGTGCAATGGTGCGATCTCGGCTCACCACAACTTCTGCCTCCCAGGTTCAAGCAATTCTCCCGCCTCAGCCTCCCGAGTAGCTGGGATTACAGGCATGCACCACTACGCCCGGCTAATTTTTATTTTAAGTAGAGATGGAGTTTCTCCATGTTGTCAAGCTGGTCTCGAACTCCTGACCTCAGGTGATCCGCCCGACTTGGCCTCCCAAAGTGCTGAGATTACAGGTGTGAGCCACCACGCCCTGCCTATTATTATTATTTTTATTATTTTCCAGACAGAGTCTTGCTCTGTCACTAGGCTGGAGTGCTCTGGTGCGACCTTGGCTCACTGCAACCTCTGCCTCCCAGGATCAAGCACTTCTCATGCTTCAGCCTCCTGAGTAGCTGGGACTACAGGTGTGTGCCACCAAACCAGGCTAATTTTTGTATTTTTAGAAGAGATGGGGTTTCGCCATGTTGGCCAGGCTGGTCTTGAACTCCTGACCTCAGGTGATCCACCCACCTCAGCCTCCCAAAATGCTGGGATTATAGGCATGAACCACTGCGCCTGGCCATAATACTTTATTATTATTTGGTTCTCATGGATTTCCTAGGTGTATAATCACTTACAAATAAAAGTAATTTTGGCATTTCTTTAAATATTATAACTTATTTTTCTTGTATAATTGGATTGGCCACCTGTTCTAAAACACTGTAAAATAAGATAGATAGTAATCAATTTTTTTCATGTTCCTAACTTTAGTAGGAATGCTTCTGTTTCTTCATCATTAGGTATGTATTAGCTTTTGTTTACATGTATATAAAATTATGGCCAAATAACATCTGTCTATCCTATTTTAGTAACTAATTTAATAATTAAGAATGGATGTTGAATATTTTTGTTTTAGCCCAGTTGTCTAAGACTTCCAGGAATATACCTGTAGTGTAATAAAATTAGGTTTATTGATCCATTGCAATGAGACAGACTGCGTCCCAGGGGAGCCATGGGGTATCTCACCAAACAAAGGAAAAGGCAGAGTTATAGGATTTGGGGTAAGTTTAGGTTAATATTAAATAAGGCAGATCGTTGATAGGCTCAGAGGAAAGCAGGGCTGTGTGTAAAACGGTCCATATCAGGTCTGGACTGCAAAGTGGACCCAGAGTCCTATTTTCTTGAATACTAGACAGTTGAGAGAGGTGTGGAATGTTGTGTCCAGATACCCCTTATCTGCACTTCTGTATTTGAGTATAAGATGAGGCTGTGTTAGGAGTCAGGAAAAGAAAGGAGCCAACTGAAGTTATTTAGAAAGCAAAATCAACAGAACTTGGTGACGCTGGATGTAGTGTGAGGGAAAATGGCGAACTGAAATTTCACCCCTCTATTTATGGCTTATGTGATTGGGTAGATGACCAGGTCTTCAGCTGATATGGAATATACTATAACAACAGTTGGTTTAGGGAAGCAAGAGAGAGAAGAACAGGATGATCACTTCAATTTTTGATTTGTTGGGTTTCTGACTGCTGCAAGACTCGAGTATAGACCCACAGGTAGGTAGTAGGATGTATAAGTGCAGGGATACTGCTGGAGGCTGGGGTCACAGCTATAGATACAGATGCCTAGGAGTCATGAGCATCACTGAAGGAGGGCCTGCAAAGTGAGAGGAGCACTGACCAGATCAAGAGAAAACCCCAGGAAGATTTCCCTAAGGTTTCCAGGCCAGTAGGATGAGCCCACAGTGAAGACTACAAATGAACAGAGAGAGGTAGGAATCAAAGCAGAGACCTGCCATGTCAGAGAAACTGAGGAAAAGAGTTCCAAGGAGGAGGGAGTGGTCAACTTTATCAACTGCAGGAAATGGGCTCAGGAATGGAAGACCTGAATTGGTTTAACAGTTGGCAGGTAGACGGTGACTTTTGCCAGGGTACATTCAGGTAAGTTGGTGAAGCAGAAGACCAAATTCTGTATGTTCAGCCAATAATAAGTGAGACAGAAAAGTCAGCCTCCACCTTACAGGAAGCTGGGCTGAGAAGGGCAGGAGACAGGGCAGTAACTGCTGTGGCATCAAGCTCAGGGAATGCTTTTCAGCAAAAAAGATGTCAGTGTTTCACTTTTTTCAGCTAGTTAGAATCAGGACCTCAGCCTGATGGAATTCATTTAAAATACCAAATAAAGGTAAGTCTTCTGTAGTCTTTCTGTACTCACTTGAGTACTTGATCTCTGTAACTCACTCTGCATCCTCCTTCTTGCCCCTTCCTTAGCATGACACACGCACGCGCACGTGCACACACACACCAGTATACATTTGATTATATTTTAATGATCACGCAGACCCTTTTAGAAAAGATGTCTCCTTGAACTGTACCCAGGAGATGTGGCCATGGCACACACAAAGCTGTAGGGAAAGACCAGACGAATCTTGAGCTGAGAAGGAAGGGCTCAGTTGCATAGGTATTTAGGCAGAATGCATAAAGAAATCCTTTGTTGAAAATATTTAGGAAAGAATGGAGTTTTTGAAATATAAAATCAATAATAATTTTTATTTTTTGTTCAGCACACATGGCAACACAGAGCTGTGAAGACAGACGTGGTTAGCACAAACCACTTGGGCCAGTGAAACCAGGGCAAACTCATGGATCATCTGCGTTCCCATCTTCACCTTGGTGGCAGCCCTACCTCTGAGATTTTAAGGTCTACGGAAAGTGCAGGCTTCCAGGAGTGCTGTGGAGCAGAGCAGAGAGGTAGGATTTTCAAAATCTTCCTATATTTATTTCTGAACTGTCGAGTGATTGAACAATTTCAGCATAGTACAAAGTGTGCAGACTTGCTGCCTCCTCTTCTGTGAACTGGGCCGTTCTCCCAGTGCTCTTTTCTACTTGCCTGCACAGCTCCTGTGCCTATCCTGGGGAGTGCCCCACGCCAAAGCTGTTAACATGATTTTCCTGCCCTACAGGGTCCTCCACCTTGTTTCTTATGGGCGAGGCTCACACATCTGAGTTCCTGAGGCCAGGAGTCGCCCAGGAAGACTGTCCTCCCTGACCTCTTTAAGCAGGTGAGGAACTGACATAGCAAAAAGCACCTGCAATGTGCCAGTTTCTGTGCTGTGGGCTAAGGATGGAGGAAAGAAGAGCAGAGCCAGACTGTCTGCTTTTGTGGAGGATATAGGTTAGGTAAATATCAACTTGATTCTCACAATAGCGAACCTAGACAAGCACATTGCTGCTTCCGTCAGAATTACATGGGGGCAGCTTTTCAAATGCGGATACCTGACCTAGCACAGACTTTCTAAATCAGTATCTCAAGGCTCTGAGAATCAGCATTTTAATAAGGATCAAGACTCCCTTATCTGCATACTCCTGTGGAAAGACTAACTGCCCTACACCACATGTTATTCCCCAGCTTCCAAACTTTTTCAGGTGACTCAGTTACACCCAACATAGTTATACTGCAAAGATGTGTTTTATTCTATTTCAGTTCTCAGAAACTGGTGTTCCAAATGAGTAGTATGCATAGCAACTTTATGGTTACCAGAACCTATCATTGTTGAAGCTGTCTAGAGCAGCACTGTCTGAAAGAGCTTTCTGTGATGATGCAAACATTCTCTTTGCTGACCAATATGGAGCCACATGTGGCTGTTGAGCACTTGAAATGCAGCTAGGTGGGATTGAAGAAATACATCTTTTATTTAGTTTAATTTTAATTAACTTAAATTTAAATAGTCACATCTTGCTGGTGGCTACCATATTGGACAAGGCAACTCTAATCAAAAGTTTACTGCAGAGCAATGGCATGTACACATAAACCCAGTCCTTTTCTTAGAAATAAGATGGAATTCTCTATACCCAATAAGTTCACTACCTTAGTGCTCTGAGCCTGTATCCCCTTACTATCTGCCCCTACAGTCTAGCCTGTCATACATGCCGGGCTTAGATTGTTCACTCACCATTTCATTTTGTCCATGTTGTCCTATCCCAAGGGCCACAGCCTACCCCTCCTGTACCCACCCACCATCCCAGCACTCACCACCATGTTTGGTTGCCACTTCCCCATGCTGTTCCTCCTACTCACATGAGGTGGAGCATTTTCTCAGGTTACCAACAGCCTTGACATATTCTTCTCCTAAGTATTTTTCATATGTGTTTCTGTCATGAAGTTTGGCCAAACATACTGTGTCATCTCTGAACAGAAGGTCCTTGGTTTCCGACCGGAACAAACAAAAGTTGCCCGAGCAGTCAGTTACGTTGCTTCCAAATAGGTGCTGTCAAGTGAACAGAAAGTCCGTGAGGACCTTGTGGTCTTTAGCAGCTGGGAACACATGGATGAGAAGAGTCTGAAAGCTCTGAACCAGCCCTGGGGAAAAAGGGAAGCTACGGAGTATGTCTTGGGAATTTTCCACCTCCTTTATCTGCCATTTATCCACTTAGGGCCCCAGCTGCATGCTTTCATGATGCCCCCAAAATCATCTATAGGGTCCCTGGTCCCACCTTCCTCTGATAAGTCCCTCCCACCCACACCCATGCCTGCCTACTCTGACCTCTCTTCCCCACTTCATTGCCCTTCACTGGGGGCTGCTTATAGGAAATGAGAGGACAATAACATGTCCCTTCAGATGTTATTGTCAAAGAAGATGTTAAATGTGAACCCTCCCAGAGGAGTGGCAGAGGTAGTTCTTAAAAGTTCATGTTTGACTGCATTTTGAATCCTTTCTTGGGCAAGCCACTCAGCTTCTCCAGATCTCCAAAGGTTGTAAGTGAAATGATGACTGCAAAATGTTGAACTTTCCATATAGCAGCTAGGAAATGTATGTTAAATGCTTATTATTGTCATGTACCTTAAAAGGACTTCAAATATACTCTTATTTTTTTTAAAAAAAGGTAATGGTGAATCAACAGCAGGCAGCTATGCCCAAAAGGAAGGTGATGTGTGTGTGTGGAGGGGCCTTTAGGATTAGAATACTCAGGCAGCCCCTGTCTTCAACAAGGCTGGCCCTGAGTGGTTGTTCCCCCAGAGGGCAGGCTCTCCGAGGGCAAGGGTCCTGTGTTTTTCAGACTGTTGAGAACAGTGCTCAGTCTGCCTAGGCAAGAGGAACAGAAATCCACTCTTCATGACTCGTATCAACAAGCGCTGGGAAACAGGAGCTGTCTTCTTCATTTTCGGGAAGGACAGGAGTAGGGGAAATGAGGGTACCCCTGAACAAGGTTAGGGGGAGCAGAAAGGCAGATTCCTAGTCCCAAGAGTACATGGATCAGATCTAATCACCAGTGACCAGGAGCTAGAAGCAGAGCTGGGCCTGAGAGGTCTAGTTCCATAATTACACAGCTAACATATTTTGAGCACGTCCTATAGGAAATGGAATTTTCCTATGCCGTTTGGGTGCATGTCTTCACTTAATACTCATGTTAACTGAGAAGTAGGTAAAAATATTATTATTACAATTTTATATATGAGGAAGCTGAGGCATAGAGAGGTTATGTAACATACCCAAGATGGCACAACTAGGAAGCTGTGGAGCTGTGATTTGAACCCTGATACTCTAGTCCACAATGCATGGCATGAAATGCACAATGCATGGAATTCTAGTTTTCAAAAAGAAAGTGCTGGAGTCATGGCTGCACTTTGTTGTAAACTCCCCCCGAATAGCCTATGGCCATCTAGGAAGAAAAGGTGGGAGGACCTGGCTGGTCCATACCTGCTGTTGACGTAATATCTTGTGGACGCAAGCTTCCTTATCTTTCCGTGTGACCACAGCGTGATTCGGGGCTCTGGCCAGGTGGCAGTTCGCATACTCCTCCACAGGTTTCCTGGTACCATCAAGGCACAGCAACTCATAGTCTTTTTCATTCAGATTCTTAGCCCATGGATCAGGGTTTTTTCCTAGGGACAGGAAGAAGGTGGTTCAGCTGATGGCTTTGGTCAAGGTGCCCCGCTGGGGAGATGGAACTGACTCAGTGGTGTGTAGAGAACCTGGGCCTTCTCGCCAGCAGAAGTGCCCACACTGGGGTTACAGTGATGTGGACAGGAAGAGACACCCATGTGGTCTACAAGGTGATGCCAGACTCACAGTGACCAGGAATGATTATTGACCATCCCCTTCCAACCTTCCCTACCCAGCCAGGTGAGAATGAACTACATTCTGCAGATGCTGTTCAAAAAGATCTTCAATTCCACTAAATTCCAATTCCTTCTGTACCTCTTGCTCCAACAGAGGAAGAATGTGACGCTCTAAGCCAGGTTGATCAATTTCTGTGCTGTAACACATGGCATCTCCAAACAAAAGAACTTTTCCTCAGAGAACACCTTTGGAATCTGCACCAGAATTTTAAATCTGACTCCCTTGTTCCAGTTCTAAATGAGAATGTGCACACACCTGTGTGATACAGGTCTGTATCCCATCTCGGCCCCTTTGCCTCTTCTTTTCTGTATTGTCTCTGAAAAAAAAAAAAAACTCACCCATTCTTAGGGTTTCAGCTCCTTCCTCCTGAGCCACTTTGCAAATATGTTTTGCTAATTTTTATTTCTCTCCCATAATTCAGAATTGCAACCTTTTTAAAAATGTATTTTTCATTTAATTTTGTTTCTTTAACCGAATAACTAATACATGAGATCACACTCATAAATTTTTGAATATCTCTCTATATTAACTAAAAGCCTCCTTTCCTATACTCTCCAAATCTCACTCAGTCTTATAGTGCTAGTCTTTAATATCACATTTGCGAGTTTCCATCCACGGCTCATTATATGTATTTTTCTACGTGTGTATATGGATTTCACATGTTTCTAATTTTGTTTAGTGTTAGATCTTGACAAATGTAAAACTCTGTAGCTTTTTTTTCAACTGTTTACATACCTTATAGATTCTTCTTGTCAGTACATACAAATCAAGCTCGTTCTTCTTAACTACTGTATTATATTTCATAGTGTGGCTATAATAGTATCTTTAAACCATTCCTCTTTTAATAGGCATCTGAGGTGTTTACAATTTTTTGCCACTAAAGTAGCGTTAAAATGAGTGTTACTGGCATATAATTGTGCTTACATAGAAGTGGAATAGTTAGTTCAAAGGGTATATGTATTTTTATTTTATTTTATGTTATTTTATTCATTTATCTATGATACTATGTTCTCAGCCCTCTCCAAGGCACAATCTTATTGGAGGGGAAAATAACACACATACCAAAACAAAAAATTCAGGGCAGGGATAATAATATTTTATATTTTGTAAAACACTCTAGATGCTGTGTGAGCTCAAACCAGGGCTTTGAGAACAAATGAATTAAGAAGCTGGCTGGAGGAGGCAAGATTTCAGTTGTCTCTTATAGTGTGTGTAGGATGAGAGGAGGAGAAAGGAATGCCTCTCTGCGGGAGGAAAGGAGAGTGCAGGCGAGACTGGGGGCAGGTGTGTGCCTGGTGTTTCTAAGGGAGAGAGGAGACCGCCTCTGGAACCATCTCAGGCAGTAGGGTATGTGAGGCACTCAGGCAAGAGGAAAAGTGGGTTTGTGAGGACTTATGAATGGAAATTGATGTTAATGAATGAGCCAGAACCTAAAGGTAGAAAATTAAGAAAAATCAAATGGGAGGTGATTCAGTCTGGCTAGGAGGGCATCTAGAAGGGCATGTTAAAAATATGCTTTTTCAATAAAAATAATACACGTTTATTGGTGGAAATTTATAAAATGCCACGTAAGTATTGGGAAGAAAATTTTGAAGCATTTGTAATTTCATAGTCTACGCCTTCAAAATTGGTACATTTCTAACATTCTTTTTCCTACACACACCTATAATATGCACATACACACACACACACACACACACACACACACAAATTGTGATAAAAGAGCCCATGTGGGCTGAGCGCGGTGGGTCACACCTGTAATCCCAGCACTTTTGAGAGGCCGAGGTGGGCGGATCATGAGGCCAAGAGATGGAGACCATCCTGGCCAACATGGTGAAACCCCGTCTCTACTAAAAATACAAAAATTAGCTGGTCGTGGTGGTGCACGCCTGTAGTCCCAGCTACTTGGGAGGCTGAGGCAGGAGAATCACTTAAATCTGGGAGGCGGAGTTTGCAGTGAGCTGAGATCACATCACTGCACTCCAGCCTAGCAACAAAGTGAGACTCCATCTCAAAAAGAAAAAAAAGAAAAAAAAAAAGCCCACGTGGTTTTGTGTCTTCCTTCTTGTATATACCATAGCACTTAAGACAGATTTTGGAGGAGGGAGAGAGGGGGGCAAGAGTTGAAAAGCTACCTGTTGTGTGCTATGCTCACTACCTGGGTGACAGGTTCAATCATACCGCAAACCTCAGCATCATGCAGTATACCATGTAACAAACCTGCATATGTACCCTCAATCTAAAATATAAGTTGAAAAAGCAACAAATTAATAACAGAAGAAGGTAAGAAGGTGCAAAATATAAGTATGATGAATCAGACATGATGTGACTTACATTTAGTAATATTTATCAGGAATGTGATATTAAGTCAGGGGTATTAGACCAGTAGTTCCCAAACTTACAATACATCAAAATTACTTTGGCTCTTAAAAATCATGTTGTCTACCTTAAATACACACAATTATTTCAAAATTTAGTTTGAAAAAAGACACGTTTTGAAGAAATAAGATATTGACTGACAGACTTAATCTAGGCCTGATGGGCAGGGAGTATAGCAGGATTCTCTATAAGGATAGAGGCTGGGAGAAGAGGAGGGAACGTTGACAGAAAGATGAGGACAGTTGAGTTGTATATGGATTGTATATATACAACTACAATATATGAGGACATCCATATACACACGTAAAAAAATACAATTGCAATGCCAATGTACTCTCTACATAAAAGTGACACCTTGGGAAATAGACTGGAATGGAATTGAGATTGGATGTCAGGCCTCCTATCTTAATTCTATGCAGGAGGGAAGAATTTTTGAGTCATTGCAAAGAGTAAGAGAGTCAAAGCTTAAAGAAGGGAGCTCTACTCAGAAAAGTACCAAAAGAAATCAAGGGTGGCAAAGAGCCAAGCTTAGGGTAACACTCTCTTAAAGGAAAAAGCAATAATACGAGGGAAGAAAGGAAAATTAGTCAACCCAATATTTCTGCAAACAAATTCTTAGCAACTGCTGTGTACTATGTGCTACACTAGGTTCTGGGAATATAAGATGAAGAAAAAGAGCTCAAAGAGTTTCTGTAGCCAAAGTGTATTACAGAGTGTGGTGAATTCAATCATAATGGCAATATGAACAGAGGAGTCTTCTTGTAGGACAGGGTATGCCATCTGGGAAGGCTTCCTGGAGGGGCTGGTGCTGAGCCGGTTCATTCTGGATGAGTTGCCCAGGAAAAGTGAGGAGTTGGGGAATGAACATGAGAGAAGGCAGGGAAGTATTCACAGCTTGAATTCCAGTGGGCTCTGCTAGCACTTAGTGATACTGAGGGGTCAGGTGTGGAGTGCTCAGTCTGGCCAATGTTTGTTTTGCTTTGTTTTGTTTGTTTTTATTAATATTATGGCTGTCCAACGTTCACCCACAAGTTAACACCCATTGATTCTTTTTTTTTTTTTTTTTTTTTTTGAGACGGAGTCTCGCTCTGTCGCCCAGGCCGGACTGCGGACTGCAGTGGCGCAATCTCGGCTCACTGCAAGCTCCGCTTCCCAGGTTCACGCCATTCTCCTGCCTCAGCCTCCCGAGTAGCTGGGACTACAGGCGCCCACCACCGCGCCCGGCTAATTTTTTGTATTTTTAGTAGAGACGGGGTTTCACCTTGTTGGCCAGGATGGTCTCGATCTCCTGACCTCATGATCCACCCGCCTCGGCCTCCCAAAGTTCTGGGATTACAGGCGTGAGCCACTGCGCCCGGCTTAACACCCATTGATTCTTGCTTGAATCAGTTATCAATATATTGGTTGCCAAGTGATAGTTTTCTAACTCTATCATTCCTTCCACATTGATTAGTTTTCCCTTCTTCATTTGTTTAATCAGTATTGCCTCATGCATTCTTATTTCTTTCAATGGGCTATTATCCCTTACTGCTATCATTATTTATTTTAATGCTCAAAATTCCCAGACTTGGCAACAGGAGATCCTTCAAATTGGTTCTTGTATGCTTTGAGTGTCCCATCACTGTTTGAGCACTTCAGTGTGTTGTTCTAGGCTCAGCATCTATTTTTCCTGCCCCAGCCCTGAAGTCAGCTATTTTTCCAAGGAGTTCTGGTTCCTTTTAGTAAAGAAGAGTACTTACAAGCCAATATCTTGGTGCTTACTCCTGCTGGTATGCCATTGCCTCTAGGCCTTCTCAATGGACACAACCCAGAAGTACAGTAAATAGCTATAAAAGGCATTACTGGGATAACTGACAACAGTTAAATGTGGACTGTGGACGTGACGAGTATTAAATCCACATAATGTAAAAGATCCTGATCTTGGTAATCATACTGTGGGTATGCAAGAGATTGTCTTATTCTTAGGAAATAGGCACTGAAGTATTTAGGGGAAAGGAGCACAAGGCTTGCAGCTGTGGGAGTGTGTGTTGGGGAGGATTTAGGGCCATTGGGGGCCCCATAATCCTGATCATTCTGCGCACTCAGGTGAACATGTCTCTCTTCACTGAGCAGACAGACTGAGAATCAGAGCTTTGAAGTCTGACAGTGTACATAATACTTCCACAAAGGCATCCCTGAATACAAGTGAATACCAGTGACCAGGATCTAGTGATCTAGGGGGACAGAGGAGCAGGTGCACTTACCCCCAGTGTTCTGTGGGACAGTCTGGTGTTTCACAAAGGCCACATCTCCCTTCTCAACCAGACACCTGCAGAGGTCCAGAAGTGGGAGAGAAAAAAAAAGGCGGTCAGAGTGACTTATCTGTCATTCAGGGGGCTACCTTATAGATTCAGGACAGCCATCTGAAAACAGCAACTGTAACTTCCATTCTAACAGTAAGCAATGTAAGGAATAAAGAGAACAAAAACAAAACACTCTGAATTGATTGTAGTTTTACAATCTCAGTTCCACATACTAAATCTTAATTTTTTGTACTGTTTCTCTGAGAGATGACATAATTTCCCTGACATCAACAAGGATAGTAGGGAATTGATTTTCAGTGAGGTGATGCCTCCCCCAGCATATGAATGAAAAACTCAGTTCCTTCAGGTTCTCATACAAGGCGAATGTCTAGGCAACATTTGTGAGAGACTGAAACTCCATCACAAATTGCAATTTGTGCTGTCCTTCATTCCTTTGAAAAAGAATTTTAACATTTATGGAGCATTTGCTATGTTGTGGGTTTTTTTGTTTTTGTTTTTGAGAAATGCAGAGAATATGGCAAAACATGGCATAAAGGCACCTGACTCTACTAACTCCCAGGCCACATATCTCTGGGTGTGGTAATGGGGGTTGTAACACAGCTCTGAGCTACAAGTCCCCAAGAAGTTTCAGAAAAGAAATAATAACAAAATAAACTCTGGTTAGTAGGGTTCTAATTTTAATTTTGACTGTCTTCCAGTCCTTTGAAAGGGCATACCACACAGATGATGAACTAGTGTGTACTTCAAAATCTACACAAGGCCCTCCTCAATGAGCCGAGTGGGTTGGACTTTTGGACAATGGACTGAACCCTGCTCTCCATGTACTTTAATCCCCTTGCTTCAAGGAAAAGAACCTGCCTATTACTGCATCGGTTCAAGAGTTTTGGGGGTAGCTAGCTGAGAAGACGGGGTACCTATTGTGCCACATATTGATTTAATTTTATTTTCTTTGGAGTTTGGAGTCTTTTTATCAGTCTGGTACATTTTACTTCATAGCTAAGTTTTATAAGACATGTTTAGAAAAAGAAGCCTTTATACACATTTATTTTAAGCATGTTTATACATACATGTTATTTGAGCCTTTTCTCATGACCTATAATTCTCAAACATATGTTATCACCAGAAAAAGACAAGGTACAAAAATGCAAAGGGGAACTCTATTTTAAGTCCCCCAAACTCTTCAATCTTTATGAAAACAACATGCTCTACTTTGTGAAATTAGAAACTTGGGGAATGTGAATTGTACTTAATCTAACTTACAAAGTGGCTCTAACTGGAAAATAGGAATGACCTTTGTTTTTTACATCATTACGGGGAAGCTCAGTTATAATACCATCATCATTGTGCAGTTCATGGATTCATGAACCACCAAATAACAGAAGGCCTAAAGCAGAATGGGTAGTTAAAAAGTAATAAGGTAGGGCCAGACGTGGCCCACGCCTGTGAGTACCAGCACTTTGGGAGGCCAAGACAGGAGGATTGCTTGAGCCCAGGAGTTTGAGACCAGCCTAGGCAACATGGCAAAACCCTGTCTCTACAAAAAAATACAAAAATTAGCTGGGTGTGATGGTGCATGCCTGTAATCCCAGCTACTAGGGAGGCTGAGGTGGGAGGATCGCTTGAGCTCAGCAGGTTGAGGCTGCAGTGAACCATGAGTGTGCCACTACACTCCAGCCTGGGCAACAGAGAGAGCTCCTGTCTCCAAAAAAAAAAAAAAAAAAAAAAAAATAGCAAGGTACACAGGTATCTCTATGAAAATGAATGATAGGCACTCCATAAAGTACAATTGTAGTTAGGAATTTAGGAATCATGTACTATTCTGTATTTCCAGATGAGTATTGTTCTGGATTATCCAGAGGTGCATGGAAAAGCTTGAGCCAAACTCTCCACTCAGTGTTTATTCAACTACAGTAGGGTATCATTGCCGAGGCACTAGTGACACTTGGGGCTGGATAATTGTTTGTTGTACCATGCTATCCTGTGCATTGTTGAATGTTTAGTGGCTTCTACGTGTTAGATGCTAGTAGCACTTCCTCCCCCACCCCAACATTGTCACAATAAAAAATATATGCAAACATTGCCAAATGTCCCGTGGGGGTCAAATCACCCGTTGACAACTGCTAAACTGTACCAAACACAAGTCTCTGCTGTCTTTGACAGCCATGTCAGCATCCTGGGGGAGTCTGGCTGCCCCTCCCCATGTGGCTCTATATCTGGTTGTGAAATATACTCTCTTAATACATGCCGCACTAATGGAATAGGAACCTAAGAATCTTACCTTAGTTCCTAAAAGAAATCTGGCCAGGGCTTGTATATTATTCTATTTGTTTCAGGGTTAAAAGACTCACCTGAAAGCGCCTGTGTAGCCGTAGTATCCCTCTTTGTTGTTGGGTTCACACAGGTTTAGGCCTGAGCCCATACACAGCTTACAGAGACTGGAGTCTTTCTTAGACCCAGGGGCACAACCTTCACTGAAAAATTCATCTGTGCAGAAGGACAAGAGGAAGTCAGCTTTTCCTGAGTCAATGCAAGCAGCTTTTATTTAAGAGATAACAGGGCTGCATGGCCCATAATAAGTAGAACATATTCATTAATTCTGTGACCAGCCACCACCAACCCAGGACTTGCCAGGCTATAGGCTTTAAAGGGGAACCTATTGAGATTGGGAAAAGGAGTTAATGACCATTACAATTCAGGGCAGAGGGGATTTATTTGAGCACAATAATGATGTCATCACTACGCTAAACAAAGAAGAGATGAAAAATGTCATGAAAGGGAACAGAAAAAGATGAAGACTGAAGGTCTTGCTTCCTGAGCTTGTGCCACCTGTTTTCAGATGTCCCCATTCCCTGCCATTCATTAGAAGAGCCTTTGCTACATCTCCAACCTCAGGAAAGGGATGGGGAATTTTCTTTGCAGCTCAGCTGCTCTCCTGTGGCCATAAAAGTGCTAGGAGGTTCAGGAGGGCAGAGGTAGTGCCTTTGTCAGTGGGGATCCTGAGTTTTCTGAATGTCACCTTGGCCACACTTTGCTTCATGTCTAAGTGGTGTCACAAAGCACCCTGGTACAGAGGCATACTCTCATCACCACTTCCCTGACCCCACAGGGTTTTCTGGGTTAATAACCAGATTTAGAGGCCTTTTCTTTTTTAAAGAGTTGCCCAAATTTGGAGGTGGCAGGGACAAAGTACTTAGGAAGCTAATGTAAATCAGAACCACTGGAAAACATCTGTCTGTAGGAGAACTTACACTTAAAAGTTTAAGCGGGGTAGAAATAAGCTCATACCTGGTGGTATTCAGAGGACATAGAAAATGAGGTGATTTCTACTGCTTAGAAGGGTCCTAGGAGCTGGGTAGGGACTTGGTGAGATTGCCAACACCATGAAGAGACCCGGGATCTCCCACACTCACATACCATACAAAACCTTGTGGCAGGGATTGCTACCTGTCTACCCAATATCTGTTTCTCCTTGTACTTTGTAACAAAAATCTGGTTTTATCTGGGGTAGGGACATTTCCAGATGAACGATTACATTTCTTTTTTACAGCTAGGTATGGTGATGTACCTAAGTTCTGGGCAATGAGAAGTTTGCTGAAATAACTGGTTAGACTTCCTAGAGAGCTCCTTTAAAAAGGTGGCATAAACTTCCATTTGCTGTAACCCCTTGGTGACTGGGGCTGCCTGGATCATGGATGCGATGGCAACCATGGGGTGACCTTGAAGATGGAAGTCTTATGCTCAGAATAGAGGAGCAGAAAGTGTGAAGGAGCCTGGGTTTCTCATGACCATACCAGCCATGCACTGCTCACCTCTGGTCTTTCTCCTGAGAGATAAATGTATATTCACTCATGCTAATATGTTCAACCTAAATGAACCGTCCCAACTCAGCAACCCAGTTCCAGTCCTTCCAGCCCTTGTTGCTATGTCCTTGAGGACAGCAAATTCTACTGTTCTTTGACCAAATTCTACTTCTCTAGAACCAGAGCCCACAGCACCTTATGCCACACTCCTCTTCCCTAAGGCAGGACCCTGCTTTCTGGCATGGCCCTCACCAGCCCTCCTTCCCAATATTCACTCACCAAATCTGCAGTGGTTGATCTTATTGTAGAGCAGGCCCATGGGGATGTTCCAGCCAGCGGTTCTGCCAACTGCCGTATGGCAGGACTTCTTGCCTTTCAGATTGTCCCAGGTGAGGTCAGAAGCTGATTTCTTCACCACTGCTATAGCAAAATACCCTACAAGAAAGACACCAGAAAAGGATGTATTAACACCTCTGGGGCTTCCAGAGTGTCTGCTTCCAATCAATTTCCCTAGGGAAGCAAAGATATCCTCAATCAGTCATTGTGTCTTGAGAGGATCTTCCCAGTATCTGACTGAGGGGAAGTACAAGGAACTCTGTCAGGAGAAGATTAATCTGAACTTTAAAAACAAAATATTGTGAAAACACCATCATTAGATCAATGGCTGGGTGTATAACCCTTCCCTAAGTGCATAAAGTCACTGAAGTTATAAGCCAGCAATTCACCATCCAATGAGTCCTATCAGAGGAATGGATACTGAAACAGCTAATGTAACCACAAACTTTCATAAATTAACATATGTTGAGATATAGTAGTAAAAGATCAATAAGCAAAAGAGAAAAAACTGAGCCAAACATTTTCTGATAAGGAGAATATAGTTTTATACCAAAATAAATATGCAAAATGGAAAATGTCAATATCAAGTCAGCTTCCATTTTCAGCAGCAAATATATACTGGTCCTTAAAATGGGAAATAGAACATCAACCTATGATTTCAGTTTGCCAGTTTAATTCAGATTACAGTTTCCAACAGAAAACAGAATCTTTATTATCCATAGAATAAGAATGGCTTTTTCTATATCTGCTGAAGGGCTTAGCTCCCCAAGTGATGGGGAGAGGCTGGGAGGTTATAATCAGTGGAAGTGGCAAGGACAGACTTGTACAGTAATGGCTGTCTGGAATGTGACCTGCAGGGGCCTGAGCATAGGGGGCCAGTGCTCACCTTGGTGTAAGACTTCCTGACTTGCTCCTGCTCTGTTTCTTCAGATGTACCCTTACCCAGAGCCCTGGGTGAGAAGCCAGGTTGGCCTGGGTTCCTGGACCCAGCCCTGGCTAGAAGGTCAGATAATTTTATGTTCCTTGATATCTGCCTGTGTGAGGCTCTCTATTGAGCCCTGTAAGGAATAAATAAGCAAAGTTCCTTGGTTGGTGCTTACTCTTATCTGAAAATGTGCAGGCCTCATGTCATGTCAGGTGAGGATCAGTGGGAAAGACCTGGATTTCCCTTCCTAGATGTATAATCCTAGACGATCTGTCTGTAAACTCCCTCAGCTTAGGGTCCACTTGTGTATCCTCAGAGGATGCCAAAACCTACCTTATAGCATTAAATGAAAAATCCTGTGTGCAAGCCATGGCAAGTGTAAAGGGATAACCATCATTATCCATTACTATCCTTCCATGATTCTCTCGCATTGTGAAAATTGGTCTCTTACAGCACCTTATATACTTGAATTTTAAATCTAACCAATTCCCCAAAACAATGGGAATTTATCTTTTAACTCCAGAGGTTACCAATTCAAACTCACCTGCCTCTGGTGTATCCTCACAATTATCGCTCTCTGCAGGAGAAAAGAAAATGAAAAAGGCATTAAACCCTGATTTATAGATTGGGAAACCATGCCTTTTTTTTATGCTGCAGCTAAGAATAAAGAAAGTCAGAGAAAATTATCTATACATGTCATCAATTCCCAACAAGTCCAGACTCTCTGGATCATGCAAGTCCATTTCACCTCCTGGCCTCTAGAATTTATCCACAAACTGCGAATGTCAAGTTTCCTGCTCTGTCTGCACTGAGACCACAGAGGCGTGCTAGCCAACTATATTTAAATCCTAGCAACAGGGCAGTGAGAGAAGTGTGAGTTTTGGAACCTGGAAGACTGCCAGAAATCCCAGCTGTCCTTTGCAATGGGGTCATCTTTAGTGAGGACTTCCCAGTGCAGAACTTTCATTTCCCATTTCTGGAATGTACTATAACTCCCAACCTTCAAGATGACTGTGGGGATTTGAGATGAAGGAGCCCAGAGCTTGCAAAGTAGGAGGTGCTCAGAGAGGGAAAGCTTTATGGCAGCTGTGGTATGAATCAGACTGTGATTTTTCCATCTCCTCTCTCCATGGCCCTGAGGGAAGAAAACACAGAGAGGTGCTCCCCACCACTTACTATTGTAGTTTTCTGCCAAGACAGGCACCAGACCACACTTGCCCGCTATGTAGACAAACCCTCCATCCAAGCTCATGGCATCAGCTTCTCCATTCTGCAAAGACACAGCAAATCACAGCAGATGAAAAGAGGCTGTTTCCTGTGCCACCCACTTTTCCAGCTGTTTCCTTGAAGCAGCCTTTCCAGCACATGAATGCCAGGGAGATAGCAGATGCTGATACTGAACCCCCAAAAGATCAGCCAGGCACACTCAGCAGAGAAAATCAAATGTACTCTCATTTTCACCCAACCATCATGAACTGATCATCAACTCCAGGTGCCTAGTTCAAGAGCAAAGACCCACATTCAGTCCTCTTGCCCTCTTGTAGGACACACTGTCCCAGAGACACTCCTACGACACATTTCTGACACCAAGAATTCTCACGTGCAGATGGATGAGTGGAGTCAGGGACTCGTGGCTGTGGCTGTGGAACACAGCACCTTCTGAAGGGGGGCTCTAGCCTCTAATGTCAGCCTCCTTGGCTGAGTGCTATTTCCGTGTTTGGTGCATACAACATGTTTAATGAATGAGTCAAATATTTTCAAATGTTCTAAATCTCAGCTCTAGTAAGCCCCAAATTTCAGAGATGCTTAGATTCAACAAGGTTTGTAAGATTTCCCTTTGGCCTGGCAATATACTTTCTAGTAATAAACCATAAAAGAACAATCAGATTGGTGGGCAACTATTTGGACAAAATGTGTAAGTGGGCAAAAATAACAGGTGTGATTTATAATAGCAAAAAGAAAATTAAACTAAATGCTCAATGACAGAGAAATAGCTAAATAAGTGGAAGCACATCCATGCTATGGAATAGATATCAGTCTTAAAATATCATTTTTTTCTTTAAAACGTAAGTATGGCTATATTTATTTCTCTTAATTCATGCAAGATAGTAATTACACATCAGCAAATATTATCCTCAATAATGATTTGATTCATAAGCATTTGAAATGTATGTAATTTCACATCAATAGCCTTGCATTTTTTTAATACTGTAAGTTAAAAAGCACCCCCCAACAGCCACTTTATATATTTTCCATAACTCCCTCTACACATCCAAACTTTAAACATAAACTGAATATATAGGTCATGTTTAGAAACTTGAGGTTTTAGAAATCTGCTTCCTCACTATGATTCAGAAAACTCCTTATACTGACAATACAGTCACAGGTTAGGTAAAGGTAGTTGTAGGAGGGGAAAAGGAAAAAGACAGACACAAGTTTGCTCTCCTACTATTTTACTAATCCTGTCTGTTGAAAATGGTGATGTCTTAAGAAGTAAAAATCTAGGTTGAATATGAAGAATGGAGTTTGCCTCACAGTTTGAAACATGCATTTCAAATAATTTCCTATTTGATTTGAGCTCACTGTAGCAAACTGATGCCAAAAGAGAAAAATCATTTCTTCCACACATTCGCTCAGAGTCTGCCTGGTAATGTGTATTAAATTCTTTGTGTTTTAGCTTGAAGGCACCTGTCACCAGACCAGTTTCAGGATTCATGGGTCAGGGCTCAAACCAATTTTTAATAGATTTTCAAACTTTTTCAGACACGCCCAAATAGCAGCTTCAGAAAGTACTTTACGTATGGTAGTCCCCTCTTATCCTCAAGGGATATGTTCCAAGACCCCCAGTCTTGGAACCTGAAACCCTATACAATGTTTATTTCCTATACATACAAGCCTATGATAAAGTTTATAAATTAGGCACAGTAAGAGATTAACAACAACAATAATAAAACAATTATAACATACTATAATAAAAGTTATGTTAATGTGCTCTCTCTCTCTCTCAAAATATCTTAACATTTTTGGACCACGGTTGACTGTAGGTATAACCCAAGAAAGCGAAACCTCACATAAAGGGGGACTACTGCACCTCATCTTCTGTTTCACAACTGTTAGAGAGCTACTCTCAAGTTCCTGTAAGTCCTTTCTTTCAAGTTAGTTCTGTTAGTTCCTTTTGATTTGGCACAACAAATCCAATGACATAAGAACAATTAACTGTTTGCAAATGCACAAACGTCATCTATTACTGGGAGATTCTTCAGAGTTGGCTCTACTTTCCCAAGGGAAACATAGTCTCCTGCCTGTAGTTTTACAAGGTCCTTTTTATGATCGATCATCTGTAAACAACCATCAAACTCTTCAGCATCTCTAGGACATAATCACTTCTGTCCATTTCCATCTTCAAATAAATCAGCTTTTGTTTCTGCTTCATTTCTGTAGCATCCCATTGTCACATTTTAGCCACCGATAAGAATTCTACCTCTGGGATGTGGTTTTTCAGTATTAAAGTATCCACCTTCCTCCCAGTTCTTTAATTTAATTTCACAGCAAACTAATGGGACTCTCACTTCTGCCAGTCTTGTAATCCACACATCTGTAATTGTTCCAGCCCCTGTAGGTTCAGTGAGTCTGTATTCATGAACTTGCTGCGTGTTGCAGAAAGTGGAGCACTTTCATACAATAAAAGCTGAATATTTCCACCTAGCTAGCTTCACAGTTTCCAGAAAACAAAGCTGTCACACAATCCAGTACTATGCTCTTTTGAAATGTGTTCCATTTTATAATTATAAGCCAGAATAAACAGATTGTGTTGAAGACTACTGATTTCATACACTTAATTCATGACATTTTGGTAGATCTGATCCATGATTTCCAGAACAGCTGCCATCAGTGTTGGTCTCAACCCAGAAGTACACCCTTTGCTTCTGGTTTTTATTTTTTTATTTTTTATTTTTTTGAGATGGTGTCTCACTATGTTTCCCAGGCTGGACTCAAACTCCTGGGCTCAAGCAATCCTCCTACCTTAGCCTCCTGAGTAGCTGGTACTACAGCTGCATGCCACAGTGGGCAGCCCATTTTTTACTTTTAAAGACTGATCCACTGAAGTCTGGGGTGAAGAGGAGCCAAGCAGGCATCCATGAGAAAAACAAAGAAGCTCAAAGCTTAATTCTAGAACATGGGCCACAGGTAAATATCCAATGTAGTCATCTTCCTCCTCCAGTCTGGGAATCCTTTCTGCCATCCCAGTAATACCAGTAATGATGTTTCTATGCGAGATGATGACTCCCTTTGGAAGTCCTGTGTGTCTACTCATGAACATGATTACTGCAATAACCGAGGGCACTGGTCACTTTGGGATCTGTTTTCCACACTCACCTTCACTTTCTACTGCAGCCATGATGTCCATGATAACAACCTTGGGAAATTGGGACAGGTCAGTGGCTTCCCATTGACAGTGATGATGTGTCACAGGTGTGGGACCAAATAAACTATGTCTTTCAACTTTGTTTCCAATAATTCTTTACTAGCAATGAGATTAGTTACTTTTGTTTCATTAATCCATGGGCCCTGGACCTCCTAAAGTAGCATATAATTTTATGAACTAAATGTTATGCATGAAACATACCTATCCAGCAATCATCCACTTGGACGTGGTCTCACAGAACATGGCAATGTTGGTCTTTGGTTTCTGCCCCAACATCTGTAAGCTATTTCCAACATTAAAGGCTCAAACGATGACATCTTCATAGGAGAGCAAATTATGATGTCCAAGAAGAACCTTTTAAAATATGTTTACATTTGGTTGTACTTAATCTTCATTTAAGATTTCACATGTTCCCAAGAGTCTTTTGCTCTTCCTTTTTTTTACAGACGTAAAAAACTTTATCTATTGTATCACATCCAGAGTATAATATTGAAGCCCAGCCACTCAAACTGCTAACAGATTTGTATAGACTCAGGTTTTGAATTTGTAGGCTTTGCTTTAACTTAGTTTGGTTTTTCTTGTCTTGACTCAGACAAAAATTAAAATGGAATATATGTTAAAATAGCATAAAGTGATATCTATAAATTGTATGAAATATAAAATAATGAGCTTGATGGTCCCTTTTTGCTTCATGGTAGATAGTTCTGAAGATACATGGTTATTCATAAGTGCTCAAAAAGTAGAATTAACATATTTCAGCAAAAATCTGTTGACAATGGCAGGAAGTACCTTTATAATATGCATCTTTGTTTCAATATATTTGCTGATTTATTATAAAGGATCCAACTCAAGAATAGCCAAATGGAAGAGACACAGAGGGCAAGAAATGTGGGGAGGAGGGGGAGTGGAGCTTGGCACTTCATGTTCTCTCTAGGCAAACCATACTCCCCCATCTCGATGTGTGCACTAACACAGAAGCTCCAGATTAGGTTTTACAAGAATGATTTATGATATGGGAAAAGCTTACTAGATACTGTGAGTGAGTAAAAGGTAGCAAGCAACCTACATGAAATGATCCCAATAAGGGAATTTTCTCTGAATTACATGATTATAAGTACTTTTTATTTCTTCTTTATATCATTCAGGATTTTAAAAATTCTCTGTAAGCCAACATGGAATATTCTTTCTTAAAAAAAAAATGTTGTTAGAGACAAGGTCCTGCTAAGTTGCTAGCCCTGAACTCCTGGGCTCAAGCAATCCTCCTGCCTCAGCTTTCGAAGTAGCTGGGACTACAGGTGCATGCCACCATGCCAGGCTAGGATACTCTTTTGATCAACAAAGCAAATTTGTACCTGATTGGATCCTACCATGTACTCAGGATCTTATCTCAGTGATCGTGGCACACCACTGGTCTCAGGACACCCACACCATGGTCCAGCCTCCCTAAGCAGGCACTGCTCAGCCTGCCCTTTCACCATACACTCATACAAGGAGGAAACTGAGCCCTGTGGGCACCCTTCAGATCCACAAGCTCAAAGATTCTGAACCTCCGGTGGGGCTGTGCTCACATAGTCAGGGCAAGGTTCCTGGGAGCCAGGTTTTTGCATCATTCCCAGGAACACTCCCTAGCTCAGTCTTGGGGGCCAGCAGGCAGCAATGACAGGGACGCTGCCCTAGGAAGGCTGGAGTGACATACCATGATCTTGGCGATGCAGTCTTCGGTGGTCTCTGCTGATACACACTCTATTTTCCCTACACTGTTAACACTCCACTCATCACACTTGAGCCTCTCGTGGTGGCTCAGCGCACACCACTTCACAGGCTTGCATTCATCTGTTGGGGCTTCTGGGCCTATGGCATAAAAAAAGAACAAAGATCAGAAGCGGCCCTAGCTGTTGCCTGGTGTTTGTCAGCACTACTCACTGTCTTCATGCAAATGCTGGGATTTGCCAGCAATAAACAAACAGACCCCATTCAAGGAATTAATCACCTTAGAAAGCAAAGTCAATGCACAATCTCTTGGTTGACTTCTCATTTAAATTTAGTTTTTTATGTCTTCCGAGAAGCCAACTTTCCTCTCCAGCCTCTGGGCACTATATGACCTCTGGCTGTTTTTTTCCTTCTTGTTTTTCAGATAGCACTTAACTACTGGAGGTGTTCTTATTTATATGTTCATTGTTTATTGTCAGGTTTTCTGCAGGAGAACAGAAGCTCCAACACAGAAAGGGCCCTGCCTGTCTTGTTCACCAGGGCATCCTCAGGGTTAGGGCAATGCTAGCACATGGTCAGCATAATAAATGTCTGATGAATAAATGTACATCTGCTCATCTTTCAGACTGAGCTCAAGAGTCACTTCCTCAAGGAAGCTTTGCCTTAACGCCAAGTCCAGGGCCTATTTTTCTTTGTTTTGCAGTCTCATAGGGCCATGGTATTTTGTTGTCATATTTTTCCCCTTTTAAACATATCTCTTACTTTGTAATTCATCATCCAATAGCATGACTATTCATTAAACATTTATCTTCTCCCCAGTTTGAAATTTCCAGGACAACAGAATCAAATATATATTTGTCATGCCATCCTATGTCCAGCACCTAGCAGAGCATATGGCTAGATGTTCAATAAATGTCTGCTGAATAAATGAATGGTCAAGCAAAACCACAGTGACTCAGTGAAATCCAGGACTGGGATCAACCTCTCTTAGAGCACCTCTTCATTATGGTACATGTTGACTGGCTGGAGATGTGCAATATATAGCAATTTTGTTCTATTTCACTTACTCTGTGATAAGCTAATTGCCTTCACAGAGTAGGTAAGGCAGTCCTGATTGATGCAAAGGAAATACTGGAACCAACCCACGTCATTTTAAATGTGGATTTCCTGTAAAGCCCATGGTGACATCAAGGCCATCTCATAATGACTAACGCCATTCAGCATCAGTCTAACACTGGGCTCACAGACAGGTCAGAAAAAGGAGCATCAGGAGAGGCGTGCAGGTCCCTGAAAAGACTCAATCTCTGGCCCCTGTGCTCACCAGGTTTCCCAAGTGCTTGTGGTCACCTGGTTCTTCCCAGGTACTCACATGTGCCTTCCCGTAGATTCCGGATGGCAGTGACATACTCATAGCCCAGGTACATCTTGGCATCCATCCTGGGGGGGACTTTTAAAAACCCGTGGGCAGAGTCCTTAAACAGCAGGTCCTTCCCATGAGGAGAGCTGAATAGTTGGAATTCTTTTGATTTGTCTTTGCCAAAATGTTCCTGTTCATAGAAAAACAGAATAGTGGATGGCAACACAGAAGAAAGGAGGCTGAGAAATGGGACTGAAGAGAAAAGAAATCTCTGCAGGAAACAACATGAAAAAGTTCAAGATGCCAGGAGAGAGGGCAGTCGGACCTGCTCCTGCTCACCCAGCACTTCCTCTGCCTGTAGCCCTCGTGGGTCCGCGATTTGCCTGAACCTGCTTCTGTGCCTGTCTCCCGGAACGGGTTGAGACATCGGTGAGAACAAGAAACGTGGCTAATCCAGAGGCTGCCCTGTGTGGTTACCAGTCAAACTCTCAGTGGACAGATGGGACGGCTCGGCAAGAGGAAGCTGGCTGAGCCCAAATCACACAGCTCTTGGGAAGTAAAGCCGCTGTGCAGGCAGCCCCCTCACAGCCGGGCTGAGGGGCATGGGGAGAGAGACCATTTCCTTCTGGGAGGGTCATGGAAAGCCTCCTTGGGGAGGGGTTTAGCTTTGGGCCTTGAAGTTTAGGTAGAAAGGAATGCAACAGAGCAATACAGAGCCTCTTCAGGTGTCACCAGCCAGAAAGGCAAGGGCGGCAGACGGTAGCACCACAGCAGGCTCCCTGCTGCTCTGTGGGGAGTCCCAGCTTTTAGAGAACTTAGTGACATGTGGCATGGCTCCCACTGTATCCTGAACACACAGACTTCCAGAGTGACAAGATGGCCAGGAGGAAAACCCCCAAATCCAAGCAGGGAGCACTAAGCTGGAGGGGAGGATGGCAGGTGGGGATACCTGGGCCTGGTTGAGAAGCTCCCAGATCAAGTCCTCCTTGCCGCCCATACTTCGGGCCACGACGGTATGAGAAGGGACCTGGGCCAAGTGGCAGTCCTTGTATTCATCTACCGGCTTCCGGGTGTTGTCCAGGCAAAGCAGCTCATACTGGTCCCTGTCAGCCTTGTTTGCCAAGTTCTCTGGGGAGGGAAAGCCCAGGTGAGCTTAACACAGGAGAGCCATGGGCTGTGGTGCCCATCCTTGAAATTCAATTGATCATAGAAAGTATGAGCTGAGAGGTCTGGAGTGAGCACTGAAGGCCAGAGAACATGCGGGAGAATGACTCGCTCAAGAGCCCACAGCCAGGTAAAGGCTTCTGATGCCCATGTAGCAGTGATTGCTCCTCATTCCACCATGAGCCTGATCTTAGCAGCACCAACCCCCAGTCTTTGGTTATGGCAACACTACCCCAGAGGCAGAGGCACCGTGTGGAGAGATTGAATGATGGAAAGAGGCCCAGGAATCCAGATGGGGACCCCGTAGGTACCTAACTCTGCACAGGTGGAAACCCAGGCAATGATAAAGGAGAAATACAGTATGCTCATTTCCAATTACTGAGCATGAAAAAGGGAACACAGAAAAAGAACACCCACTACTTGGAGTGGCCCTGGTGGATTCTTGTCCCATTCTTACCAAATATAGTCGAGTGCTTGACAAAGGCCACATCCCCAGCACCATCCTTCAGACACCTGGGTCAAAGAAACACATCAGCAGGGCTCCTGCAGGGCAGGCCCTTCTCCTGCACCTGGAGAGTCTGATCACACTGTCCAGCACTCACACTAGGATAGAGCCTGGTGCAGCCCCGTAGCTGAAGCAACACCATGGTGTGCAGACCTCCAGCGTAGTGCTGAGATGGGGGAATGAGCTCACACGAGATAAAAAGCCCTCATAACCCAAAGAAGCAAAATGCAACTGAAGATATTTTCATGTGAAAAGAGCTTTTAAACTTCTGGAATAGAAGATAATGGTATAGTGTCTCCTGAGGGTGAAAATGTGCCTTTGGCTGGTTGTAAAACTTTAGGATATAATCAAGGTAAAAAGAGAAAGCAAGAAATCAGCTTCCCAGATAGAGACGGTGATGGGGGCAGGAGACAGGCAGTGTGCTGAGCAGGTAACACTGCTGAGATTGAGGGAAGAGGGCCAGTCCCTGGACAGTGGGCCCAGACACTAGAGGCATGATTGTCCTTTCAGGCTCTGCCCGATCCACCGAGAGGAGACACTGACCAGGCTTGAGGGCTCTGGGGAGAAAGGAAGGGTCCCCAGGAAAAGGACCTACTTGTCAGGGTCAGATGAAAGGGAACATGGGCTGGCTTGGCCTAGGAGTCCCAGGTTGTGCTTCTGACTCACTGGGAGGGGATTAGGCCACCTCGATGCCCCTGTAGGCAGGCAGGGCTCGGCTTTGGACCAGCAAAGAACTCTCACCCTGAGGACATTTGGCACTTTGGCCACCATGGAGCAGCAGACATCTCACTCACTTGAAGGCTCCCGAGTAGCCGAAGTATTGGTTAAGGGTGGAGCAGCCACACCCTGGACACAGTTGACACAGCTGGGGGAAGTCCGTCCCATCCGCACAAGGGGCACAGCTGCCCGAGAAGAAATTGGCCACTGCTGCTCAGCACAGAGAAATGGACAACAGAGCATGAGTGAGGCTGGCCACAGCCAATGGCATCACCCCACCCAGGCCCATCAGGGAACAGAGGGGACTAAAACCAAACCAGCACATGCAGCCCCAGCTTGCCCTTATGCTAACTCATCAAGATCAAGGATTTCTAATAGGAACAAGTTGACCTCTGTCTGGCCACCATCCATCAGAGGAAACAGGCCTATGCTTCCCACTAACCAAGGCCTATCTCGGGTCTTTCTCAGAGCACCTTCTCCCTGCTTTGTCAGAGGCTGGAACAGCTCAGAGAGAGGTCCCCTCTGGGATCCATGCCCCAGACATGAGAACTGCTTAAGAGAGGTGCAGGGCTCCAGAGAAACCTCCAGGAAAGAAATCCAGAGAAGTGGACAAGAGAACCACCATCGCCTAGACTGAAACCCTCTGCCGAGCCTTGCGCCCTTTCCTCACTCATCAGAACAGCCTCTGCTGGGGTTTTGGAAGCTCAGAGCAGAAAAAAGCTCAGCTCCACCTCCCAAGTGCTGCTGGTGCAGCAGACCTGCCAGTTTAAAGTCTGTTAACCTCTTTCCCCCACCTGAGTTCATCCCACATGTCTGCTGATGGTGACTGTCTAGTGCAGCCTGTGTGGGCATCTGGAGCAGAGGCAGCTGCTCGAGGGCACCCAGACTCCTGCCAGCTTACCTTTCTCAAGAGGTTTACGTGGCTCAGGTAAGTCACAGTAAAGTAAGCCTATGGGGATGTTCCACCCAGCGGACCTGCCTAGACCCGTGTGGCAGGACTTCTTGCCTCGAAGCTGGTTCATCTGGAAGCCACTATCCTTCTTCACCACAGCAACAGCATAATAGAAAGTCTGTGGATCTGCAAAGGCACAGTGTGAATGGAAGGCCCTCAGCCTGGTGCAGGGAAACATGGCTCATCACCACCGGACTCTTGAGGAGGGAGGGGAGCGGAGAGGCCATGCTTTTACTGGACTGGGCGATAAGGAGTGGGGAATCAGGAAAACCTTCCTAGGGTTGCAGGGGAGAGAGAAGACCATAGAAGGAATATTTATAATATTACCCCTCCAGGCAAACAGGGGCAAGAAGGCCACACGCACATGTGTCCTGAATGCTTTGCCTCCCCTGGCCCTGCAGCGTGTCTGCCTACACCTACCAACCTCAGCCACCAGGAAACTGGAGCTGTGGTAACAGAGGCCCATCAAAGTATTTCATGTCCCCTGGCACAGGCCCAGAGACAGTCAGGTTGATCTCAGAAGACTTGCAGGGCTGCTGGCCTCTGAGTGTGTGCTCCAGAGTGACCCCTCCTGTGTGAGTGGTACCTATGGCTCCAGAGGCCTCCAGGGACCCTAGACATATCAGTAGACCGCAGTAGCCTTCAGGTCAAGCTGCACACAGCCTGCTGTGTTTCTCTGATAAGCATATGCCCCTGGCCCAGGGCTCAGTTTTAGGAGCACCAGTCCTCAGCCAGCCCAAAGCCCCCAGAGGCCTTGATGTGTGGCTGTGGCAGCTGACAGGGCCCCTCATTCTCTACTCACTCTCCAAAGATGAATGTTCATTATATCTGATATCCAAAACCTGCCTGTAAAACACAGCACTCAGCATATAGAATAAGGATGACAACTCCTTCCTGGGGTCCCAGGGAGAACTTACCCTCTTTTGACCCATAGAACTCTGCCACCACAGGCTTCAGGTTATTGGGAGCCAGGTAAGCATCATACACCAAACCTGCATCCAGTGTCACAGCATCCGCTTCGTTTGCCTGAAAGAGAACAGGCCAGTCCTGGATGAAGCCTTGACTTCCAAGGAAGGCCCACCTCAACCCACACAAGTAGAGAGTGGCTACCAGGACTCCACGGACCCAGGGCCAGAACTTGACTAGACCACGCACAGCCCTGCTGGCTTCAGTTGACTCTGTCTCCCTCGCAAGGGCACTTAGCCACCACATTCCTATTCCTTCTGCATAGAGGGAGTGATGGATTGTGTTTCTCTTTTCCCCGGTGAGGTGCCCAGCTCCTGGCCAAAAATCCTACGTGACTTTACCGTAGGCAATTACGAAGGCTTAACCTGGCAGGCTCCGTGGGAGAAAGCCGCCCTCGCCACCCCAGACTCAGAGCACAGCCAGTGCAATGCAGTCTCTGGAGGGGACTCTGCTGTCAAGGACACAGCTCTCTTGGGCTGGCCACGCTCTTCTTACACCTGTTTTCATTCCTAGCCCATGACCTTTGCTCAGAGCCCTCTTTATTTTGAGACTTCCTTTGAGGTCTTCCTCAGGTGCTTCTGTGGAGATTTTTTTTCTGGGGGAAGATGGGAACCTTGAAAACATTCGTCTTCACTCTGACTCAGTACTCAATGCTCTTCCTTCCTGTCCTGGGTCCATAAAACTGCATGACCCTTTTGCTGAGGGATTGGGCACTTTCTCTGGGTTTAGCTTCTTGGTGATACTATGTACTGAATGATCAAAAGCTTGATTATTATTTCCATTTTTGCTCATCTCTGGTATAATTGTCTACTCCAACACATGGGCAGCTCATCTCTCTTTCTCTCTCAGCTCCATTTTACAAGTGAGAAATATGAGGCACAGAAAGGTTAAGTCACTTCCCTGGGCCACATAGCCAGTAAGTCATGGAGCTGGGATTTCAGTGCAGACATTCCGGGTTTATTTCTTATCATTACACTGTTACTTCAGGTTATGTTCCTTTTTGACTTTGTGCTTCTGTAAGCCCTCATCTTTACATCAACAGGTCCCTTGAAATATTATAGCTGCCTTCTTACTAGATCTATAATTTATTTTCTTTTTATGTAAATCCTTAAAGTGAGCCCAACCATCTTTTATTTAGACACTTAAACACATAGTTTTACTCCTTTTTTGTTTTAAATGTCTTTAATCAAAATGATTTTTCCAGAAGCCCTTGCCAGTTCTCTATGAAGATTTCTTATTGATCAAATTACAAAGCAGGCCAGGTATAGTGGCTCATACCTTGTACTTCCAGCACTTTGGGAAGCCTAGGCAAGTGGATCACCTGAGGTTAGGAGTTCGAGACCAGCCTAGCCAATATGGTGAAACACTGTCTCTACCAAAACAAACAAACAAAAATTAGCTGGGCTTGGTGGCACATGCCTGTAATACCAGCCACTTGGGAAGCTGAGGCAGGAGAATCGCTTGAACCTGGGATGCAGAGGTTGCAGTGAGCCGAGATTGTACCACTGCACTCTAGCCTAGGTGACAGAGCAAGACTCTCAAAAAAAAAAAAAAAAATTACAAAGCAAAAGCTATAGTTCCATGAACTTTGTTGTGTTACAATCAAGTAATAAGACAATAGTATTTCTAAATGAAATAAAATATGTTGTAAGACAAACTATATCAGCAGTCTCGCTCTTGTCCCTCAGGCTTGAGTGCAATGGCTCAATCTCGGCTCACTGTAACCTCTGCCTCCAGGGTTCAAACGATTCTCCTGCCTCTGCCTCCCAAGTAGCTGGGATTAAGGCGCCTGCCATCACACCCGGCTAATTTTTGTATTTTTTTTAGTAGAGATGGGGTTTCACCATGTTGGCCAGGCTGGTCTCAAACTCCTGACCTCAGGTGATCCACCCGCCTCGGCCTCCCAAAGTGCTGGGATTACAGGCGTGAGCCACCGCACCCAGCCAATTTTAACCATTTTCAAGTGTACATTTTAGTGGCATTAAGTACATGCATTCACGTTGTTTTATAGCCATCACATCTATCCATCTCCAGAAACTGAAACTCTTTACACATTAAACAATTACCTCCTATTTCTCCCCCACTCCAGCCCCTGGTAGTCATTATGCTACTTTCTGTTTCTATAAATTTGACTATTCTAGATACTTCATAAAAGTGGAACTTTGGGAGGCCGAGACGGGCGGATCACGAGGTCAGGAGATCGAGACCATACTGGCTAACACGGTGAAACCCCGTCTCTACTAAAAATACAAAAATTAGCCGGGCATGGTGGCGCGCGCCTGTAGTCCCAGCTACACGGGAGGCTGAGGCAGGAGAATGGCGTGAACCCGGGAGGCGGAGCTTGCAGTGAGTCGAGATCGCGCCACTGCACTCCAGCCTGGGCGACAGAGCGAAACTCCGTCTCAAAAAAAAAAAAAAAAAAAAAGTGGAATCTTACAATATTTGTCCTTTTGTATCTAGCTTGCTTCACTTATGTTTTCAAGGTTCATCTCAGTGTAGCATATATCAGAGTTTCATTTATTTTTAAGGCTAAAAATATTTCATCATTTGTGTTTACCACATTTTATTTATCTATTCACTCATCAATGGATATTTGGGTTGTAAAACATATTTTTAATATACCACAATACAAAACAAAATTAACAGACATCATGGGCCTTTCTGTTCCACAACAACTAGACCTTATATATGAAACACACTTCGTGGTTTTGTTTAATCTGCAAACACCTTCCCTTCCCCAGTCCTCACATTGTTGAATAAAAATGAAGCAAACAGGGTGCAGCACACCAACATGGCACATGTGTACATATGTAACAAACCTGCATGTTGTGCACTTGTACCCTAGAACTTAAAGTATAATAAAATATATATATATTTTTTAAAAAATGAAGCAAACAAACGAGAGCTTTGCCCATTGCAGTGGGGTTGGGAGAGTGGTCAGGAACCTGGTCTTTCTTTGCCAAGACACCAAGAAATCACTGGTGCCTCGGGGGCTCAGGGAGCCAAAGAGCTAAGGCCTAAAACACAGCGTCCAGCCCTAGAGCTGCAGGGTTCCCAGGGGAACCTGCGCCAGCTGGGAGGGACAGGATTATAATCAAGCAAGCTCTCACAAGTCAAAATAACCAAACCCAGAAGAGGGAAAGCTACAGAGAGAAGGCTGGAGGGAAGCCAAGGGGAAGCCAGCAGAAAGACACGGAAAACCCCAGCGCGGGGATTGAGGGAAGCCAGGCTGCATCTGGATGTTTCTTCCACCTTTTCCCTTCGGCTAACCTACTGCTTGCTTTGTGCTGAGAACTGTAGAATTTCCCACACTTGACACATCTGTCCAAACCTCTGCACTAAGAGACCTGACCAGACTCTGGCATGGCTCCTAGCAGAACAAATCTGTGTCCCTAGGATGGCCCGGTTCCCCTTAAAGTGCTTGCCTGAGAAAACTCAGTGCTGCCAGGAAAATGTACCTGTTTCTTCTACTCAACACACAACTGATGATAGGCCCCTGACCTCCCTTTCCAAGAGAATTTACTAAAAAGGACTTAAAACTGTGAATATGTATCTCTTGAAACTCACAAGCATCTCTCTCAAGGACTGAGAGCCATTCCTTTGCAACACAATCATCAGGATGGATAGAGTGTCTGTCTCGCAGTCTCTGCGGGAGAATAGAGTCCTAATCGAGAGAACTGCCAGCTATCAGACACAGCTGGCCTCCTCACATTTACACTGACCAGCCCTTTCTACCTTTTTACTTCTCTGACTCTACAGAGCCCTGCGTTCTCCCCTCCCTCATTCTCCCTTTAAAATGCTCACATCACCACTGCACAAATCAGAATGGAGCCTAGCTCTTTCCCCCACTGTCAGCAGTTACTGAATGAAACCTATTGTCACTGCCTAAACTAATATCTGGCTGTGCTTATCTTTGACAGCTCCCATCACCCTGGCCTCCCACTAGCAACTTAAATAAGCCCACTCTGCTCTGCCTCAGGCCCTTTGCATATGCTCTTGTTTGCTGCCTGGTGTATTTTACACTGGAGCCCACCCAGGCTCAGTCCTTCATTACATCTCTCTCAGAGAGATGGTCTCTGACCACCCAGGACAAAGCAGGTTTTTCTGTGAGTCCCTGTCAGAACACTCTCCTTTTTCCCTCCATTGTACATCCCCACATTTTGGAATTAGTAGTTTACTTATTCGTGTGTTTTTCTGCTCTCCTGACTAGCCCATGAGCTCCCTGAGGGTAAGGACCAATGTGTTTAATTCACCACTGCAGCCCCATTGCCCAGCACAGGATCTGACATGTACAGATGGGCAGGGGCAACGTTGAAAGAATGAAGAGCATTTTTGTAGACCTAAGAACAAAAAGATCAGCTGTCACCTGCAATCAGGACACTTTACTCTTCCCCCTGCATGCATCACTCATCTTCCCAGTTGTGTATCAAAAGCTGCCAAAGAAGGTTATATAATAATTTTGATAGTGGGCATTCTTATTTATTTATTTATTTTGAGATGGAGCCTCACTCTGTCACCTAGGCTGGAGTGCAGTGGCAGGATCTTGGCTCACTGCAACCTCTGCCTCCCCGGTTCAAGTGATTCTCCTGCCTCAGCCTCCCAAGTAGCTGGGATTACAGGCATGCACCACCATGCCCAGCTAATTTTTATATTTTTTAGTAGAGATGGGGTTTCGCCATGTTGGCCAGGCTGGTCTCGAACTCCTGACCTCAGGTGATCCACCTGCCTCAGCCTCCCAAAGTGCTAGGATTTCAGGCATGAGCCACCGCGCCCAGCCTGATAGCAGGCATTCTTATATTTTCGCCAAGTTCAGAGAACCTAGGGTCTCAAAACAGTCACCCTTGCGTCTACTGTGTCTGGAAAGCAAAAGTTAATGTGCTTTTTGACTTTTGCTTTCCAGACACATTAAAGAAAACCTCCCCATTTCCACTTTTGAAGTGATTTTAGTAAGTCAAGGTTGACTGCCCCATATATCAGCCTCCTACCTGTGAGTAAAGAATTGTTCCAAAGTGACTGGAAACAGAGAAAGTATGGCTTTCTTCCACTCTCTTTTAGGCAGCAGCGACTTACCGCAATGGCCCTGATGCAATCAAGGTAGGAGGCTTTCTTCACACAAGCAACACTGGGACCATCGGATGGAATGACGCTTTTCATATGGTCGCGGAAACTCTGGCACTTAGTGGCCTCATGCTCCGACACTGCACACCATCTCACAGTTTTATCAGGGACAGCCAGACACAGCCCTGGGGGAGAGAGGCCAGAGGTGGAAGGGCCCACTCCCTATGCTGAGGGAGAGACAGCATCGCCCCTAGAAAGGCCTTGACAGCCACATCCCCTCAGTCCTGTCCTCCTCTCACTCCTGTCCATGAACACTACAGGGCACAAGTTCTACTGCATTCTGAGTCTGAGCCAATAGAAGGTTGCCCTAATGGCCTCCCAGTTTCCTACTGACCACCCTCTGCTGGCCAGAGGGGTGCAGGCATGGCCATCACCTCCCAGCTGGAGATGACAATCTGCTCCTCTGTATCCGCCTTGTCTCCTCCCATCACTGTCCTGGCCCCTGGCCCCCCATGGAACATAAGCCTCAGTATGCACAGGGCGTTTTCAGCTACCCCAACACATTGGCTTGCTACCTCAACTATGGAAAACCAGCGGGGGAGGAATTGCCATCTTTTTGAGAAGAGGGAGTGAGACTCAGAGAATGATGCCTTTTTTTTTTTTTAACCCAAGGTCACCCTGCTTGTCGTTGGCCAAGCCAGGCCTAGAATCTGGGTCTCCAGACTCTGGGTCTGCTACTCAGGGCACAAAAGAAGAAAACATTCTGAGTTACACCCCTTCTTGGCCAGTAGTTGAGGGTAAATTAACGAAAAGAATTAATTTGTCTGTAACTCTTGTCTGTTGCTCTCTGTTTAGGAAGAACTAAAAACTCCACAAATTCAACAGTCTCCCCTCTGTCTCCACTGAACTATCCCTCCATTTTCACCACACTTTTTGGCTGCCATTCACAAAAAAAGCTGAAGCCAGCCATGGGTAACTATTAAAATCCATGTGGTTGCAGAGACAGCATCCCTATCACATGAGCTTTTGCCCTGTCCCCAAGGCCCTCTGTCATCTCCACTCCTTGTGGGCCACCACAGCAAGGCTGACTCACTGGCTCTGAAGAAGATCCACAAAGCCTGTGGAGAGGAGGCCCACAGCTCTCCAGGATGCATGAGGAGGGGCCACCAGGGATGGCCACCCCAGCGACCCCCATTTTCCCTCTTGGCCCATGGGAAATCCTAGGAGGCAACATAAGCCTGTGGCAGCCCCTCCACAAAGCCCTGCCTCCAGAGTTCCCATAGGCGAGAATGTGTCCTCAGTGGAGCATTACCTTGCACAGCCTGTGAAGTGCTCTGTGCGGGGATAAAGGCAAGTAACGTGGGGTCCTCTCTCAAGGAATTGCTAGCTTATGGGGAGAGAAAACTAAACGTGGAAGCCCCAACAGTGTGACAAATGCCCCATGAATGGCAGGCAGAAGTTAGAGTATGAAGGGGGCCCCACCTCAGGAGGTCGGGGAGTGTGGCGTCAGCCACTGCCCCATAGCAGGATGTGTGCAACATCTGCCACTGGTACTCAGCATCTGCCACCTCGCTGACCCTCATTTGACCCTCCCAGGCAAGTGCTGTGATGACCCCCTCCCTGGTGAGGAGCCGGCCAGGACTTGGATCCAAGAAGTCTGGCTTCAAACCCCATGCTCTGACCGCTCGATGGCACCGCTTCCTTGGCAGGACATCTACAGCTCCCAGGGCACCCAGGGGACATCAGCCTCTGAAAGGGGAATGGTCAGACCCGGGAGGCCTTGAATGCCATGCTAAGGAGTTCGGACTTGACAAGAGGCAGCAGCAAAGGGTTTTGATAACCTGGTTAGACGTGCTCTGATTTATTGTATTTCACTGCTGCAAGATTTACTGGACAAAGAGGAGGAGGGGGAGAAGACAGTGAGTGCAGTGAAAGGTGTCTAGAAGCCCAAGCAAAGGCCAGGGGTGGGGCGTAGAGAGGCAATGGAAAGGCACCCAGACACCCAGGCTTCCAGCCTGAGCGCGGAGTGCATGCAGGCTGCGCGGTGGCCGCCCGGGTTGCAGGGAACGCGCGGGCCAGCGACTCTGCGGTGCTACCCCGTGCCCGCACTCACCCAGGACGGCGCAGACCAGCAGGGCTCCCACGGCGAGCCTCATCTTCCGGGTGCGGCGCTGAGCAGCGAGCACAGTCGGACTCGCTTCTGTGCAGCCTCCGGCGCCCCGCGTCCCTTTATTCCATTCCCGGCCTGGGCGGGCTGGGCGCAATCTTTGACCTCCCGTGTTTGTGCAGCCGGGTTGCCCAATCGCCCCTCTCCCAACCCCCCTTCCTTACTCGTCCCACTGATCACCTCATTTTCTGAGCTCTGGAGACGACCCGCGAGTGGAAGGAGTCCAGCACAGAAATGTTGATGGGAAGGGACATGAAGCACAATGCAGCCATTGTCATCGCGGCTCGCTCGGTGCCAGGAGCGGCTACGGCGGGCTGGGAGCCGGGGGGCTCTGCTCCTGACTCCAGGGCTGCAGAGCTGGTCCGTGCCACCAGTCCTATCTGCGCAGTCCACAGAGGAAGACTCCGAGGCTGGAGAGGGAAAAGAACTGCGCCCAGACCCCACACTAGAACTGCAGAATGACAGGCAAAGCCCCTTTTGGGGGAGGATGCAGGAGAAACAAGCTGGGCTCAAGGTCAAAGACAGACTCAGCACCTTTTGCTCCCCACCAGGTGTCCCTCGAAATCCTGCTCCTGGGCTCTCAAAGGTCCCCCACGGAGGAGCTGCTCCCTCTTCCTGCCCCGCTGAGCTCAGGCTCCTGGGCTGGAAAACTTCCCGCCCTCAAGCTTCCTGTGGGACACCTTAGACTAGGGACAGAGTCATAGGGGAAGATGAACTCCCTCCAACAAGAAGGTTCCAGGAACATGGTCAAGACACTGTGAGGCTCAGAACAAAGTGTCATCTTAGCACAAAGCAAGCGGCCCAGTGGACGGTGTGGCCTGTTCTTACAGCCTGGGGCCACCATGTCCCCCTCTAGTCGATGAGTCTCCTAACCAGTTTAATTACACATCCTTATCATGAAAAATATTGAACTTGTGCCTTCTATATGCTTATATTTTAACTAAAAAATGTGTACACTTCAATCATGCACAAGGAATAGAAATTTGTAAAAGGATGAGCTAAAGATGAAACTCATTTTCAAATGTCGTTTTGCTTATGCGGCCTTATACAGGATTATTATCTCAAGGCATAATATACTTGGGGAAAGGTCAAGATTCCTTCCACGAAGTGTAAATCCAGACTTCAGAGATTTTGCCAAAAGTTACTTCTTATCCAACCTGACCAGATGGTCATTCATTCTGTCTCATGTTTTAGTTGACCAAGCTCATATCAAGCCTAGTGGACACGTCAGGTCAGTCATTTGATTTTTGTTCACTTGTTTTTGTGTTGTCAGAATTGTCTCCTAATTCTAGTTTCTTTGTAAGAATCTTTTTAAGGCATGTGTGCATCTCGTGAAGGTTGGAGTTAAAGCCAGATTATCTAATCTGTACATCCGTTTAACTGGGCACATACAAACCACAAAGTATGGAAATAAAAATGCCAAAACAAAGGGCAGGGTCGGCACTCCCCTTTTCACCTTTAGCATTGTGAGGTGAACCCCATCTTCCCTTAGGACACCTGAAAGGCTCCATCTGTCATGACTGCAGACTCAGGTGGGAGATAGGGCCAATTCACACATTCAATATGAATGAATGATAATTTGTTAATCTTTTGCAATAACAATAAATATAACTGGAAGTTAGATTATGTTCTCCCACACTCCAAAAGATTATCTCATATGCAAAGGGGTTACATACCTCCCACTTTAGAGTCCACTACAGAAGCTTTCTGTTTACAGTGAGGACAGAAGTCAAGTCTGGCTTTCCCAACACATCAGCCTCACCAGCGAGGGAGAGTGACCACTGCTGCCCTGTCTTACTCCCCCCTTGCCCGTCCACGGGCCCCTTGTGCTTGAGCCATAGGGAAAGAAGACTGTTAGCATGAGGGCCATATTCCTACTGCCCCTGCAGCAGGCTCTAGGCAGTGGTCTGGATTCATTTGGAGACCTTGAGGTAAGGATGTGAGATGAGCAGGAAAAGTCAGGGGCAAGGCTAACTGGAAGGCACCCAGCAGAGCAGCATGCACACATACAGCTGATGCATGGACAGGCCCTGTAGTAAGCTTGCAGGGTCTGCCAGAGAGCAGGAAGTGCAGTTACGAAAGGTTGAGCCCATGCCACAAACTCAGGGAAGCTCAACGCAGGGCATGGAAAGAAGATGGTCAGTGATTCTCCTTTTCTGGAGCCCATCTACATTCGTAGACTAAGCCCCGCTGAGGCCAGTCCTCCAGCCACAGGCCCATAGCCTAGCCAGAGCCCCTCAGCAGGGAGCAACTACCTACTGGCCAGGCTGAGTCCTCTCCAGAGCAGCCAGCTCTATGCCCTGTCCTCAGAAGGGTCCTTTGAGTCCAAGCCCAAGACAGGTGCTGGGAAGGAAATATACAGCCTCATGGGATATGAAGGAAGCTCAGACAAGACATAGAGAACTGGTGCTCCCACGTCATCTACACACACCTAGATGGAGAGGCCAGGGCCTTGGCTTTTGCTCAAGAGGACAACAGCAGAGCTTCGTGCTTGCCATTCCTTGGATGGGGTAGGCAGGGGTGAGGCCAGCTTTGGGGTGTACATGTGTGCATGGCCCTAGCTGTATGGGGTGCCTATGCCTGTATATGTCTATAGGAGCATGTGAAGGTAAGAGGTTAACATTACAGCGCTCCATGTCCATGACACTTGTACCTGTGCTCTCATTTATATTCTTTAATTCTATACCAGAGATGTTCTGGAGTTGGAGAATCACTGTCCCTTTTAATAGCTTAATGATGGCTGAGATTTACTGGGAGCTTCACTGAGCACTTACCATACCCCTCTGACTTTGGTGCTTTAGCATCTGTATCTTACAGATGAGACAAGGAAACTGAGGACAAGAGAGGATGATATCTTGTTCAAGGTCAGCTGCAAAGTCAGAATACAAAAGAAGGCAGTCTGGTTCCAGAGTGTACACATCCACCAGGGACACTGCCTCTCCCAGGAAACCAGGACATGCAGGGGCCAAGGAGCTCATCTGGGGTCACACCGAGAGAGGGACAGACATGAGACTCCCAGCCTTGCCATTTCTCCAAAAGCACACAGCCCCCAGGGCTTTGCCAGCACAGGGGCTGGTCAGTCTGGGAGAGGTCTGAGTACCAACTGCAGATCCTTAGACATGGACTGGCTTGATTATGCTCAGCTGGAAGAAAATATCATGTTTTTATCCCCTTGTATGTGTCAGGCACTGTCCTGGGGCAAGATCATTGGGGCAGCCATGCAAGATAAGATCAGTACCTCCATTTATCACATGTGGTCATTACAGTCAAATGATGGGTCCTTATTCATGGAGCTCTGAGACCTGAACTCAAACTTCCTAAATCTTGCCCTTCTCCAGACCACAGCTGCCTTCTTGATATTGACCTTCTCTTTATTTATTTAGTGGGGGAGGAAAGAGAGGGAGGGAGGTGAGAGAGAAAGAGAAAGAGAAAGAGATTGATAGAGGACATAAAGGAAGCTTCCAGTTCTAGACCAACCCAAGCATGAGCCAAATCTTTCACCGCAAACAGGGCAAAACTCTCAAATTTCAACCACGAGTTGGCCCTTAAAGAAATAGCTGCGCTTGTGTGTACGTGCAGGAAAGCTGGAAAAGCTGACCAGCAGGAGGTGGGTAAGAAAGCAGTGGGCCTCTGAACCAATATTTGTTGTTTCCAAATGTTGCCCAGTTGACACAGAAGCAAAGCAAACAAAGAGCCTCTGTCTGTTTTGAGCAGTTCCTCCTGTCCCCCACCCAGTGTCCTCTGCCTGACACCAGAGACTTCTCTAAGTCTGGGTCATCCTTGAGAAGCAGCAGCCTGGCAGCCTGAGAACCGACATTCACGAAATCAGTCACCCTGCAAGCCCGCTGGGTCGGGCTGTATGGCTAGGGGGTTGGGGACTGGGCAGGGTACTTTTAGGAAAATGCCAGGCATTTTGAAATGCCACATGACACCACTGCTCACTCGCTCTCACTCTCTCTCTCTTTCTCTCTCTCTCTCTCCTTCTCTTTCCCTTTCTCTATCTCTGTTCTACCTCTCAGAAGTCCTTGGACAATGAAGATTCTCAAGGTTTCCATTCTTTTCACAGGGGAGTCTGCAAAAATACCTGTCTCATGAAGAATAGTCCAGGGCCAGGTGGAATGAATTCCATCAAACATTTAAGAATTACAGCGTGGGGGTGGTGGCTCATGCCTGTAATCCTAGGGCTTTGGAAGCCTGAGGCAGGAGGATTGCTTGAGCTCACGAGTTCAAGACCAGCCTGGGCAATATAGTGAGAACTCGTCTCTACAAAAAATTTAAATCAGCTGGACACAGTGGCATGCACCTGTAGTGCCAGCTACCCAAGAGGCTAAGGTAAGAGGATTGCTTGAGCCCAGGAGTTCAAGGCTGCAGTGAACCAAGATCACAACACTGCATTCCAGCCTGGGCAACAAAGTGAGACCCTGTCTCTAAATAAAGAAAAAGGATTAAACCAATATATTCCTCCAGGAACAGAAAAGTAGGAACACTCCTTAACTAATGTTTTGAGGACAGTATGTATACTTAGAAAGGAAAAACTAACAAAGACATCATGACAAAGATAAAAAAATAACTTCTATGAACTCAGATGCAAAATTTCTACACAAAAGATTAGCAAATAGAATCTAGCAAAATGTAAAAAAGATTAATAAATAATTACCAAATTGGGTTTATTCCAGGAATGTAAGCTATCTTTTCAAGTATCAATCACTGTAATATATCATATTAGTGGAATAATAAAGGAAAACGGTATGACCCTATCACTCAGTATGGGAACATCATTTCATAAAATTCAATATCCATTCATAACAAAACCTCTTAGCAAATTTATTCGACAAACCTTTCTCAGTCTGATATCAAGTATTAGTGTACCATAAAAATCTACAGAAATCATACTTAATGTGGCATGCTGAATAAAGCTTTTCTGTTGAGATCAGTAATAAGACCAGAATGTTTACTATTATCATTTCTGGTCATCCTTTTTACGGGAGGCCCTTGCTAGTTTAGTCAGGCAAGAAAAAGAAATAGTAAGTAAAAGGATTGAAAAGGAAAAAAATAAATTCTCATCTTTATGCATAATAAATTGTATGTATATAAAATTCTGAAGAAACTAGAGTATACCTTAGAATAAATGAGTTAAAGCTGGGCATGGTGGCTCATGTCTATAATCACAGAACTTTGGGAGGCTGAAGCAGGCAGCATCACCTGAGGTCAGGAGTTTGAGACCAGCATGGCCAACATAGCAAAACCCCTTCTCTACTAAAAATACAGAAATTAGCTAGGTGTGGTGGTGCACACCTGTAGTCTCAGCTACTCAGGAGGCTGAGGTGGGGGAATTGCTTGAATCTGGGAGGCAGAGGTTGCAGTGACCTGAGATTGTGCCACTACACTCCAGCCTGGGTGACAGAGTGAGACCCTGTCTCAAAAAAAAAAAAAAAAAAAAAAATAGAGCTGGATCAAGGTAGGTAAACACACCAAAGTCAATTGTATTTCTATACTCAAATTAAAAAAAAAAAAAAAAACATGAAAAATGCTACCTAAGGTAACATAAGAAAAACAAATGCCTAGGATTAAATCTATCAAAAGACATCTAAAACTTTTATGTACCAGACTTTAAATTAAGAAACTCAAAGTAAATGGAAAACTATATCTTGAACAGGGAGTGGAAGACTTGATATTGTAAAAATTACAATTCTCCTTAAATTGATGTAGAAATTCAATGTACTCCCAATCAAATTCCAAATGTTTTTTCATGTAAATTAACAACATAATTCTAAAGTTTGTAAAAGAAAATGCAAAAGAGGCTGGGCACGGTGGCTCATGCCTGTAATACCAGCATTTTGGGAAGCCAAGGCGGGAGGATCACTTAAGGTCAGGAGTTCGAGACCAGCTTGGCCAAAATGGTGAAACCCCGTGTATACTAAAAATACAAAAATTAGCCGGGCATGGTAGCATGTACCTGTAGTCCTACCTACTCGGGAGGCTGAGGCATGAGAATCGAGAATCACTTAAACCCAGGAGGCAGAGGTTGCAGTGAGCTGAGATCATGCCACATTAGGTATTTCTCCTAATGCTATCCCTCCCTTAGCCCCCAACCCCCTGAGAGGCCCCAGTGTGTGATGTTCCCCTCCCTGTGTCCATGTATTCTCATTGTTCAACTCCCACTTATGAGTGAGAACATGTGGTATTTGGTTTTCTGTTCCTGTGTTACTTTGCTGAGAATGATGGTTTTCACCTTCATCCACACCCCTGCAAAGGACATGAACTCATCCTTTTTTATGGCTGCATAGTATTCCATCGTGTATATGTGCCACATGTTATTTATCCAGTCTATCATTGATGGGCATTTGGGTTGGTTCCAAGTCTTTGCTATTGTGAATAGTGCCACAATAAACATACATGTGCTTGTATCTTTATAGTAGAATGATTTATAATCCTTTGGGTATATACCCAGTAATGGGATTGCTGGGTCAAATGGTATTTCTGGTTCTAGATCCTTGAGGAATTGCCACACTGTCTTCCACAAAGGTTGAACTAATTTACACTCCCACCAACAGTGTAAAAGCATTCCTATTTCTCCACATCCTCTCCAGCATCTGTTGTTTCCTGACTTTTTAATGATTGCCATTCTAACTGGCATGAGATGGTATCTCATTGTGGTTTTGATTTGCATTTCTCTAATGACCAGTGATGATGAGCTTTTTCCCTTATGTTTGTTGGCTGCCTAAATGTCTTCTTTTGTGACATATCCTTTGCCCACTTTTTGATGGTTGTTCATATCCTTTGCCCACTTTTTGATAGGGTTTTTTTTTTCTTGTAAATTTGTTTATGTTCCCTGTAGATTCTGGATATTAGCCCTTTGTCGGAGGGATAGACTGTAAAAATTTTCTCCCATTCTGTAGGTTGCCTGTTCACTCTGATGATAGCTTCTTTTGCTGTGCAGAAGCTCTTTATTTTAATTAGATCCCATTTGTCAATTTTGGCTTTTGTCGCCATTGCTTTTGGTGTTTTAGACATGAAGTCTTTGCCCATGCCTATGTCCTGAATGGTATTGCCTAGGTTTTCTTCTAGAGTTTTTATGGTTTTAGGTCTTATGTTTAAGTCTTTAATCCATCTTGAGTTAATTTTTGTATATGGTGTAAGGAAGGGGTCCAGTTTCAGTTTTCTACATATGGCTAGCCTGTTTTCCTAGCACCATTTATTAAATGCGGAATCCTTTCCCCATTGCTTGTTTTTGTCAGGTTTGTCAAAGATCAGATGGTTGTAGATGTGTGGCGTTATTTTTTGAGGCCTCTGTTCTGTTCCATTGGTCTATATATCTGTTTTGGTACCAGTGCCCTGCTGTTTTGGTTACTGTAGCCTTGTAGTATAGTTTGAAGTCAGGTAGTGTGATGCCTCCAGCTTTGTTCTTTTGGCTTAGGATTGTCTTGGCTATGCGGGCTCTTTTTTGGTTCCATATGAAATTTAAAGTAGTTTTTTCCAATTCTGTGAAGAAAGTTAATGGTAACTTGATGGGGATAGCATTGAATCTGTAAATTACTTTGGGCAGTATGGCCATTTTAACAATATTGATTCTTCCTATCCATGAGCATGGAATGTTTTTCCATTTGTTTGTGTCCTCTGTTATTTAGTTGAGCAGTGGTTTGTAGTTCTCCTTGAAGAGGTCCTTCACATCCCTTGTAAGTTGTATTCCTAGGTATTTTATTCTCTTTGTAGCAATTGTGAATGGGAGTCCACTCATGATTTGGTGCTCTGTTTGTCTGTTATTGGTGTATAGGAATGCTTGTGATTTTTGCACATTGATTTTGTATCCTGAGACTTTGCTGAAGTTGCTTATCAGCTTAAGGAGATTTTGGACTGAGACGATGGGGTTTTCGGAATATACAATCACGTCATCTGCAAACAGAGAGAATTTGACTTCCTCTCTTCCTATTTGAATACCCTTTATTTCTTTCTCTTGCCTGATTGCCCTGACGAGAACTTTCAATACTATGTTGAATAGGAGTGGGAAGAGAGGGCATCCTTGTCTTGTGCCGGTTTTCAAAGGGAATGCTTCCAGCTTTTGCCTATTCAGTATGATATTGGCTGTAGGTTTGTCATAAATAGCTTTTATTATTTTGAGATATGTTCCATCAATACCTAGTTTATTGCGAGTTTTTAGCATGAAAGGGTGTTGAATTTTGTTGAAGGCCTTTCCTGCATCTATTGAGATAATCATGTGGTTTTTGTCATTGGTTCTGTTTATGTGATGGATGATGTTTATTGATTTGAGTATGTTGAACCAGTCTTGCATCCCAGGGATGAAGCCAACTTGATCGTGGTGGATAAACTTTTTGATGTGCTGCTGGATTCAGTTTGCCAGTATTTTATTGAAGATTTTCTCATTGATGTTCATCAGGGATATTGACCTGAAATTTTCTTTTTTTGTTGTGTCTCTGCCAGGTTTTGGTATCAGGATGATGCTGGCCTCATAAAATGAGTTGGGGGGAGTCCCTCTTTTTCTATGGTTTGGAATAGTTTCAGAAGGAATGGTACCAGCTCTTCTTTGTACCTCTGGTAGAATTCAGTTGTGAATCTTTCTGGTCCTGGGCTATTTTTTCTTGGTAGGCTATTAATTACTGCTTCTATTTCAGAACTTGTTATTGGTCTATGCAAGGATTTGACTTCTGCCTGGTTTAGTCTTGGGAGGGTGTATGTGTCCAGGAATTTATCCATTTCTTCTAAATTTTCTAGTTTATTTTCATAGAGGTGTTTATAGTATTCTCTGATGGTTGTTTGTATTTCTGTGGGATCAGTGGTGATATCCCCTTTATCATTTTTTATTGTGTCTATTTGACTCTTCTCTCTTTTCTTATTAGTCTGGCTAGCGGTCCATTTTGTTAATCTTTTCAAAAAACCAGCTCCTGGATTCATTGATTTTTTTAAGGGTTTTTTTTTGTGTGTCTCTACCTCCCACAGCTCTGCTCTGATCTTAGTTATTTCTTGTCTTCTTCTAGCTTTTGAATGTGTTTGCTGTTGCTTCTCTAGTTCTTTTAATTGTGATGTTAGAGTGTCAATTTTAGATCTTTCCTGCTTTCTCCTGTGGGCATTTAGTGGTATAAATTTCCCTCTAAACCCTGCTTTAGCTGTGTCCCAGAGATTCTGGTACATTGTGTCTTTGTTCTCATTGGTTTCAAAGAACTTATTTATTTCTGCCTTAATTTCGTTATTTACCCAGTAGTCATTCAGGAACAGGTTGCTCAGTTTCCATGTAGTTGTGCAGTTTTGAGTGAGTTTCTTAATCCTGAGTTCCAATTTGATTGCACTGTGGTCTGAGAGACTGTTATGATTTCTCTTCTTTTGCATTTGCTGAGGAGTGTTTTACTTTCGATTATGTGTTCAATTTTAGAATAAGTGCGATGTGGTGCTGAGAAGGATGTATATTCTATTGATTTGGGGTGGAGAGTTCTGTAGATGTCTATTAGGTCCGCTTGGTCCAGAGCTGAGTTCAAGTCCTGAATATCCTTGTTAATTTTTTGTCTCATTAATCTGCCTTATATTGACAGTGGGGTGTTAAAGTCTCCCACTATTATTGTGTGGGAGTCTAAGTCTCTTTGTCCGTCCCTAAGAACTTGCTTTATGAATCTGGGTGCTCCTGTATTGGGTGCATATATATTTAGGATAATTAGCTCTTCTTGTTGCATTGATCTTTTTACCATTATGTAATACTCTTCTTTGTCTTTTTTTTAATCTTTGTTGGTTTAAAGTCTGTTTTATCAGAGACTAAGATTGTAACCCCTGCTTTTTTTTTTTTTTTTTTTTGGCTTTCCATTTGCTTGGTAAATCTTCTTCTATCTCTTTATTTTGAGCCTATGTGTGTCTTTGCACGTGAGATGGGTCTCCTGAATACAGCACACTGATGGGTCTTGACTCTATCCAATTTGCCAGTCTGTGTCTTTTAACTGGGGGGCACTTAGCCCGTTTACATTAAGGTTAATATTGTTATGTGTGAATTTGATCCTGTCATTATGATGCTAGCTGGTTATTTTGCCTGTTAGTTGATGCAGTTTCTTCATAGTGTTGATGGTCTTTACAATTTGTTATGTTTTTGCAGTGGCTGGTACCGGTTTTTCCTTTCCATATTTAGTGCTTCCTCTATAAGCTCTTGTAAGGCAGGCCTGGTGGTGACAAAATCTCTCAGCAGTTGCTTGTCTGTAAAGGATTTTATTTCTCCTTCACTTAGGAAGCTTAGTTTGGCTGGATATGAAATTCTGGGTTGAAAATTCCTTTCTTTAAGAATGTTGAATATTGGCTCCCCTCTCTTCTGGCTTGCAGGGTTTCTGCTGAGAGATCTGCTGTTAGTCTGATGGGCTTCCCTTTGTGGGTAACCCAACCTTTCTCTCTGGCTGCCCTTAACATTTTTTCTTCATTTCAATCTTGGTGAATCTGACGATTATGTGGCTTGTGGTTGGTCTTTTTGAGGAGTATCTTTGTGATGTTCTCTGTATTTCCTGAATTGGAATGTTGGCCTGTCTTGCTAGGTTGGGGAAGTTCTCCTGGATAATATCCTGAAGAGTCTTTTCCAGCTTGGTTCCATTCTCCCTGTCACTTTCAGGTACACAAATCAAATGTAGGTTTGGTCTTTTCACATAGTCCCATATTTCTTGGAGGCTTTATTTGTTCTTTTTCATTCTTTTTTCTCTAATCTTGTCTTCATGCTTTATTTCATTAAGTTGATCTTCAATCTCTGATATCCTTTCTTCTGCCTGATCAATTCGGCACAATTGGTATTTGTGTATGCTTCACAAAGTTCTCGTGCTGTTTTTCAGCTCCATCAGCTTATTTATGTCCTTCTTCAAACTGATTATTGTAGTTAGCAATTCCTCTAACCTTTTTTCAAGGTTTTTAGCTTCCTTGCATTGGGTTAGAACATGCTCCTTTAGCTCGGAGGGGTTTGTTATTACCCACCTTCTGAAGCCTATTTCTGTCAATTCGTCAAACTCATTCTCTGTCCAGTTTTGTTCCTGGCTGGCAAGGAGTTGCAATCCTTTGGAGGAGAAGAGGTGTTCTGGCTTTTGGAATTTTCCACAATTATTTCTTTTTTTTTTTTTTTTGGGATGGAGTCTTGCTCAGTTGCTCAGGCTAGAGTGCAGTGGTGTGATCTTGGCTCACTGCAACCTCTGCCTGCCAGGTTCAAGCAATTCTCTGTGTCAGCCTCCCGAGTCACTGGGATTACAGGCACCTGCCACCACGCCTGGCTAATTTTTGTATTTTTAGTAGAGACGGGGTTTCACCATCTTGACCAAGCTGGTCTTGAACTCCTGACCTCGTGATCCACCCGCCTCAGCATCCCAAAGTGCTGGGACAACAGCACAATTTTTTCTTATTATCATCTAATACTCAGTCAATATAGCAATTACCCTTGTTGTCTAAAAAAGTGTTAGGTTGTTCAAACTGGATCCCAAAGAAGATCCACATGTTACATTTAACTCTTAAATCTCTTTCACTCTAAACAATTAGCAGCATTTTATGTTGCATACTTGTCAAATAAACTGGATCACTTGTCCTTGGGAATTTCCAACATTCTGGATTTGGCTGGTCTGTGTTCTCATGGTGTGATTTTGTATTTAACAGGTTTTTTTTTTTTTTTAAGAAACTCTCCATTTGGGTTTTTGTGGCATCACCACATGATTTGACTCAGGTTGTGCATTTTTGGCAGCAATATCACAGACACAATGCTGTGTTCTTAATGATTCACAGAATGAATTAGTACTACATTGATTGCAAAATGAGGATTTTCAGATATCACTTCTTCTATGCTTATTAATTAGCATTCTGAGGTAAGGAAGAACTTCCCTTTCTTCATCTGTTTAGTTTTTTCTATGACTTGTTTATATCTGCATGGACTCGTGAGTTCCTGTTTTGTTTGGTGGGTTATAGCCAGTTACTGACATTATCTAGTTCAGTGCTCAAACTGTTGCACATGTGGCCAATTGGAGGCATTTCCAGCTGGCTCCTGCAGACCTGTGACAAGCCTCAACATTTTTTAAGCACTTCACTTTCTGATAGAACAAGACATTCAAGCCTACTTTGTACCTTCCCTGTACCAGCTCTGGGATCTCTATTTCTAGAATCTCCTTCTCTAAGGTGACGGACGTAACCTTTTAGTGGAGAACGGTATTTAGAAAGCAAATTCTGGGTGCCAGGTGTGGTAATTCTTGTTGCAGAATCATTGATACTAGGCTCTCCAGACAGAGCTAGGGGACACAGAAACACACACACGTCTATACCTGTCCCACACCCTTACACAACCATGAGTTCACACTGATCCCTCAATTCCAACTGAACAGCACTGCAGATATTCTAGCTGTCTTCCTCCCCATATGTGCAGCTCCCTTCTCTGGCCATGAGAAACCGCAGTCCCAGTGTGCTCACTATTTTCAGCTCTTTGCTCATTTCTCTTGTACATAAACAACCTCCTGATCCTCCCACTGCCTGCTTCACCCCAGTGTCTCAGGAGCCACTGCCCATAGCCACCTCAAGCAAAGGAACGAGAATAGAATAAATACATGTTTTTTTTTTTTTTGTTTTTTAAGGAAGGAAAGAAAATGGAAACAAGAGAAAGGCAGGGAAATGAAAGAAGAAAGGGAGCAGCCAGCCTTTTAATCATCTCCTCTACAGGACTGTGAAGGGCAGATAGGATTGTGTGCAGAATGGAGGAATAACGGAGCAGAGATATTCAGCATTGTTCAATGTTACAAAGCCAAGGGCTCCTTCTCCTTAACTCAGTCCTTCTTCTACAACTGGGACAGACCAGGAGCTGTCTGTTCTCATTTTAAGACAGAGATGTACCTGGCTAAGAAACCCCTTTTCTCATCACCATATTTTCAATCTCACCCAGTTCCACTTGACCCCCCAGGCTGACAGCTAGAAGGGCCACTGACCCTGGAGCCCAGCGCACTCTGGGAACTCTCATGTGTAAAGGAACAAAGGTCCCTGATCAAAGGCAGGTGTGCAGGAATGCTAGCCTTCCCTGACACACTATTTACAGGACACCTCGGCAGGCTTGGCAAAGATGGGAAGGAGGTTAGTAGTCAGGGATGGGGACACACGAGTTTTGTGCCCCAAACTGTGAAATAGGCAGCCTGTGTCACAGCAGCTGCTTCAGCCCCTTCCTCCACAGGCCCCTCTCCCAGGTGAGATAGTAGATGCTCGGGAGTGGAAAGGAAGGCTGTGAAATTTTGACAGCATGGCATAAAGTGGGCTGGGACAACAGGTGTCAAATAATTTGGATTTTAAACAAAAGAATAAATTCTGATAGATGAATGGGCCCCCAGAAGTGGGGTTTATTCCTAGATCTGAATTTGGAAATAATCTTCACACTGCAAGGCAGGAACATAGCGTTGGTAGAAGTGGCATTCAGTAAACACAGGACAAGATCATAACTGCACGAATTAGGACAAGAGAAGATCCTGGCCCTGGTTCTCCCTGACTGAAGACACCACTAAAGCTACAGTGGCTTGGTCGTTCACTTCTATACACCAAGACTTTCAGGTTGGACAGTGAATTAGGCAAGTCACCCAAGCTCTCAGTGCCCCAATTCCCCATCTAGAAAATGAGGATCATAATGTGTCCGGAATTGGTGGGTTCATTGGTCTCGCTGAGTTCAAGAACAAAGCTGCAGGCCCTTGCAGCGAGTGTTACAGTTCTTAAAGACGGTGTGTCAAGAGTTTCTTCCTTCTGATGTTCAGACGTGTCTGGAGTTTTTTCCTTCTGGTGTGCTGGTGGTCTTGCTGACTTCAGAAATGAAGCTGCAGACCTTCATGATGACTGTTACAGCTCATAAAGGTAGTGTGGACCCAAACAGTGCGCAGCAGCAAGATTTCTTGCAAACAGCAAAAGAATAAAACTTCCACACTGTGAAAAGGAACCGGAGTGGGTTGCCGCTGTTGGCTCTGGTGGCCTACTTTTATTCCCTTATTTGGCCCCACCCACATCCTGCTGATTGGTCCATTTTACAGAGAGCTGATTGGTCCATTTTATAGAGTGCTGATTGGTCCGTTTTACAGAGTGCTGATTGGTCCGTTTTGACAGCATGCTGATTGGTGCATTTACAAACCTTTAGCTAGACACAGAGCACTGATTGGTGCATTTATGATCCTTTAGCTAGACAGAAAAGTTCTCCAAGTCCCCACCCGACCCAGAAGCCCAGCCAGCTTCACCTCTCAATAATGCCTGCTTCATAGAGTTATTGTGAGATCTAAATTAGTAATTACTGTAAATCACCTAGTACAGTATCCAGCACCTTAGCATTTTTCCTCTAATTTTTATTTATATCCTGACCAATATCTTCCCCTTCTAAGTCCCATGTGCACAGCTCCTGAGCCCAGCCCCTCAGGTCCCACTACATCAAGGACCCTGCAAGGATGCTGACCACTAAGTCCTAGGAAGTCCATCACAGAGAACAGAGCAGACAGATCCTAGCAGGACTTTTTCTCTGTATACTAGTTCCCTATGCCCACCTTCTATTAACAGTCACCTGTCCATTCATTCACTGAGTATTGTCACATGCAATCCGTACAGTAATAAAATGGGCATGGGATTGGAGTCAAAGACTCTTGGGTTTGGATGTTAGACCACTGAGTAGCTGCATCATACCGGACAAGTTACTTAACTACTCTGAGGCTCTGTTTTCTCATTAGTAATAGGAGTACAAATGTCTACCTTGTCATTCTGAAGATTGCTCACATTGCTATTAGATTGCTTGCTCTGTCTGACCAATAGATGGTAATGACACCAATAGATGGTGATGACAACTATCATTATTACAGAACACCCAACATAGACTACATACCAAATACACACTCAGTGAACTAATGAAGTTATTCTGTGTGACTGCTTTATGTCTCCCTCCATTGCTGCTGGGACCTTTGGCAAAATACACCCTGAGAGACCATTTAGTATAGAGAAGTGGTTTTACAGAGACAAAAGCTGAGCTCAGCTGGAGGACATAACTGGTAGGCTGTCCAGCAAGATGGAAAGCTAGAATCTAGGACTATGAACTCAATAGCCTGAGCTGTCCCCACTGTCCTGTAACACACTTTCTTGAAAAGTGTTATTCACAATTTCTTCCAACATTATTTAAGGATTGTACTTCCCATTGCTCCTTCACCAAGACAGGTCAAGTCCCAAGACCTTCAGATAGGCCCATGAGCTGAATCAGCTCTGTTCAGCTGGTTAAGCTGAACAGAGTCCAGTGCTCCTAGGGCCAAAGTAAACTGATCACTGATCCTTCTACTGCCTCCAGAGCAAACTCCCTTGTTTAATGTCCTCAGGGTCCATGGAAAAAGAAGATCAAAGTTCACCAGTTTTCTCAGCTGTCCAAAGTAAATCTCTGACCTATACAGATTTGCAAATAATTGGTGTCAACTGTTGGTTTCTACAATGGAATGATTTTACCCTTTTAGTTGTTTTAAATATTCCTCACAGATAGGCCTTTTAAGTACATATATGTAAAGTGTATACATGTACAATTTAATAAGACTTACCAACCCCCTAGGGTAGCATCTACTTAAAATCAGATCAACAAATCTCCATCCCTACACTTCTACCACTCAGGGAAAGGCAGTGTGAGGTCACAGAAGAATCACTGAACTGAAGCTATGAATGCACAAAAATTGTATGTAAACATGTGTGTGTATGCATGCTTGTGTGTGTGTTACTAGAATGAGAGTTCCTGGCTTTTATTAATCTTCAAAGGGATCCATTAGTATCCCAAATATATTGAAATGTTAAACATTAATTATTTGCTCTGGCTTTCTTTCCAGGTTCTTAGAATTGGGACAAAGCAGAGGTGGGGTTCTTGACAGCTCTTCCCCAGTGCCATTGAAAGACCCCTGTTGGACCAGGGTCTACAGGCTCCTGCCTCAGGTCTGTGCCACTTAGGACTGCAAGGTTGACTCTCCTGGTATAGAAAATTGGTGGTAGAACCACAAGCCCACCATAGCCAGCAGTCTCTGGGCTTTGGATAACAGAGTCTGAAGATTTGTAGCAGGTGAAACTCCAGGGGAGAGTCTTCCAGAAGCCCAGCATAAAGGATAGGCATGCCTATGGCTTCCTGAGGGAAAACTTCAAGGAGAGAACATAGGACTTGATGTGAAAATGCCATTTCCAGAAGGAGTGAGGTCCTGTCCCCAGAAACTCCTGGGTAGGAAGCTCATGAGCCAGGGGCCCTTCCTGTCCCCTCTAGGACTGAGTTCTAGGCTGGAGAGAAGATCTGCCTTCTGCTGGGTTCTTCAGCTCTGGCAACTAAATGAGCTGGAAGAGTCAATCTGGTAGCTCACTGGGTAGATGAGGAACTTGAGATAGAAGCTCATTTCGCTAGATGTGCTGATATCAATGTAGGGACATAAGAAACATGAAAAAGCAAGAGAATATGACACCACAATAAATGTCCAGTAAGAGGCCACAAAGAAAGAGGAATTTACAAAATACCTGAAAAGAAATTTAAAAATATTGATCTTAAGGAAGATCAGTGGGATACAAGAGAACACAGACAAACAATTCAATGAAATCAGGAAAACAATCCATGATCTGAATGAAAAAAATCAACAAAGAGATATCATATAAAAGAACCAAACGGGGGGGAGGAGCCAAGATGGCCGAATAGGAACAGCTCCAGTCTACAGCTCCCAGCGTGAGCGATGCAGAAGACGGGTGATTTCTGCATTTCCATCTGAGGTACCAGGTTCATCTCACTAGGGAGTGCCAGACAGTGGGTGCAGGACACTGGGTGCAGCGCACTGTGCACGAGCCGAAACAGGGCGAGGCATTGCCTCACTCGGGAAGTGCAAGGGGTCAGGGAGTTCTCTTTCCTGGTCAAGGAAAGGGGTGACAGACAGCACCTGGAAAATCGGGTCACTTCCACCCGAATACTGCGCTTTTCCGACGGGCTTAAAAAACAGCGCACCAGGAGATTATATCCCACACCTGGCTCAGAGGGTCCTACGCCCACGGAGTCTCACTGATTGCTAGCACAGCAGTCTGAGATCAAACCGCAAGGCAGCAGCGAGGCTGGGGGAGGGGCGCCCGCCATTGCCCAGGCTTGCTTAGGTAAACAAAGCAGCTGGGAAGCTCAAACTGGGTGGAGCCCACCACAGCTCAAGGAGGCCTGCCTGCCTTTGTAGGCTCCATCTCTGGGGGCAGGGCACAGACAAACAAAAAGACAGCAGTAACCTCTGCAGACTTCAATGTCCCTGTCTGACAGCTTTGAAGAGAGCAGTGGTTCTCCCAGCACGCAGCTGGAGATCTGAGAATGGACAGACTGCCTCCTCAAGTGACCCCTCTGACCCCTGACCCCCAAGCAGCCTAACTGGGAGGCACCCCCCAGTAGGGGCAGACTGACACCTTACACGGCCGGGTACTCCTCTGAGACAAAACTTCCAGAGGAACGATCAGACAGCAGCATTCGCGGTTCACAAAAATCCGCTGTTCTGCAGCCACCGCTGCTGATACCCAGGCGAACAGGGTCTGGAGTGGACCTCTAGCAAACTCAAACAGTCCTGCAGCTGAGGGTCCTGTCTGGTAAAAGGAAAGCTAACAAACAGAAAGGCCATCCACACCAAAAACCCATCTGTACATCACCATCATCAAAGACCAAAAGTAGATAAAACCACAAAGATGGGGAAAAAACAGAACAGAAAAACTGGAAACTCTAAAAAGCAGAGTGCCTCTCCTCCTCCAAAGGAATGCAGTTCCTCACCAGCAACGGAACAAAGCTGGATGGAAAAGGACTTTGACAAGTTGAGAGAAGAAGGCTTCAGACAATCAAACTACTCCAAGCTACAGGAGGAAATTCAAACCAAAGGCAAAGAAGTTATAAACTTTGAAAAAAATTTAGACGAATGTATAACTAGAATAACCAATACAGAGAAGTGCTTAAAGGAGCTGATGGAGCTGAAAGCCAAGGCTCAAGAACTACGTGAAGAATGCAGAAGCCTCAGGAGCTGATGCAATGAACTGGAAGAAAGGGTATCAGTGATGGAAGATGAAATGAATGAAATGAAGAGAGAAGGGAAGTGTAGAGAAAAAAGAATAAAAAGAAACGAACAAAGCCTCCAAGAAATATGGGACTATGTGAACAGACCAAATCTGCATCTGATTGGTGTACCTGAAAGTGACGGGGAGAATGGAACCAAGTTGGAAAACACTCTGCAGGATATTATCCAGGAGAACTTCCCCAATCTAGCAAGGCAGGCCAACATTCAGATTCAGGAAATACAGAGAACGCCACAAAGATACTCCTCGAGAAGAACAACTCCAAGACACATAATTGTCAGATTCACCAAAGTTGAAATGAAGGAAAAATGTTAAGGATAGCCAGGGAGAAAGGTTGGGTTACCCACAAAGGGAAGCCCGTCAGACAAACAGCTGATCTCTCAGCAGAAACCCTGCCAGCCAGAAGAGAGTGGGGGCCAATATTCAACATTCTTAAAGAAAAGAATTTTCAATCCAGAATTTCATGTCCAGCCAAACTAAGCATCATAAGTGAAGGAGAAATAAAATACTTTACAGACAAGCAAATGCTGAGAGATTTTGTCACCACAGGCCTGCCCTAAAAGAGTTCCTGAAGGAAGCACTAAACATGGAAAGGAACAACCGGTACCAGCTGCTGCAAAATCATGCCAAAATGTAAAGACCATCGAGACTAGGAAGAAACTGCATCAACTAACGAGCAAAATAACCAGCTAACATCATAATGACAGGATCAAATTCACACATAACAATATTAACTTTAAATGTAAATGGACTAAATGCTCCAATTAAAAGACACAGACTGGCAAATTGGATAAAGAGTCAAGACCCATCAGTGTGCTGTATTCAGAAAACCCATCTCACGTGCAGAGACACACATAGGCTCAAAATAAAAGGATGGAGGAAGATCTACCAAGCAAATGGAAAACAAAAAAAGGCAGGGGTTGCAATCTTAGTCTCTGATAAAACAGACTTTAAACCAACAAAGATCAAAAGAGACAAAGAAGGCCATTACATAATGGTAAAGGGATCAATTCAACAAGAAGAGCTAACTATCCTAAATATATATGCACCCAATACAGGAGCACCCAGATTCATAAAGCAAGTCCTGAGTGACCTACAAAGAAACTTAGACTCCCACACAATAATAATGGGAGACTTTAACACCCCACTATCAACATTAGATAGATCAATGAGACAGAAAGTTAACAAGGATACCCAGGAATTGAACTCAGCTCTACACCAAGCTGATCTAATAGACATCTACAGAACTCTCCACCCCAAATCAACAGAATATACATTTTTTTCAGCACCACACCACACCTATTCCAAAATTGACCACATAGTTGCAAGTAAAGTTCTCAGCAAATGTAAAAGAACAGAAATTATAACAAACTGTCTCTCAGACCACAGCGCAATCAAACTAGAACTCAGGATTAAGAAAATCACTCAAAACCGCTCAACTACATGGAAACTGAACAACCTGCTCCTGAATGACTACTGGGTACATAACAAAATGAAGGCAGAAATAAAGATGTTCTTTGAAACCAACGAGAACAAAGACACAACATACCAGAATCTCTGGGACGCATTCAGAGCAGTGTGTAGAGGGAAATTTATAGCACTAAATGCCCACAAGAGAAAGCAGGAAAGATCCAAAATTGACACCCTAACATCACAATTAAAACAACTAGAAATGCAAGAGCAAACACATTCAAAAGCTAGCAGAAGGCAAGAAATAACTAAAATCAGAGCAGAACTGAAGGAAATAGAGACACAAAAAACCCTTCAAAAAATTAATGAATCCAGGAGCTGGTTTTTTGAAAGGATCAACAAAATTGATAGACCACTAGCAAGACTAATAAAGAAGAAAAGAGAGAAGAATCAAATAGATGCAATATAAAATGATAAAGGGGATATCACCACCAATCCCACAGAAATACAAACTACCATCAGAGAATACTACAAACACCTCTACGCAAATAAACTAGAAAATCTAGAAGAAATGGATAAATTCCTCAACACATACACTCTCCCAAGACTAAACCAGGAAGAAGTTGAATCTCTGAATAGACCAATAACAGGCTCTGAAATTGTGGCAATAATCAATAGCTTACCAACAAAAAAAAGTCCAGGACCAGATGGATTCACAGCCGAATTCTACCAGAGGTACAAGGAGGAACTGGTACCATTCCTTCTGAGACTATTCCAATCAATAGAAAAAGAGGGAATCCTCCCTTACTCATTTTATGAGGCCAGCATCATCCTGATATCAAAGCCGGGCAGAGACACAATCAAAAAAGAGAATTTTAGACCAATATCCTTAATGAACATTGATGCAAAAATCCTCAATAAAATACTGGCAAACCGAATCCAGCAGCACGTCCAAAAGCTTATCCACCATGATCAAGTGGGCTTCATCCCTGGGATGCAAGGCTGGTTCAATATACGCAAATTGATAAATGTAATCCAGCATATAAACAGAACCAAAGACAAAAACCACATGATTATCTCAATAGATGTAGAAAAGGCATTTGACAAAATTCAACAACCCTTCATGCTAAAAACTCTCAATAAATTAGGTATTGATGGGACGTATCTCAAAATAATAAGAGCTATCTATGACAAACCCACAGCCAATATCATACTGAATGGGCAAAAACTGGAAGCATTCCTTTTGAAAACTGGCACAAGACAGGGATGCCCTCTCTCACCACTCCTATTCAACATAGTGTTGGAAGTTCTGGCCAGGGCAATTAGGCAGGAGAAGGAAATAAAGGGTATTCAATTAGGAAAAGAGGAAGTCAAATTGTCCCTGTTTGCAGATGACATGATTGTATATCTAGAAAACCCCATTGTCTCAGCCCAAAATCTCCTTAAGCTGATAAGCAACTTCAGCAAAGTCTCAGGATGTAAAATCAATGTACAAAAATCACAAGCATTCTTATACACCAATAACAGACAAACAGAGAGCCAAATCATGAGTGAACTCCCATTCACAATTGCTTCAAAGAGAATAAAATACCTAGGAATCCAACTTACAAGGGACGTGAAGGACCTCCCCAAGGAGAACTACAAACCACTACTCAATGAAATAAAAAAGGATACAAACAAATGGAAGAACCTTCCATGCTCATGGTTAGGAAGAATCAATATCGTGAAAATGGCCATACTGCCCAAGGTAATTTATAGATTCAATGCCATCCCCATCAAGCTACCAATGACTTTCTTCACAGAATTGGAAAAAACTACTTTAAAGTTCATATGGAACCAAAAAAGAGCCCCCATCGCCAAGTCAATCCTAAGCCAAAAGAACAAAGCTGGAGGCATCACGCTACCTGATTTCAAACTATATTACAAGGCTACAGTAACCAAAACAGCATGGTACTGGTACCAAAACAGAGATATAGATCAATGGAACAGAACAGAGCCCTCAGAAATAACGCCACATATCTACAACTATCTGATCTTTGACAAACCTGAGAAAAACAAGCAATGGGGAAAGGATTCCCTATCTAATAAATGGTGCTGGGAAAACTGGCTAGCCATATGTAGAAAGCTGAAACTGGATCCCTTCCTTACACCTTATACAAAGATTAATTCAAGATGGATTAAAGACTTACATGTTAGACCTAAAACCATAAAATCCCTAGAAGAAAACCTAGGCAATACCATTCAGGACATAGGCATGGGCAAGGACTTCATGTCTAAAACACCAAAAGCAATGGCAACAAAAGCCAACATTGACAAATGGGATCTAATTAAACTAAAGAGCTTCTGCACAGCAAAAGAAACTACCATCAGAGTGAACAGGCAGCCTACAAAATGGGAGAAAATTTTCGCAACCGACTCATCTGACAAAGGGCTAATATCCAGAATCTACAATGAACTCAAACAAATTTACAAGAAAAAACCAAACAACCCCATCAAATGTGGGCAAAGGATATGAACAGACACTTCTCATAAGAAGACATTTATGCAGCCAAAAGGCACATGAAAAAATGCTCATCATCACTGGCCATCAGAGAAATGCAAATCAAAACCACAATGAGATACCATCTTACACCAGTTAGAATGGTGATCATTAAAAAGTCAGGAAACAACAGGTGCTGGAGAGGATGTGGAGAAATAGGAACACTTTTACACTGTTGGTGGAACTGTAAACTAGTTCAACCATTGTGGAAGTCAGTGTGGCAATTCCTCAGGGATCTAGAACTAGAAATACCATTTGACCCAGCCATCCTGTTACTGGGTATATACCCAAAGGACTATAAATCATGCTGCTATAAAGACACATGCACACGTATATTTATTGCGGCACTATTTACAATAGCAAAGACTTGGAACCAACCCAAATGTCCAATAATGATTGACTGGATTAAGAAAATGTGGCACATATACACCATGGAATACTATGCAGCCATAAAAAATGATGAGTTCATGTCCTTTGTAGGGACATGGATGAAATTGGAAATCATCATTCTCAGTAAACTATCGCAAGGACAGAAAACCAAACAGCACATGTTCTCACTCATAGATGGGAATTGAACAATGAGAACACATGGACACAGGAAGGGGAACATCATACTCTGGGGACTGTGGTGGGGTGGGGAAGGGGGAGGGATAGCATTAGGAGATATACCTAATGCTAAATGACGAGTTAATGGGTGCAGCACACCAGCATGGCACATGTATACATATGTAACTAACCTGCAGATTGTGCACATGTACCCTAAAACTTAAAGTATAATAATAATAATAATAATAATAATAATAATAATAAAAGAACCAAACAGATATTGTGAACTGAAAAAATTCAATGAATAAAATAAAATAATACAATTAAGTGCTTCATCAACAGACTAAATCAAGCAAAAGAAAGAAGTTCTGAACTTGAAGATAGTTATTTTAAAGTAACCCAGTCAGAGAGAAAAAAAAAAAAACAAGAATAAAAAGGAATGAAGAAACCCTATGGTACTTATGGGACACCATTCAGTGAACAGATATTCACATTATAGACATATCAGATGAGAAGAGACTAAGAAAGTCACAGAAAACCAATTTAATGAAATAATAGCTAAAAACTTCTCAAATATAGTAAGAGATATGAACATCCAGATTCAGGAGACCCAAAGGTCTCCATCTAGATTCAACCCAAAAAGATTCTCTCTGAGGAACATTATAATCAAACTGTCAAAAGTCAAAGATAGTGAAAATTCTAAAAGCCACAAGAGAAGAGTGACAAGTCACATCTAAGGGAATTCCTATCAGACTATCAGCATATTTCTCAGCAGAAACTTTGCAGACCAGGAGAGAATGGCATGACATATTCAAAGTGCTGAGAGGAAAAAAAAACTGTCAACCAAGAATATTGTGTCCCACAAAGTTATCCCTCAGAAATGAAGAAGAAATAAAGTCCTTCACAGACAAGCAAAAGTTAAGAGAATTCATCACCCCTAAGACCAGCCTTACAAGAAATGTTTAAAGGAGTGCTACAACAAGAAACACAAGGATGATAATTACTGTCATTAAAAACACATTAAAATATAAAACTTACCAGTAGAAGTAATTAAATAAATCAAACTAAGAATACTCCATGATATAATGGTGCTATGTAAAACTCTCAGTCTTCTAGTATGAAGATTTAAAGTTAAATGGTTAAAAAACAACTACAATTAGTGGCTGAGGAACACATCATAGATAAAGAAGTAAATTAGGGCAACAAAAATATTAACTGTGGGAAGGAAAATGCGTACTTTTATGCAGCCAAAGTTAAGTTGCTATCAGCTTAAAATTGTCTATTATACTTACAAGACTGACATTAGCCCCATGGTAACCACAGATAAATAAATCACAGCAGATACAAAAATAAGAAAGAGAAACCACAGAAAACCACCAAACCACAGAAGTAAACAAAAAAAGAGGAATAAAGAAACAAAGAATCTACCAAACTACCAGAAAACAATTAACAAAAATGTCAGGAGTAAGTTCTTATCTATCAGTAACAGCCTTTGAATGTAAATGGGTTACATTCTCAAATTAAAAGATAGAGGGTGGCTAAGTAAATAAGACTCAACTATGTGCTCTCTACAAGAGACTCACCTCACCATTAAAGACAAACATAGACTGAAAGTGAAAAGATGGAAAAAGATATTCCATGCAAATAGAAACCAGAAGCAAGCAGAAGTAGCCATATTACATCAGATAAAATAGACATTAAGTCAAAAATTGTAAAAAGAGGCCAGGCATGGTGGCTTATGCCTGTAATCCCAGCACTTTGGGAGGCCCAGGCAGGGAGATTGCTTGAGCTCAGGAGTTTGAGATCAGCCTGTGCAACATGGTGAAACCCAGTCTCCACAAAAAATACAAAAAAATTAGCCGAGCTTGGTGGCAAGCATCTGTAGTCTCAGCTACTCAGGAAACTAAGGTGGGAGGATGGCTTGACCCCAGGAGGCAGAGGTTGCAGTGAGCCAAGTTCGTATCACTGCACTCCAGCATGGGTGACACAGCCAGACCCTGTCTCGAACAACAGCAACAACAACAAAAACAACCTATAAAAAGAGACAAAGAAGGTCATTATATGATGATGATAATGATGAAGGGATCAATTCAACAAGAAGATATAACAATTGTAAGTAGATATGCATCCAATAGTGGAGCACCCAAATATATAAAGCAAATATTATTACACCTAAATGGAGAGATAAACTGTAATACAGTGATAATAGAGGACTTCAACACTCAACTTCTGACAATGAACAGATTATTTAGACAAAAAATAAGCAAAAAGAAAAAAGACTTTAACTGCATCATAGATCAAATTGGCCTAAAAGATATTTACAGAACATTCCATCCAACAGCTGCAAAGTATGCATTCTTCTCAACTGCACATGGGACATTCTCTAGGATATATCACATTAGGCCACAAAACAAGTCTTAACAAATTTAAGAAGACAGACATCATACAAAGTATTTTTTCTAACCACAATGGTATACAACTAAAAATCAACAGTAAGAAAAACTTCAGAATCTTTACATATATATTAAACATCATGCTTCTAAACCACTGGTGAGTCAATGAAGAAATTAAAAAGGAAAATTTAAAAATTCCTTAAGACAAATGAGAATGGAAGCACATCGTACTAAAACCTATGAGACACAGCAAAAGCAGTTCTAAGAGGGAAATTTTTAGCAATAAACATCTACATCAAGAAAGAAGATTTCTAATAAACAACCTAACTGTGCACCTCAAAGAACTAGAAAAACAAGAACAAACTAAACCTGAAATTGGTAGAAGGAAGAAAATAATAAAACTCTGAGCAGAAATAAATGAAATAGAGATTAAAGAAACAGTTCAAAAAAATTAACAAAACAAAGATTTGGTTTTTTGAAAAGGTAAACCAAATTGAGAAACCTTTAGCTAAACAAAGAAAACAAGAGAAGATTCAAATGAATAAAATCAGAAATGAAAGAGGAGACATTATAACTGATACCACAGAAACATGAAAGATCATAAGAGACTGTTATGAATAATTATATGCCAACAAATTTGATAACATAGAAGAAATAGGTAAATTACTGGACACATTAAAAACTACCAAGATTAAATTAAGAAGAAATAGAAAATAGGCACAGACCAGTAATAAGTGAGAAAATTGAATCAGTAATAAAAAATCTTCCATCAAAGAAAAGCCCAGGACCCAATGGCTTCACTGCTAAATTCCACTAAACATTTAAAGAAGAACTAACATTAATTATCCTCCAACTATTTCAGAAAATTGAAGAGGAGAGAATATTTTAAAACTCATTTTATATGGCCAGAATTATCCTGATTCCAAAACCAGACAAGGACACAACAATAAAAGAAAACTACAGATCAACACCTTTAATGAATATAGATGCAAACATTTCAAGAAGATACTAGTAAATGCAATCAAATGGCACATTAAAAAGATCATTCACTATAATCAAGTGGGATTCACCCCAGAAATGCAAGGATGATTTAACATAGACAAATCAACAAATGGGATACACCACATTAATAGAATAAAAGACAAAAACCATATGATTATTTGAATAGACACAAAAAAGGCATTGATAAAATTCAACCTCACTTCATGATAAAAACTGAACAAATTAAGTACAGAAAGTATGTACCTCAACACAATAAAGACCACCTATTACAGACCCATAGCTAACATCATACTGAAGGAGGAAAAGCTGAAACCTTTCCCTTTAAGATCAGGAAGAGATCAAGGATGCTCACTTTCACCACTTCTATTCATCTTAATATTGGAAATACTAGTAACAACAGTTAGGAAGGAGAAAAAATAGGGAAAAGGCATCCGATTTGGAAAGAGGGAAGTCAAATTATCATTGGAGGAGTCATAATCCTATATAAAGACAACCCTAAAAACTCCATCAAAAAAAGTTAGAGCTAATAAACTATTTAGTAAAGTTGCAGAATATGAAATCAGCATACAAAAATCAGTATCATTTTCATACGCTAATAATAAACTAAAAAAGAAATCAAGAAAATAATTCCATTTACAATAGCTACCAAAAAAGATAACTAGGAATAAACTTAATCAAGAGGGTGAAGGATCTCTACACTAAAAACTATAAAACTGTGATGAAGAAAATTGAGGACACAAATAAACGGGAAGACATCCCATGTTCATGGATTGGAAAAATTAACATTGTAAAAATGGCCATACTACACAAAGCAATCTGTAGAATTAATGTAATCCCTCTCAAATAACAACAGCATTCTTCATGGAAATAGAAAAAAAAATTGTAAAATTTATATGGAATCACTAAAGACCCCAAATAGCCAAAACAATCCTGAGCATAAAGAACAAAGCTGGGGGTATCACAGTACCTGACTTTTACTATACTACAGGAGTGGGAGGGAGACACCACAAGGAACACACTTTGAGCCTCATACCCCTTCCCCACATGCCCAACACTTCCACACCAACACCTGCAATGCCCACACAATCCCTGGGAATTATAGGGGAAAATGTCATGGACAAAGAAAACTGCTTACTTATTTCTACTATGGACAACCATTGTTTGGGTCCTTATTTTAAATACTAATTAGTCTCTCCAGAGGAGGTGCTTGTGTTCTCCCGTTAACAGGGATGTGCAAGGGGTGACTCTCTGATTGGATCCAAACTCACAATATCGGAGATTAAAATCAGCATGAAAGGTGATTTTGCAGGAATTTTATCACACTCCTATATGTCTACTCAGGATTAATGAAGTGAATGTATATCACTATACATTTGTTCCCCTAATCCCATGAAAAATGTTTCTCTGGGTTCAAGGTACATTCTTTTTAAGAATGCTGAGCACATCCAAAATCAGTGTTATGACACTTAGGTGGAAATGGCTAGCAATTGTCAGGAGCACCTCTCCAGTTTTCTCTCCTATCTTCAGGTCCCTCTATACCTAGCTAGGATCAATCACTCCCATTCACATTTCTTAAGCTCCACCACCCTATGTCTTTCCTTCATGCCCCTTCATAGAATCCCAGTCCTGAATGAGCATGATCCCTTGTCTTACATGTGTCTCTATTTCAGGGCAAGGTAGGTAAACAAAAAGAAACCTTCCTGATCCTTAACTTCACCTCAGCGTTCCTGCTTTCCTTTCTCTACTCTAGACTAATGGTTCTCAAAGTTGGAGGTGAGGAACCTCCAACATCAGTGTTGGCTGGAAACTTGTTGGAAATGCAAATTCTGGGGCTCTGGAGGTGGGGCCCAGGGACCTGTGCCTTAACAAGACCTCCAGGAGATTCTGATCCATGCTCAAGCATGAGGACCACTGCTTTAGACAGCTGCCTCCCTGCTCTGTAGAGCAAACATTTTCCCACTTTCCACAAACTTCTGCCTCTCCACATCCCCCTACCCCACAACATTCATACACTGACCTGTGCTCCTGCTTCCCAGAGAAAACACAGAATTCATTATGTGGCTTTTTCTCAGCATCCCTCCAACAGATCTGCCAGCCTGCATCTCCAGTGCCCTCTTCTGCCGTCCAGGTACAGAGGAGGGAAGGTCTCCCTCCCAGCAAACATGTCCTCACCAGGGACCCTGCCCTCACTCTTGGCAACCTTATGCTACAGCTATACTCTTTCTCTTACTCAATTAGAACCTTTCCCTGTTCACTGGGCCCTTTTCATCACATTTATGTCTTTTCATTTTACAAAAACAACAAACCCTGCATTTATCCCACCCTATTCTCCAGCAATGGGCTTCTCTTCCCACTCATACAAATACCTAAAAGAAATCATCCTCACTCACCATCAGCACCCCTTCCCACCACTCTCCCTTCCCACCACTCTCCTGGACCCTTGCCCATCCAGCGTCCAGGACTCACTCATGATTAAACGTGCTCCCATCAGGGAGCACAGGGGCCAGTTCTTGGCATATATTTTATTGGGTCTCTCAAGTTCATTCTTTCCCCAGTGATTTGAAATGTCACCATTTGTGACCAAATGGCAATATATCCATGAATCTCTCTTGGACCTCAATTCTTTTCCACTTATTTGTCATTCTTGCACTTAAACCATCCTTAAACCATTATTACATCATTATAATGTGATTTTTGTATCCAGGAAAACAAAATTCCCTTTGTGTATTCAGTCCTTGTTTGGTCCCTCAAGCATTGTTACTTTTTTGAGAACCAACTCCCCCCACCCCAGCCGCCTCAATCCATGTGGTCACAGTGGAGGCAGCTGTCACCTTACAATGTGACTTCACTGCATGAGTTGTGTGAACAGGAAGCTTTCGCCCAGACTGTTGTGTCAATCCCCCTTCCTGAGCATTGGGACGAATACACTATGGTCTTTGTTTGACTGCTCCTTTATAACTGATGAACTGTAACAACATTGGGACTGCTGGTTGCAAACATTTCCCTCCAGGTAGCCTGAGAAACCAAAACCCACCCTGCAGGGGAGAAGAACAATGAGGCAGATGTGCAGAGAAAGACAAGCAGACGGGAGAAGCAGAGTGTATCCCCTTATATTAAAAAATCATGTGTTGTCTATTTGGAATTCTAATTTAACTGGACATCCTGAATTGTATGTGGCAACCCTACCCTTAAAGAATTTTCGTTGGCCTCCTAGGCTCAGGTATCAGCCCTTTCAAGGAGGGAGCACCCAGAGCACCTGTCAAGACAGTGCCCTTGGTGTAAGCTGCTTCACATGAGGTTTTCTCACTTACAACCAACGGGGTCCTTGTTCATTCTACAGAAGAAAAGAGACACGAAGCAAGGTAAGTAGAGAAAATATATAGCAAGCTAGAGAGTAATAAGTGCTAAAGAAAACATAAAGCAAGAAAGGGGGATATGAAGTATTGGCAAGGGTATGTGCAAGCATGTGTGTTTATAGGTTGAAAATTACAGAGTGGCCAGGAAAGTCTGCCCTGAGAAATCCTAAATAAAATGAGGAAACTAGCCATGATGATCTGAGGAAGACAAGCACTCCAGATGGGGGTAGGACCAAGTGCAAAGTCCCCGGGGAAGGAGTGTGCCTGAGGTCTTCAAGGAACAGCCGAGATGCCAAGCTGACTGGAGCAGAGAGTGCACAGGGAAAGAAGTAGATGAGGTTGCAAAGGCCTCTTAGATTACAAAGAACCTTACAGATCAAAGAGGCACCTTAACTTTTACTCCGAGTGATATGGGAAATCACTGGTGGGCTTTGAGCAGAGAAGTATTAATGTAATGCTTTAAGTTTAACAGAATCACTTTGGCTCATGTGTTGTGGAGGAGAGTGGGACAAGACAGATGCATGGAGACCTGTCAAGGGGCTATGATAAAAATCTGGGGAGAGACGATGGTGGTTTAGGTCAGAATGGTATCAGTGGAGATGGGCAGAGAGATCGATTCTGGATACCTTGAGAAGGTACAACCAATATAATTTGGTGATGGACGAGATATGGGGTGAGAGAGAACAAGGGCAGGCACAGAAAGCAGCAAGGTATTGACATTTTTTCCAAAATGAAAAATAGAGTTGCCCTTAACTGAGATGAGGTGGGCTACAGGATGCAGCACTTGGGTGGGAGTGTATGGAGTTTCAGGAGCTCAGTTTTGGACATTTAAGTTTGAGATGGTGGTTAGAAATCCAAGTGGAGATAGCCAGTAGGCAGCTGGATCTACAGGTCTGGGGTTTCAGGAAAATGTCAGAACTAGAATGTTAAATTTGGGAATTGTCAGCATACAGAGATAAACCCACCAAGAGAATGGGCAGCAGAGAGAAGAACTCCAAGTACAGAGCCCTGAGTCATGCCAGCATGTAGAGGCTGGGGAAGTGGACAGAACCAGCAAAAGAGACTGAGGTGCAGTGTCAGGAGGGGGAAGGGAGAATCCAAGAGAGTGTGGTATTCCAGAAGCCAGGGAAGAAATCCAAGAGGAGGAAGTGATGGGGGCTGCCAGTGATGCTGGTAGATCAATTAACACTGGAACAGGAATTAAAAGAAATTAAAGAGTGTGTAAGCTGATTCCTTAAAAATCCTGCAACAACACAAGGACCAAGAACTGGCCTTTCGATTTAGCAACAGAGATCACTGGTATAGTTTCATCTCCACAGTGGTCGGTGGTGTACCAAGGGGGTTGGAGTGGTGGGAGTAGTCTGCCCATACTCTGACAATAAAGAGGTATATTTTCTGTAGATCATTGAAAAACAATAATAAAACCAACTCCATGTTGGCAGTTTGGGGCCTGAACAGATTCTTAAACTGGGTCCTGGGGAGATTTAAAGGGGAGAAATATGAGTTAGCAAAGATATTTAACTCTTTCAAGGAATTTTGTTGTAAAAAGAAGAGGAGAAATGGGAGAGGAAAGTGAGGTGGAGAGGTTTTACTTAGTTATTTGTGTTTAAGATGGAAAAACATAGCAGCATGTTTTGTATGCTGATGGAAATGATCTAGTAGAGAAGAAGATTTGATGCTGCCACAGAAAAAGGGAGAACTGCCAGGGCAACAATCCTGAACCGGTGCAGGACAGGACTTAGCGAGGAGACAGCCAGTTCACCCCAGTAGGAGGAGGGAAGGCAGTGACTAGGGCCACAGATGCTGGCATGTGGGTAGATATGGCAGCAGGGTGTTGTAGAATTTATCTTTCGATTTCTTTTCTTAGGAGAAATAGGAAACAAAGGTATGAAAGGTGGGGGAAGAAGTGTTGGAGGCTTAAGGAGAGGAGAAAGTATGGAATTGTCTTCTAGGAGAAATGGGGTAGTGGGAGGACTAGAGATACATGGCTCATTTAACAAGGTCCTCATCACTTAAAGGGAAACCAGCCAGGCTGGAAGTGCAGGCACAGTTGATTGTGAAATGTATGCTCAGAAAGGATGGAAAAAAAGACCACGGGGAAAGGTGCGGGATTGATAGATCACAGGTCAGCCAGGAGTGAATGGCTAGAGGAGTCAAGAAACTTAAAGGGCTGGGTGTGGTGGCTCACACCTGTAATCCCAGCACTTTGGGAGGCCGAGGCGGGTGGATCATCTGAGGTCAGGAGTTCAAGACCAGCCTGGCCAACATGGTGAAACCCCGTCTCTACTCAAAATACAAAAATTAGCTGGGTGTGGTGGTGGGCACCTGTAATCCCAGCTACTCAGGAGGCTGAGGCAGGAAAACTGCTTCAACCCAGGAGGCGGAGGTTTCATTGAGCCGAGATCGCACCACCACACTCCAGCCTAGGTGACAGAGCAAGACTCCATCAAAAAAACAAACAAACAAACAAAAAAACAACTCAAGGAAGTGAAAAGACAGGTAGGAGATGGAGAGAATGAGAGGTCTGAAGCTAAGACTGCTTTTTATGTGTATGTTCATTTTGGAAGAAGTTGTGGTTCTAGACAGACCATCAAGCCTAACACCAATGCACCTTCTGATGTAAAGAAAAATTAAGCAATTTCATCCAGATTTAATGTAATAATAGTATATGTTGTTGTAGATCTGTGAAAATATGTAATTTATGCATGGCTTATGAAAGAGAGAAAACTTTGGAGAGGGCAGGACAAAGTAGTCTGGTAGTGGAATACCCTGGTGTCTATGAATAAAAGAGAACTTTCTAGAGCCTCATACATTGTTCACATAACTCATTCATACAGCACTGCCCTGCTTCCTCAAAGGTCCAGCACTGCCCACAATACCTAGAGTTAAATCTACGTCTTTAGCCAGGCCAACAGGGCTCCGAGACAGCCAGTGCCTCTCTCTCTGTGCCCTCATCCACAGACCTTCTTCTCTGGCCTCCACACAGCATGACTTGCCCTGCCCCCATGCCTTTGTGCTTGCTGTTCCTTCATCCTACGTTGCTCTTCCTCCAGGTTTTCTCAGGCCTGATTCCCACATGACCCCTCTGCCTGCTGAGGCCTGCCCTGACCACCTTTTCTGAAATTTCTAAAACTGGTTGCTGATGCATCACCTCCCTTGGTTCCTCAGTAGCACTTACAGTTGGAAAGTATCCTGCCCTTTATTTATGTGCTGTTGTCCTACTTTCCCCAGAAGACTGGGAGCAGGGGAGGGACAGGTATTATGTGTGGCTTTGAGACAGAAGAGGGACAGGACTTGGTACCCCCCATACCCCACCAAGGACCTCACTGCAAACTGGTAGAGGGGAGGCCCCATGGGTGGCAGGGACCCCAACCAGCCCCTCCAGACCTTGCAACATAAACCTTGCTCAAGGAGCCATACCTGCTGACTGCCGGACCCTGAGGAAGCTAAAAGCAGCAGCTCCCACCATAAATCTTACTATCTCCCACATGCACGCAAGGCCAGGAGAATGACTGATCCTTAACTTTAGCTTCATTATAATACTAAAAATCACACCCAGGGGTGGAGATGTAACATGCTTATAAGACAAGCGATGCATGAAGAAGCATGTCATCAAACTGTGGAGGTGCTAAAAGTTCCCTGCCTCTACATTCCTAGACATCACTCCTTTCTCACCGCGGCCCCTTTACAACTTCCTTTTCAACACCCTCTGGGGAGCCAGCCAGAAAATTCTCTCTCTCTTGTGTTGCCTCCCATATTCCTGGGCATAAGCTCCAACAAAGCCTTGTCTGGGAAAACTATCTTGGCCTTATGACAATTTCTATTGCATTGAGAGCCCAACAACCCATGGTTGGTAACAGCTTAACTGCTGTAACACCTCTAGTTAGAACAATACCTATTAGGTGCTCAATAAATATTTCTTGAATGGATGGAGGAGCCCAGGAATATCTATTTTTAAAATATACTTACCAGCCAAGTGTAAGAAGTGAGGTGTCTGGTGTCCCCCCTGTGATTTTAAACCAAGGCTCTGATGGATTCTTGACTTGTCCACAGTCACACAGAAGAAAGTGGCAAAAGTAGAACTAGAGTTGTGACTCTGCCGCCATCATTCTTGCTTCTCCCTAGGTGCCCTAAGGTGCCCTAAATCATCTGGGTCTGCAGGAGAGTGCCCTAGAGAAGAGCAGGACTTGAGTCATTGGAGCCATTCAAAGTTTGCAGTAGTTCTGTTTCCTAGATTCTGGCTCCTTCCAAATGCAGCAGCCAGATGCTGGGATGATGGAAGAAGTGACAGGACAAGAAATGTACTGGCTTGGTGCAAAGATAAAGGTGGTGCACAGACATTACTTGCCTGAAAGCCCCACTGGAGCCGTAGTATCTCTCCTGGCTGTTGTAAGCCCATATGTGGGCAGGATTGCACCTGCCACCACACAGAGCACAGAGAGGGGAATCCGGATTAGACCCAGGGGCACAACTGCGACTGAAGAAATCATCTGCGAGAAAGGACAACCAGAGGTCAGGATCAGCCCTCCCTGCCTGTGTTAGCAAGAAAGCCTCAGATTCTGTCCCCAAAATTGCCTGATAAAGACACATTCAGTTATTTGTAACATATTATTAAAAGCAAGACTTTATGGAATTAAAAAAAAAAGGTTCCAGCTGGAGCTAAGTAAAGGGGAACTGACTCAAGTTGGATCAAGGGTCTGTGAGCTCACAGGGGTCTACTCCATCCCAGCACAGGGCAGTGGCATCGAAAGATGGACACAGAGTTTAACAGTGAGGGGACAAAAGAGAAGTCCTGGCTCGCAGAACCCGGAGCACATGTTTTCTGGGCTCTGCTGCCATTGCCCTTTTTCACAAGGTGTGCCATCACAGCTTCAAGTCCAGGAAGAGTCTAGAGAGGCACAGCTGCCAAGCCCTGTGCTGGGCTCCAGGGCACCACCATGAGGAAATCAGACACAGGCTCTGCCCTCTTGAAAACTTGCAGCCTGTAGGGCGATAGTCAGAACTCAAGTAACCACACCAGTAAATTCATGTTTCCCTCTTTGCTCTGGGAAAAAATTATAGGGTTCCATGAAGCTACAATAAAAGAGCCCCTTGCAGCCCTAGGGGTCAGGGAGAAGGTTTAAGCCGAGACATGAAGAGTGAGTAGGAGTTACCCAAGTGAAGAGTGGAGGGGAAGAGCCCTCCAGACAGGGGACCAGCATCTGCACAGGCCTGTGTTGGGGTGGGGTGGAGGCACGGCACAGAGAGCCTCATGGAGGCCTTCAGGACTAAACCACCAAGAAAATGACGGTGAGTGCAGTGGGGGGCAGGGTCCAGACCCTTTTACTGTCATTAGTTTTGTTCTTTATCGTTAGAGAGATGAGAAGTCTGTGAAGGGTTTTAGACAATGCTGGGCCAGGGGCAGTAAGCTGGATATGGTCATATCTGCACTTTGCAAAGATTGGCCTGGCAACAGGGTGGATGGAAACCAGAGCGGATGTGGAGTTCAGGTGGCAGGCTCCTGGAGAAGTTCAGGGGAAATGAGGGCAGCTGGGGCTAGAGGAGCACAAAGGGGAGGGAGATGAGTGGAAGGAGGAGAAATTGGCACCCCTGGAGATAGATGGCTATGCGGAGGATGAGGCTTCCAGTGGGCACAAGAGGATGGACTGTAGGATCCTCCACCACACCAGGTAGTTCTGGAAAAGGACCAGGCTCGGCAGGGATGGTGCATTCAGTTTTGAACAGGATGAGCTTAGTGTGCTTTTGAGATATCCATCTAGAGATGTCAAATAGGCAGTTAAATACATACATGTCTGGAGGCTAAGGAGAGATCTGTGTTGGGGATCTGTGTTGAGAGATCTGTGTTGACAATTATCAACACAGAGATAGATAAAAAGCATTTACCTAGTGCTTATCATGTGCCTAGCTTTGTTTGTGTAACACCCCTTTGGATGGCAATTGAGGCTGTGGGCATGGATGTGAGTGCTTGGGGATTCCGTTGAGATTGGGAAAAAGAGTTTCATTTAGCAACGCAAACGTTTCTTAACTAGATTGGGAAATGGGGACCTTGTGAGAATAGAAGAAAAACAAACCAGTGTGTTTTCATAAAAGCCAGGAGATATTATTTTAGGGCGAAATGAGGAAATGCTGCTGAGAGGTCATGGGGGAAGCAACAGAAGCACATCGTTCCAACTGAGCAGTATGGAGGCCACTGGTGGCTTGACCAGAATCCTTCCTGAGGAGTGATGCAGAGGAGCCAGGCGGCAGGGAGTTGAAGAGTGAGTGGAAGGGGAGTGGTTCCAACAACACTTTGATCACTCTGGCCTTAAAGAGGAGGAGGGAAGGAAGGCAGGAGCTGCAGGAGAATGTTGTGGGGGGGCCAATTTTAAAGATGGAAAACATTCGGTGTGTTTACATGTTGAGAGAAATTGTTGGACACACCAGAAGGAGAAGTAATAACTGAGGGTTGAGACCATGGAAGGGAACATGGGAGTGACCCGCACCCAAGTGCAGGTAGAGGGATTGGCTGCGGAGGGAGGAGGTGGGGAGGTGCAGCCCCCAGGAGGCCCGCAGTTTTGGCAGGGGGATGTTAAGAGAAACTTCTCTGATGGTTTCTTTGTCTCCTGCAGGTGCAGGTGAAATGGTCTGCTAAGAAAGGTGGTAGATGGTGTGGGTTTGAGGTGTGTGGACAATTAGGACATTAGGAGAATCACCGGGAAATGTGGCATGTGGAGCAGAGAAGTGGTGGGGGCGCTTGTAAATGTTGGGGGCACACCAACGACAGTGCCTGAAGCATTCCAGTGACACAAACTGCTCTGCCGCGCTGTGACGCTCTCCAGCCACGTTCAGCTGCTCAGGTAAAAAAGAGAGCAGGTAATAGGGTTCAGTCAGGGCTGGGATTTTCAGAGAGTTGGGGAAAGCAGAGGAGCAGGAGCCTCTTAGGTAGTGGCATGAGCATAGCTGAAATGATGAATGCATCTAAGAGAGATGAGGATGGTCTACGGCCATACCACCCTGAATGCGCCTGATCTTGTCTGATCTTGGAAGCTAAGCAGGGTCAGGCCTTGCTAGTACTTGGATGGGAGAGATGAGGATGAACATGAAAAACAGCACTCCAGGACTTACTGGTGGAAGGTTTCCAATTAAGAAGGCAGCCATTTCGGTTTATATGTGAAAACAACACACTCGCGCTCACCAACGCATCCAGGCTGGTCTTGCTTTGCGAACCCAGGCTTGTTCCCTGAGCCATTTGTGAGACATCAAAAATAGAGCTATTTCCCTGAGATCTGCCCTTTGGGCCAAGGTATTTCCCTCAGAAGCAAAAGGATGAGAAGGAGGAGGACCTGCTCAAGGAGATGTGAGGCTCGCCCACAATTTCTGTCAAGCTCTTAAGCTCACCACCCATTTATGGCATTTTCTGCCATTCATCAAACTGAATTTCTCCTTTACCCAGGCACAGGCACAGGGAATGAACTGCCACAACACCTCCCAGAACATACTCACCACATTTACAGGACCCGGTTTGATTGTATATTAAGCCCATGGGGATGTTCCAGCTTGCAGAAGTGCCAACTGCAGTGTGGCAGGACTTCTTGCCTCAAAGAGAGTTCCAGGTGACATCAGCATCTGATTTCTTAACCACAGCCATGACATAATAGCCTAGAAATTGAAATACCAAGATGCAATTTCTTCTTTTTCAGGGAGAGAAGGGGAAGGAGGAGGAAGAATGTACGATCCAGTGAGATCTGGCCAGCCCTCCTGCACCGGGCCATTAAATGCCATCTCCATATGGTGGCTATGCTGGAGCTGGTATTCTCCATTTCCATCCTGTCCCCCTTCTGGCTGGAAATATGGAAACTACACTTCCAATGTTTCCTTGCAGCTGTGTTCTTAGTGTAAAAGGATGTGTGAAATTTGGAAGGTGGAAGTCACATAGAGGTCTTTGCCTTCCCCCTCACCTCTTTTCTGCTAGGAAATAAATTCTTGGAGATGTTAGGTTTTTCTGTCCAGATCTCTAGTATCCCTTCTCCATCCTAGAGGATTAGAAGCTATTACAGCAAATGCAGCAGCAGCAGCCACTATCAATTCTGGCTTCCTATCCCTTGGTCACAGCTACAGGATGTGTCTTGAAATCACTGTACTAGTAGAGGTCTTGCAGGTAGTAGGTCTCCTAGGGAGTCAGCTCTCTTTCACTATGGGTGGGAGTCATTCCAGGAACCTAGTGTCCACTTTTTGTTAACATTTAATTCCCTGTATTAAATCCCTTCCTGCTTAAAATAGTGCTTCATTTCTTTACTGACCCCTCAGTGATGTACTCTGTCTGTCCTTTCAAGCAGACAGCAAGACCATCTCAGAGAAGACTTTGCTGGCAGCAAGTTGCTCTTTCGGAAAAAAAAAAAAACCTATACATTTAAATATATACATATAGTATTTACTTATATACTATGTATTTATACATATATACATATAAGTATACATATTTATAAATACACACATTATAAATTATATATATATGTTTGCACACACATATTTACATATATATATTAGTGGAAGGGGTGCCAAGATACTATTATCAGACCTCCAGGGCACTCTGAAAATATATTTTAGAGCTACTGCTGCTAGCCCCTGCCTGTCACTCTCCCTGGGGAGAGGGAATATCTTGAACCCCTCATGTTACTCTAGTAGAGGACCCTCCCAATAGCTACCATTATTAGGAACTGAGCCAAACAGACTAACACTACTGCTCCCTAGCTATGTCTACATACATGCACCCACATATATTTACATACACTGTACTTTTTCAATAGAATCTTGCTATGTATTATTTTCTCTTTTTTTGAGACGGAGTCTTGCTGCATTATTTTCTGTGAGTTGCTTTATTCCTCCTCAATAATATATTGTGGACACTTCTTTGATTCAGTAGTGATAGATATGGCTACATCATTCTTTTATTTGGCTGAATCTAAGTTATATCTTATTATATATGGATGTATCATATCTATACTAGTAGGTATTTTTATTGTGGCCCATTTTCCCCTACTAAAACCCATTTATTTCTATAAATGTTTGTAATTATGAGTATGCACTTGTTTAAGTTTTTCTGTTGAATATAAGTTCAAAAGAAAGCTTTAATGAGTTATTTTTTAATGTTAAGTCTCTGATTTTCTAGGTTTACAATAATATTTTCTAATAATGACAATTTAATCTCTTTTCTCTTTCCCAATATTTAAAAACCCAACTCTTTTTCTTATCTTACTGCATTTACTTCCAATATAATGCTGAATGTCTTTGGTGGGAGTGGGCATTCTTGCCTTGCTCCTGATTCTAATGAGAATATCATGAATATTTCATTTATTCCAGTGCCAATACTATATAACTGAATTGTGCTTGTTGAGTTAGGTTGAACTGCAAACTGAAAAGAATCATAAGATTTGAATCATAAATTTTTAGAATTAGACGATAATGCGGCTCACCACTCCCTGCTTTCCCCACGTACACACCTTTTCTCTGTGTTGTAGATCAGGTCTCTACAAATTCAAACTTGGAGAAGTTGGGAGTCAACATGGCAGATGGAAGGTCCGTCTTGTCCTTCTTAGGTGACCTCAGACACGTCCTTATCATCTAGGAGCCTAAATTTTTCTTCAGTTAAATGGTGGCAGTGGAACCCCTCCTGGAGTGACTGATGGGGATCAGAGGTGCAGATATGAGCACAGGCAAATCAGGAATGGGAAGAGCAGGTTAGGGAGGTGGCTTTCCAGCAGTAGTGCAGAAGCAGGACTGGAGGCCCCTCCCAGTGAAGCAGGTTCTCCTGAGGCCATGGCAAGCCCTTGCCTACCACACTGCGGTCCATGACACCAGTCTGGTAGCCAAATGCTGTCATAGTGCCTTCCTTCAATGCCACTATTTCTGTACCTATGGCATTCATTATTGTCATCCATCTTTCCATGCGTGTGTGTGTGTGTGTGTGTGTGTGTGTGTGTGACTCTGAGGTTAACTCTCCCCCTCTCTACTCAGATGGCACCTTCTCCATCACAGTCAGTCACTCTGCTGGTGACTAAACCATCCTCTAAGTATGCTTGCTGATCTACATTTGTGTATCATTGCAGTTTCTGAATATGTCAACTACTCTTGAAGCAGTTAGGGTTGTTTCTGACTATAAATGATCAGAATAGAATACATAGCAGATAGAAGATTGTTTGCTGGACTTCAGGATTAGGGATGAAGACACAATTTAAAGAAGGCTTCTTAGACATGACAGCAGAGAGGGATGAGGTACAGCATATCCCCGGGCTGGGGTCCTGCCACACAGGAAGGGGAGCTGCTGCAGGTGAGCAGGGAAATGATGCCTCAACTTTGCACTCCAGTGGCCTTTGTGCAGGGTGGGCTGTGCAGGGTCCTATGACCCAGTGCTCAGCAGGGGACAGAGACCACAGCTCCTTGTGCTGTGATGCTCTAAATCCCTCAACTTCCCCAGCCCTCCTGCCTCAGAAGAAACTCTAAACCCAAGTATGCACTTGGTTTTCACCTCAGGGAATTCTCTATCACAGCAGTTTTCAAACCATAATGCGCATTAAATTTGTTAAAACATAGATTGCTAGCCCCAGCCTCAGAGCTTCTGACTCAGATCTAGGATGGAGCCCCAGAATTTTTGTTCCCAACAAACTCCTAGGGGATGCTGATGCTGCTGGTCCAGAGACTACACCTGAGAACCACTGTTCTATCCATTTTCCAGGAGTAGGTACTAGAGACAGACCCTCTCTGCTTATCTGGAGGCACAAAACGGAGGAACTTGCCTCCTAGTGGTGGTCTTCTACTCTAAAGACTGATCAACTCCCCTGCCATCAAGCTCCAGCTGGCTAAAAGCTGAAAGGTGGATTTTATTTTCCTCCTCATCTTCATTATCAGCATCTATGAATCTCCTTCTCTCGTGAGGTCTCTACTTAGTCCAGAAATGCCAGGAATGGGCCCCAGTGTGGACCTTCACACAGAGATGGGCAGGCAGCATGTGCTCAGGCGCAGTGTGGTGCCAGGAAGGGCCTGGGGTTTCCAGCCATTCCTCCTCTTCTGAAACCCAGGTGCAGCCGCCTCCTGGCAGTGTGGCCCTGGGCAAGTCACTCAGTCCCTGAGTCTCAGACTCCAGCTCCATAACATGAGACAACAATGCCCACATACTCCAGGGTTGCTGAGAAGAGGGAACAGGAATAGTGCAAACAGGAGTCCTTTGCCAACTATAAAGTGCCCTGCAAATAGTATTATTACACCCCAGGATAGGTTTGCATCTTAACAATTAACTGTGAATTTTTTTCCACCTCCAGTCATTTTTATTTGTTTTTAAGCTTTCCTCTCCCCAACAATGGGCCTTTACCTTTGAGCCAGTATTACTGATTCTAACTCACCTTCCATGGGTAAATTCACACACTTAGACCTAAACTGCTCTAAAAAGAAAAAGAAAAACAATCAAGGTACATGACATTAAACCCTCACATTACTCCATCCAAAGTCAGGAGCTTCTCAATCTCAATAGTCAATAATAATATGAGCAAGGTATCATTGGGTATCAGTGGGTTAAGGTTCTGCAAGCCCATTTTACCCTCTTC